>NC_000002.12:99004769-99307799 GCF_000001405.40 Homo sapiens | reverse complement strand
ATTACAGCTACAGTTAAGTGCACACACATTTCTTTTCTCCCATTATTCGATTTGCACATGCTCACAAATCCAAAAGTAATGACATACTTGCATTAAAAGATATCTAAATTTTGATGAGTGTTGTAATGAACAGGAAAAATTATTCTATCATCTACAAATCTTTTCAAACTTGGGTTTTCTTTGCAAGGTCCTTAAGTTTCGCCTGAGTCCAATATTTCTTATGCAGCAGAGACACAATCATTGCCAACTGATCACCATACACTGGATTTTCATCCTCAATAAGCCCGAGTGTAAGATCCATGCCTCTGCTTCACACTCACCTGTCTTCAGTCAGTGCTCCTCCTTAGAGGTGGTGAGCCCACAGCGATTTATATAGAGTCCTGTTCTCTTGTTAAAAGTGTTCATCTCATCCTATTTTGGAGAGATTTATGACATCTCATAAATTATAATAATAATCATAATAATTGTAAATACTTTGAACTTATATAGGGCCTTTTATTCAAGAATGTCCTGGCATTTTGCAAACATTAACCAATTTGTTTCTTGCCATACCTCAGAAGGCAGATCCTAGTTGTAGTTTAACTTTGACACATTGAGGTCCAACACTTGTCTTTATTCACATCATTTTCTGGGAATGTGGGTTAGGTAAGAAAACAAGGAAGGAAGAGAGAGAGAGAAAGAGAGAGAGAGTGAGAAGGAGAGAGAGAGTGAGAAGGGGAAGGGAGGAAGGGAAGAGGAAGGGAGGAAGGGAAGGAAGAAAGAAAAGGAAGAAGGAAGGAAGGAAGGGAGGGAGGGAATTGAACTTGGTGTGTCAGAAACTCATTATTGGTTTGTATTTCAGGTAAGCAGAGCGCCTAGACCAGGGGTTGGCAGCTTTTTCTTACAGGCCCAGACAGGTTTTTGGGCTACGTGGTCTTTATAATGCCTCTGACATTGTAGCATGAGAGTGATCATAGATAATATTTAAATGAATGGCCAAGACTGTGTTCCAAAAAAACTTTCTTTACTACACAGGTGGTGGCCCTAGGGCCGTAGGTTGCTGGCCCCTGTTCTGAACCACCGAGAGATACCAGTTCACATGTCCTCAGTTCAGCAATGTGGGGAGAGATGATCGGCTGGATGATGCTATTTTACAGACACCCAGGACCTACAGCATGTTCCAAATGTCTACATCAATAAGTACTTTGAGAGGGTTCATATGAAGTTTCCAGGAAGGATTCCTTCCCAAGTTGTGGAAAGGGTGCATTTCACGACTGAAAGAGGGAGCCCCCTCCCTCACCACACCCTGTGCCCCAGCTCAACTAAGCAGCTTGATTTTCCCCAAACACAGCGCCATTCTTTGCATTAGGCCTTCCTACAGGCTGTTTGCTTTTTATCTAACCCCTCAGGGACAGGGGCTGTGTCTCAGAAACTTGTGCTATGAGCCACCATGTCCCTGGCTTGTCCTTTCAGACCTCCTGGATCCTCACTTTTTCAAGAAAACGTTCACACTTGTCTCAAAGTCTTATTCTTGACTCTGTCATGCTGAGTGGGTTCAATGTCCATTTAGATGGCTGGATTCAATTCTCTGGTCTCTCCTTTTTTGTGTGTTTTTTACTTATAAGAAATCATGAGGCAGGGTGTGGTGGCTCATGCCTGTAATCCCAGCACTTTGGGAGGCTGAGGCCGGCGGATCATGAGGTCAGTAGATCGAGACCATCCTGGCTAACACGGTGAAACCCCGCCTCTACTAGAAATACAAAAAATTAGCCGGGCATGGTGGCAGGCTACTGTAGTCCCAGCTACTCGGGAGGCTGAGGCAGGAGAATGGTGTGAACCCAGGAGGCGGAGGTTGCAGTGAGCTGAGATCACGCTCACTCCATCTGGGTGACAGAGCGAGACTCCGTCTCAAAATAAAAAGATATTATATATTTTGTAAAAGTTTTATTTTTAATTTATACATAAGAATTGCATAGATTTATGGGATAAGTTGTGTAATGATCAAATCAGGGTATTTAGCATATCCATCACCTCAAATTGATGAGAATACTAAATAGCTTCCCTTTTAGATATTTTGTAGTATACACTACAATATTGTTAAATATAGTCACTGCAGTGTGCAATAGGACACCAGAACTTACTCCTCCTATCTAGCTGTAATTTTGCATGCAACCAATCTCTCCCCATTCCTCCCCAGCCTCTAGTAGCCACTATTCTGCTCTTTACTTCTATGAGATCGCCTTTTTTTTTTCTTGAGATGGAGTCTTGCTCTGTTTCCCAGTGCAGTGGCGGGATCTTGGCTTACTGCAACCTCCACCTTCCAGGTTCAAGCAATTCTCCTGCCTCAGCCTCCTGAGTAGCTGGGATTACAGGTGCCCACCACCATGTCCGGCTAATTTTTGTACTTTTAGTAAAGACGGGGTTTTACCATGTTGGCCAGGCTGGTCTCGAACTCCCGACTCAGGTAATCTGCCTGCCTCGGCCTCCCAAAGTGCTGGGATTACAGGCGTGAGCCACCACACCTGGCCATTACACATGATCAACTTTTTTAGATTTCACAAATGGGTGATTTTGTCTTTCTGTGCCTTATTTCACTTAATGTCCTTTAGGTTGATCGTGTTGCTGCAAATGACAGGATTTCATGCTTTTTAATGACAAAATATTATTCCATTATGTGTATATACTGCATTTTCTTTATCCACTCATGTGTTGATGGACACTTAGGATGATTCTGTGTCTTGGCTATTACAAATAATGCTGCAGTCAACATGGGAGTGCATATTTCCCTTTGACATATCCATTTTCTTTGGATACATACCCAGCAGTGAGATTTCTGGGTCATATGCCACTTCTACTTTTAATTTTTTGAGGCATCTCCATACTGTTTTCCATAATGGCTAGATTCGTGTATATACCCACCTAGAGTGTATAAGGGCTCCATTTCTCCATATCTACACCACAATTTGTTATTTTTTCTCTTTAAAAACATTTTTAGATTGAGGTGTACACGTGTAGGTTTGTTACATGGGAGTTAAAACATAATCCTTTCTTTTTCTTTTTCATAAATTGAGACAGGATGTTGCTATGTTGCCCAGGCTGGTCTTGAAGTGCCTTGACCTCCTAAAGTGTTGGAACCACAGACGTGAGCCACTCCACCCAGCCTAAAACTTCATCTTCTTTGGTAAATGTGCTTTCATCTTCAGCATTCCAGACTTAGTACCATCCTCCCAGGCACTTATGTCCTCTTCTTTGCTCTCATCCTTGGCGTCTTGTCCCAAACTGAGTCCTGTCAATTCCACCTCTAAAATAGATCTGTAATATCTTTCCTTTTTCTCTTAGCCACTTTCATGCTGCTGATAAAGACATACCTGAGACTGAGCAATTTACAAAAGCAAGAGGTTTAACAGATTCACAGTTCCACTTGTCTGGGGAGGCCTCACAATCATGGCGGAAGGTGAAAGGCATGTCTCACATGGCAGCAGACAAGAGAAGAGTGAGAGCCAAGTGAAAGGGGTTTCCTCTTATAAAATCATCAGATCTCATGAGACTTATACACTACCATGAGAACAGTATGGGGGAAACTGCCTCCATGATTCAATTGTCTCCCACTGGGTCCCTCCCACAACACAAGGCAATTATGCAAGCTACAATTTGAGATGAGATTTTGGTGGGGACAGAGCCAAATCATATCATTCCACTTCTGACCCCTCCCAAATCTCATGTCCTCACATTTCAAAACCAATCTTGCCTTCCCAACAATCCCCTGAAGTCTCAGGTGCCCCCACCACGCCTGGCTAATTTTTTTGTATTTTTAGTGGAGACGGGGTTTCACTGTGTTAGCCAGGATGTTCTCTATCTCTTGAGCTCGTGATCCGCCTGCCTGGGCCTCCCAAAGTGCTGGGATTACAGGCGTGAGCCACCGTGCCCGGCCGGGGTTTCTTCTTATAAAATCATCAGATCTCTTGAGACTTATTCACTACCAGGAGAACAGTATGGGGGAAACTGCCTCCATGATTCAATTGTCTCCCACTGTGTCCCTCCCACAATGCAAGGGAATTATGGAAGCTACAATTTGAGATGAGATTTCAGTGGAGACACAGCCAAGCCATAGCCCCGTCACTCTAGTCCAACCATCATCTCTCTTCTGGTCTTCTGTGAAGTCTCCCGAGTCACTCTGGCTCACCTCCAATGCAATCAGCAGCCAGGGGACACTTTTTAAAACATAAATCTGACCGTCATGTGCCTGCGGAGTGTCCCGGAGGCTGGATGGAGAACGACCTCCTCAGCTTCTAGGATTCTTAGGGTGGGGACCCAGGTGCAGCAGGTGAGGAGGTGGAAGTCATCATAGAGAGGCAGGGTTTGTGAGAAGCCATTTCGTCTCTGTGGAGCCTTTGCCAGGCAACATGCTGGCTGCTGCCCAGGAGAACCTCCCAGGATGCTAACATGGCCCTCTGGGCTGATGACAGGGTGCTTTTGTAGGTGGAGCTGGGCATCCCCAGATTTCCCCACACTGTAATACCTTTTAATTGTTGGTATGTGCTAGAGCTTGGTGGAAAAAATAAAATGGATGAGTTCCATTTTGGGGGTCAGGATAGAGTTTTTAATGGGTGCATTAGTTCTCTTTTTACCCCAACTCTGCCAACAACCGAGAGGAACCCAGTGTTCTCACACTCCCCTCCCAGAGTTAAAGTTCAGGAACTCCCTGGGTGTCCAAATCTGGACCCTTGCTCACAGTGCCCTGCCTTGTGGTCTCACCATCTCAGTCACAAGTAGAGAAAAACAAAATCTTCTTTTTTTTTTTTTTCAGATGGAGGCTTGCTCTGTGGCCCAGGCTGGAGTACACTGGCATGATCTTGGCTTACTGCAACCTCTCCCTCTTGGTTCAACTGATTCTCCTGCCTCAGCCTCCCGAGTAGCTGGGATTACTGGTGTGTGCCACCATGCCTGGATAATTTTTGTATTTTTAGTAGAGATGGGGTTTCGCCATGTTGGCCAGGCTGGTCCGAACTCCTGACCTCAAGTGATCCACCTGCCTCGGCCTCCCAAAGCGCTGGGATTACAGACGTGAGGCTCTGTGCCCGGCTGAGAATAACAAAATCTTAACCCTCAATGTCTGCACTGGGGATGCAGAGTGAGTGACTTCCAAAAAGTCATAAATACGCTTTAAATCATTCATTTACTCATTCCGTAAACATGTACTGAATACCCCTTATGTGCCATAAGGAATACAGGAGAAAAAAGCCTTTGTTTTTGTTCTCAAGACAACAACAAACCAAAGTGCTGTAGGTGCTATGGTAGAAATATCCACATGTTGCTTGAAACACAAGGAACACACGTCTAACCTGGGGCCCAGCATTGGAAGCCCAGTCCAAATCTTGCTGGGTGAGGTTGTAGGAATTCTTCAGTCATTGACTGATTCAACAAAGATTTACTGAACACTTACAGTGTGCCAGGCTGTTATCTGGGCACTGAAGACTCAGTCTTATAAATGAAGTAGCCAGATTCACAGCTCTCACGGAGCTTGTGTTTGAGTTGTGGTATGGGGAGGGAGCTAAGGCAGGGGATGCAGAAGAAACAGACTGTATACCAGTCAGCCGATAAGCAAGCCATTGATTCCACGTGTTTTACTGAGTGTCTAATATGTATCATGCAGAGTGTTGCATGCTGGTATTATAAAGACGAATGAGACACAGCCCCTGTCCCTGAGGGTTTAGATAAAAAGGAAAGATCCTGTAGGAATGCCTAGTGCAAAGAATGGCGCTGTGTTTGGGGAAAATCAAGCTGTTCAGCTGAGCTGGGGCACAGGGTGTGGTGAGGGAGGGGGCTCCCTCTTTCAGTCATGAAATGCACCCTTTCCACAACTTGGGAAAGAATCCTTCCTGGAAACTTCATATGAACCCTCTCAAAGTACTTATTGATGTAGACATTTGGAACACGCTGTAGGTCCTGGGTGTCTGTAAAATAGCATCATCCAGCCGATCATCTCTCCCCACATTGCTGAACTGAGGACATGTGAACTGGTATCTCTCGGTGGTTCAGAACAGGGGCCAGCAACCTACGGCCCTAGGGCCACCACCTGTGTAGTAAAGAAAGTTTTTTTTTTGGAACACAGTCTTGGCCATTCATTTAAATATTATCTATGATCACTCTCATGCTACAATGTCAGAGGCATTATAAAGACCACGTAGCCCAAAAACCTGTCTGGGTCTGTAAGAAAAAGCTGCCAACCCCTGGTCTAGGCGCTCTGCTTACCTGAAATACAAACCAATAATGAGTTTCTGACACACCAAGTTCAATTCCCTCCCTCCCTTCCTTCCTTCCTTCTTCCTTTTCTTTCTTCCTTCCCTTCCTCCCTTCCTCTTCCCTTCCTCCCTTCCCCTTCTCACTCTCTCTCTCCTTCTCACTCTCTCTCTCTTTCTCTCTCTCTTCCTTCCTTGTTTTCTTACCTAACCCACATTCCCAGAAAATGATGTGAATAAAGACAAGTGTTGGACCTCAATGTGTCAAAGTTAAACTACAACTAGGATCTGCCTTCTGAGGTATGGCAAGAAACAAATTGGTTAATGTTTGCAAAATGCCAGGACATTCTCGAATAAAAGGCCCTATATAAGTTCGGAGTATTTATAATAATTATGATTATTATTATAATTTATGAGATGTCATAAATCTCTCCAAAATAGGATGAGATGAACACTTTTAACAAGAGAACAGGACTCTATATAAATCGCTGTGGGCTCACCACCTCTAAGGAGGAGCACTGACTGAAGACAGGTGAGTGTGAAGCAGAGGCATGGATCTTACACTCGGGCTTATTGAGGATGAAAATCCAGTGTATGGTGATCAGTTGGCAATGATTGTGTCTCTGCTGCATAAGAAATATTGGACTCAGGCGAAACTTAAGGACCTTGCAAAGAAAACCCAAGTTTGAAAAGATTTGTAGATGATAGAATAATTTTTCCTGTTCATTACAACACTCATCAAAATTTAGATATCTTTTAATGCAAGTATGTCATTACTTTTGGATTTGTGAGCATGTGCAAATCGAATAATGGGAGAAAAGAAATGTGTGTGCACTTAACTGTAGCTGTAATAGGGCCAAATGCGACGTCATATTTGTTAACTGAAAGCCAAAAGACTAAGGTGTTTGTATTTTGCCAGACGGTAAATCCCTTGCCTGCCCTCATGGGCAGTCTTGCCAATGCTACATTAACCCATAGACCATGAGTATTGGTTCTATAACAATCTTATTTTCTCTGCAAGCTGTGTAAGAACTAAGGCCAACATGTCTAACAGCCTCGGCTAACAGACTAAAAAGACAGATACGCCTCTAGAGTCCATAGACGGAACAGAGGGGCCAAGTCTCCCTGATTTGCTCTGTGCAGAAGGAAACGTTCACGGGGAAATCTCCAGCATAGGATGATCCTTCCTGGAGTTCTGAACTCTCAAAAACGCAAATGGGAAAAGCAGGCACAGAGGACGCACTGAGAGAAGGAACTCCCTTCCAGCTCACAGTGTCTCTATGCAGGGAAGATTTGCCTGCCCAGAGGGAAGAAAATGATCAAACTTTCAGAGGTCTTCTAGGCTGGTAATTATTGATTACAATCCAAATTCAGTGAATAGGTATTTTCACAGGCCATGTGAAGGTGCAGCTCTACGCAGCGTAACAGCTTAAAATGAGCCTTCCTGTTGCTGCCCTATATTTTTGCTCTAAAAAGTTGTATTTTTCTCAAAAAAAAAAAGATCTTAGTGGCAGAATAATTTTATATTATTTTATATTTGTGACTACATTGCTATTACTATTTTAATTTTAGGCCTGTTGGTGCATAGCAATCTGTGAGGCAATGGGCTGGAGTGTTGCTGTACGTGCATGTGTGTGTGTGTACGTGTGTGTGTGTACGTGTGTGTGTATATATGTAGGGAGGGAGAAGATTAGAATAGCAAGAAGAGGATGAGTACGACATGATGCTACTGGTAAGGCCTTTAAGAAATTTAAAAACTTAAACATTTTAAAAATGGAATAAAATAAATATTTAAAAATTTTAAAAAAACAAAAATTAAAAAAATTAAAAAGTTAAAATAATAAAAAATTAAAAATAATTTTAAAACAGGCCAGGTGTTGGTGGTTCCCAGCACTTTGGGAGGCTGAGGCAGGCAGATTGCTTGAGCCCTGGAGTTTGAGACCAGCCTGGCCAACATGGCGAAACCCCGTCTTTACTAAAAATACAAAAATTAGCTGGGCGTGGTGGCACAGGGCTGTAATCCCAGCTACTCAGGAGGCTGAGGCAGGAGAATCACCTGAGCTCAGGCAGGTCGAGGGTGCAGTGAGCCGAGATCACAGCACTTCACTCCAGCCTAGGTGACAGTCAGACTATGTTTTGAAAAAAAAAAAATTAAAACAATTTTAAAAATTAAAGAGTAATCTAATGAGACATTCTTACAGGCTTATAATGGTGAGATGATTCCACAATTTTGGGCCACTGCACTCCCACCTGGGAGACAGAGTGAGACCTTGTCTCGATTAAAAAAAAAAAAAAAAGAAAAAAAGAAAAAGAAAAAGAAAAAACAAAAAGAAAAGAAAAAGAAAAAAACCCAGGGGCTGGGCGCGGTGGCTCATGCCTATGATCCCAGCATTTTGGGAGGCTGAGGTGGGTGGATCACCTGAGGTCAGGAGTTCTCAACCAGCCTGGCCAACATGGTGAAACCCCATCTCTACTAAAAATACAAAAATTAGCTGGGCGTGGAGTGCCTGTAGTCTCAGCTACTCAGGAGGCTGAGGCAAGATAATCACTTGAATTCAAGAGGCGGAGGTTGCATTGAGCTGAGATCGCACCACTGCACTCCAGCCTGGGCGACAGAGTGAGACTTTGTCTCAAACAAAACAAAGCAAAACCCAACAAAACAAAAAGTAATTAAAATTAAAATTAAAAAATTAAAAAAAGAAAGGCCTGTTGGCACACAATGAGTAGGTAGACACAGAGACATGTTAGCAATAAACAAGGGTGACAACACAGCTTAGAGCAGGAGACCATGCCTAATGTGGATGCATACAGGAGTTCTCAGTTCTCTCAGGATTAGATGGGGACACCACAATGGGGCAGGGGCACCTTCATTGGGCACGTTGAGGTGTTAATACGTCACATTTCTGGGCTGGATGGAGGGCCCCAATGACCTGCAATGATACTGTTCAAGGTAAAGATTGAGAGCATTCATGGAAAAGTTTCTAAGGTGAGAAAACCATAAGACCAAAGATACCTGTTTCTACCTTTTCTAGAAAAATTGATGAACTGAAGAAGACATGGTCCATTATGCCTTACAAACTTACACAGTGCTTTGGGAATTCCAAAGTACTCAGTGGAGAGAGGGTGAGTAGAGGAAGATGTCCCCATCAAAGCCACCAGGAACATGAGGTAGCTCCTGAGGGATGCTCTGGTTGTCAGTTTCCAGTGTGCCTGGCAGGCCTGTTGCCCCAGCTTGTTGACACCCCCTTGCTGTTTGTTACTATTTTGCTCTCTGGGAAGGGAGAAGAGGGATGCTACCATAAACATTGTGCTTGACATCATGACCACTGTGCTGCCTTGGTCTGACATCTTCATAATGGTTTTAAGCAGGGAGCCACAGGGGAATTAACAAATGAGTCATAGGGAACTGACAGACACTCTTTGAGCACACCCGAGTGATGTCTCAACAATCTCTTCTAAACACAGAGTACTTTTCGTCACTTGTAAAGTTGGGCCATAGAGTTTGGGTTGCTTCAATATGCTGTATTTATGGACAAAATGACATTGTTCATCCATTTAAGAATTCCAAGCTAGGTGTGGTGGCTTGAGCCTGTAACCCTACCTACTCAGGAAGCTGAGGTGGAAGGATCACTTGAAGCCTGGAGTTCAAGACCAGCCTGGGCAACATAGTGAGACCCATTTCTACATAAAAACTAAAAAATTATCTGGGCATGGTGGCATACACCTCTAGCCCCAGCTACTTGGGAGGCTAAGGTGGGAGTATCACTTGAGCCCAGGAGGTCAAGGCTGCAGTGAGCCGTGATCGTGCCATTGCACTCCAGCCTGGGTGACAGAGTAAAACTCTGGCTCTAAGAAAAAAAAGAAAAATTCCATTGTCACTTCTTGCTCTTCCCTGATGAAATTGAAAAACTTTACCTTGATGACCTGGTCCCAGGAGCAACTAGAAAGTAATTCTGTGTTCCCATTAAGTGGCACATGTATTTACATAGACTCTTTCATTAAAGTGACTTCTCAACACAGATATTTAGTTCCAAGCATGGAAAATACGGTAGCTCTCCTGTTACAATAAAAGCTGAGTCCTTCCACTTGGGTTTCCAAGAGGAAGTATTTTTTCTTTCCTGGAAAAGCAGCAAAAAGAGTGAAATACCCTGGGTGGAGCATTTGAATGTGAGCAGTGCTTTTTCCTGAAGGGTCCTTCCATAAAGCCAGTGATGCACTTTCATGAGACCATGAGCTTTTCCTATACCCAAGCAGCTCTTTGTCCATTCTTTTCTCCTGGGATTGGTTGTCCTCTCTTGTTTACTGCTGGAGGCTCAGGATGCTGAATAAATGACTCCTGTTGGGTGATTAAATCTGAGCGTTCCTGCAGACCCAGCTAAGATTCCAGGTCCCTGAATCTTTTTGGTGTTGGGACTGACCATGACATTTTGTGCTCAACTAAGCAAAATCGGACAGACCATCTCAATGTTGTAGAGAGAATAACAAAAAGCATGACTGCAACTGAAGGGCATATGCCCCCTCAGTTTAAGAAGACAGAAATCGAATAACTTCCTTTTTCTTTTTTGAGACAGGCTCTTGCTCTGTTTCCCAGGATGGAGTGCAGTGGTGTGATCATAGCTCACTGCACCCTTGACCCTCTGGGCTCAAGCAGTCCTCCTGCCTCAGCCTCCCAAGTAGCTAGGACTACAGGTGTATGCCACCACACCTGGCTTCAAATGACTTCCTTAAAGCCTCTCCATCTTGAGATGTGATCTCTTCCTGGGTGTTTGAAAGAAACAACCCATAAGGTTAACCTCAAAACAAAAGAGATGAGAGAAGCATTATGAAAGTACCAAGTGCCTTGTTTATATGCACATTCCTACATGTAATGACAGTAATAATTCAAAATGCTAGGCTGCCAGGCTCTGCTGACTGGGGCAATGATGACATACACCCTGGAGTGGCAGGGCTTGGTGGGAGGCGCTTTGGAGGCAAAGGTCCAGAAACTCTACCATTCCCTGAGGTTAACAGCAAACTATCCTTGGTGGTATTTGTGTATTGGTTTGGTAGCCAGTAGGAGAACCAGGGCTGTTTGTACTCATGGAAGGTGATTAGGGGAATGGTTGGGATAAGAGAGAGAGAGAGCACATGAGCGGGTGCTCCATGTTGGCCACGTGTTCATTCTCCAGTCTTGTGAGCACCTCATGAGTTCAATCCTGGGACCCCTGCCCATGAGCCAGCTTCTTGGGGATTTGCTGGTGGAGGTAGCTCCATTCTCCCTGGGCTCTGGTCCAGGTTTGTTGCCGCATTGGGGTTTTACAGAGGGGGAATGGGGAACATGGCTCAAGGTGATAAAGGGGGTCTGTGATTCCAGGCTGGGGTTAGAGCAGTGGGAAACGTCTTCCAACCAGTGTACATTCCAGGGCACTGAGGAAAGCGTGGTCTTTCCTCAAACCTGAAGAAGAAGGGACCTAAATTCCAAGAAGTCACCAATACAAAATTCTCCTTTTGATAATGGAGATAATAAAAAGGCTCTTGGGATGAGGTATGGGCATCAGAAATTTGCTTTTCAGGGTCTGGAGCCAGGTCAGTATGTTTCTTGGTGGTTGAGATTCAAAGTGTCTTGCCTTCTTGAAATAAAGTAGTTAGTAACTTGACTGTATGTTGAGTTCCTGTGGGCTGAGTAAGAGTCTTCTCATTTTTAGATTAATTGAAAGGATGAATGGAGCACTTACTTGTCCTACTTTTGCTTTTTTTTCACTATGATTCAAATAATTCATTTTCTTAGGTCAGATATGGGGAAATTTGTTCTTTTCACCCCTGCTTCTGTGGAAATATTACATGTGGTTATGATGATGACTGATATTTTTGTATTCTCAAGCTAATTTTTGTTTTAAAAGTGTTTCAGGAGCCGTAGAGCCAGATCGTCATCATGTCTGCATTGTGGCTGCTGCTGGGCCTCCTTGCCCTGATGGGTGAGTGTGGCTGATTTTTACAAATGACTTTGGAGATGGGAAGGATAAGCACAGGAACACAATGGCACTTCTAATACTTGAAAATGCAACAAAAAAGATTATTTTTTCCCTAAACTGTCCAACAAATCCTGGAGTTAGGAACAGCCACCAACAATCAGCCTCTCCCCAAATGTCCCACAAAAGATTGGGGTTCTCTGGAATGCAAGGTGGGCTTAAAACAGCACTGCTTGAAGCCAGACTTTAAATATACACCATCAATAGCTGCTCATTGTCCACTATAAAAAATGCCAAATTGAATTTATTCCTAAAGCATTTATTTCCATAGAAGAATTGAGGTGGTTGCCAGAATAAGACTAATGAATAAGACTAATTCAAATAGAAAACCAGAATCAAGGCAACCGAGTACACATGACTAAGCTAATCACTGAGGCTGATTTAGTTGCTGTGATTGAACTTCAGCTTTGCAGCTGGAGGAAAAAGGGAAAGTACTTGTTTTTGTTGGTTTGCTTTTGTTTTTGTTTTTTTTGAGATGGAATTTTGCTCTTTCACCCAGGCTGGAGTGCAGTGGTGCAATCTCAGCTCACTGGAATATCTGCCTTCCGGTTTCAAGCGATTCTCCTGCCTCAGCCTCCCAAGTAGCTGGGATTACAGGCGCCTGTCACTACACCCGGCTAATTTTTGTATTTTTAGTAGAGACAGGGTTTCACCATGTTGGCCAGATTGGTCTCAAACTCTTGACCTCGTGATCTGGCCTCCCAAAGTGCTGGGATTACAGGGTGATCCACTGCGCCCAGCCTACTTGTTTTTTAATAAATAAAAGGAGGAAGCAAAGTTCCTCAGGAGAAGCTAAATTTTCCTGACTCTAAATTTAATAGATTTCTTAGATGAGGTCTCATAGTCATTCATTTAGTTATTGACCCATTCATTCAACAAATATTTAAAAATGCCTACAAGGTGCTAAGCATTGGGAATACAAAGAATTTTGAGGATCATAGAGTGTGGCTAGGGAGAGGTCCACAAGGCAGGAACCAAGGAGTGATAAAACCAACTGCAGTACTAAGGGTATTTGTCACCAGTCATAAAGATAAAAGTGCACTGATTAAAAAATAAAAAAGAACCTGTCAGCTGGTTTAATTTTTAGTATATTCATAAAAGATCTAGTCTTTTCATTTCCACATTTTTCTTAGGTTACTTATCACAAGTTTGTAAAGTAGAAGTATTTACTCCAAAAGACGAGTATTTATCAACCCCATAAAGTTCTAAGAAAGTAGAACCTGAAAATGCATTTATGTAAACACACAGGACACATATGATTATAGGCAATAGATATATCTCCAAAGATCTGCAAATCATTAAGGTTTGATAATCTAATCTACTTTAGTCAAAGGATCAAATAGATTAAACAGAGTAAACCAGGTGTATGCGGTGGCTCATGCCTGTAATCCCAGAACTTTGGGAGGTCGAGGCGGGCAAATTGCTTGAGCTCAGGAGTTTGAGACCAGCCTGGGCAACAAGGCAAAACCCCATCTCTTCAAAAAATTACACAGGTGTGTTGGCTTGTGCCTGTGGTCCCAGCTACTTGAGAGGCTGAGGTGGCAGGATAGCTTGAACCTGGGAGGTTGAGGCTGTGGTGAGCCATGATCATGCCACTACACTCCAGCCTGGGTGACAGTGAGACCCTGTCTATAGATAAATTAATTAATTAATTAATTAATTAAAGAGTAATCTAATGAGACATTCTTACAGCCTTATAATGGTGAGATGATTCTCAAAAGGAGCAATTTCCTGCCTACTGTAGGTATCTTAGTACTGACTCATGTGTCCCCATTCTGGTGTGAATTGTAGATATATTATAAATACTTGTGTACCCACCTTGTGTGAATTGTAGATCTAAATACTCATGCACTCTCCTCCTGGTGTGAAGAGAAAGAACATTCTCCTCTTCAATGGCCTTTGTGAAATCCCGAGTGTCTGAAACCACTCCTCCCCTTCAGTGATGACTAGAATGACAGAGGTAGAGAGAGATGGAAAGGAGAAAGAGATAAAGGGAAGAAGTGGAAAGTGGGTGATCCCATGTGGAGACTGGTCCCATGCCTCTCTCCTTCACTCCCTTCTGCAGCCTTAGGCTCTTATCTAGAAGTGTACCTGAGAGAAAGTGTAGCCAGCCTCAAATCCTCATTTACGAGCAGTGCCTTACTTTGGATCTGGGTTGATATCCCAGAGAGATCCAGGTTTTATACTTGTTTCTCCAGAGCAAACATAAATATTTCATCAGAGCAACAAGTTAGGAGTATTTGACGGAGAAGTGCTCAGAGTTCATATAAGATGAAAGAAGAGGCTGGGCGCGGTGGCTCACGCCTGTGATCCCAGCACTTTGGGAGGCCGAGGCGGGCGGATCACTTGAGGTCAAGAGTTCGAGACCAGCCTGGCCAACATGGTGAAACCTCGTCTCTACTAAAAATACAAAAATTAGCTGGGCGTGGTGGCATGCACCTGTAATCCCAGCTACTTGGGAGGCTGAAGCAGGAGAATCACTTGAACCCAGAAGGCAGAGGTTGCAGAGAGTCGAGATCGTGCCACTGCACTCCAGACTAGGCGACAGAGCCAGACTCCATCTCAAAAAAAAAAAAAAAAAAAAAAAAGTAAGATGAGGACTACTTTACAGGGAACAAATCCTCTCCTTTGTGTTCCAAGATACCACCTGACAACATCAAAGGGCACCAGAGCTTTACAAAGAGTGTAACTGCTTCAATAGCTCCAGTAGTTACTCATGTCTGCAGGGGAGCAGGTGAGAATTTGGTATTGAGGAAGTTTTTGTGATCATTTATGGGATATTTCTCATTTAAATTTCAAGAGTTTCAATTGCAGAGTGAAGGTGATGTAATGGATTTTATTATTGTTACTTTTATTAATGTAATTTTATTCATGGACAGAAGAATGATGAGAACTAGTTCCATGCCTTAGGCTGAACTTTTCTCAACTTGTAGACTTGTCTGAAAGCAGCAACTGGGGATGCTATGGAAACATCCAAAGCCTGGACACCCCTGGAGCATCTTGTGGGATTGGAAGACGTCACGGCCTGAACTACTGTGGTAGCTATGAGCTTTCGCCCTCTCAACCTATCCCCCGGCTTTCACTGTTTCCCATGCCTCACGCTACTGAGTGTTGGAAAGAGTTCCGGGTATGGGGTCCCAAAGCTCTGCTTCTTGAACAAGTCACTTAGCTGCCCCTGCATCCGTGGCAAGGCGGCTAGCAGTACGGTATTTACAGTGTTGTTGTGAGCTCTGATTGACACAATGTGGACAAGGGTGCTTTTTATTTTTTATTTTTATTTATTTTTTTTGAGATAAGTTTCTGTCTTGTTGCCCAGGTTGGAGTGCAATGGTGCAATCTCAGGTCACTGCAACCTCCACCTCCCCGGTTTAAGCGATTCTCCTGCCTCAGCCTCCAGAGTAGCTGGGTTACAGGCATGTGCCACCATGCCTGGCTAATTTTGTATTTTTAGTAGAGATGGGATTTCACCATGTTGGTCAGGCTGGTCTCGAACTCCTGACCTCAGGTGATCCTCCCTCTTTGGCCTCCCAAAGTGCTGGGATTACAGGTGTGAGCCACTGCGCCCGGCCGAGGGTGCTTTTTAAACCATAAAAGCACCTAGAAGGTAAGGCTAGCTAAGTAGATTAATATTGGCTTTCCTTTTGCCCAGCATTCTTATTATTTCAGAAAGGTTTAAACTTGCATGATTTGTTGGTATCGTTTAGGAGTGGAAAACTGTGCAATTGTGAACAAAC
Source organism: Homo sapiens (assembly GCF_000001405.40). Classification (NCBI taxonomy): domain Eukaryota; kingdom Metazoa; phylum Chordata; class Mammalia; order Primates; family Hominidae; genus Homo; species Homo sapiens. The sequence continues at coordinate 99,291,839 of NC_000002.12, read as the reverse complement.
TTGTTGAGGAACACTATCTAAAGACTTATTGAAGGGTTTGCAGAATTTCTCCTTCATGTCAGGTTGCAGCTGATAGGCAGGCACATTTCATTTTATTGGGGTGCTTAGAATGGGACCAATGGTTCCTATGGCCATGGAATTGTCCTGGGTGGGCCAGAGCAGCCCCTGAGAGCCCAGTCGAAGGGCACTGACAGCCACAGGGGACCCTGGCTCAGGGGATGCTGACTCAAGCTCACAGGAGGAGAGCCCTAACCTCAGGTCAGGGAGTGGCCACTACTAAAGATTTAAGACCAAAATCTGGGATTGTCAGTCCTCGACCATTACTCAGATCCTTGGATTGTTCTTTCTCTCTCCCCTTGAGCTCCTGTTGCAGCATAAGTCACAACAAGCTGCATCATTCCTTTTGCGTTTGGTTTAGGAGTTCGTGCTTCTGAAAGGCTGGCTGAAATAGACATGCCATACCTCCTGAAATATCAACCCATGATGCAAACCATTGGCCAAAAGTACTGCATGGATCCTGCCGTGATCGCTGGTGTCTTGTCCAGGAAGTCTCCCGGTGACAAAATTCTGGTCAACATGGGCGATAGGACTAGCATGGTGCAGGTAACTCTTCATCCGTTGACACATGTGGCCATTCTGCTATGTGGCACCACTGCTTTGTTTTTTGGATGATGGCAAAGCTTCACAGAACACAGCATGAATGAAGGTCTCTAGAGCTGTGACAGTGACAGTTCTGCCTGAGAGATATGAGCAGCAACATTTCTGTTTCATGTTGAGCCACAATTTCTTTTCACAGTAAATAATGCCGTGTTTCCAGAATATCATCCGGGCCACCCTATTCTGGATTTCTGGACCTAAGTGGTCCAAGAGAAAGATCACAGATTAAATCTTTCCTCAGTTACTTTGTAGCCACATGGCCTTGAATAAGTCATTTAATCTCACTGGGCCTTAGTTTCTCTACCTATAAAATGCCATTCTTACAGCATTATTATGAAGATTCCATGAAACAATGCAAAAAAGTACCTGATATCTGTTGGATTCTCAAAAAATGTTAAATTTATTTTCCTTTACCTTTTTCTATACAATTCTTAGTTCTGAAGATTGAGTTTTATTTTTGCATGAATTCCGTCTGGTGTCACTTGCCAGATAGAGACTTCTGGGGAATGGTCACTAATCCACTGTTGAATTAACTCTGCGCCAGGGAATCAGTGATGGCAAGGGTGAGAATGAGGCTTGATTTTTTCCATTGATCTCACACTGCTTTTGTGGTTGTTGTTGAGGAACCTGTGAGTATTGCAGTCTTTTTTTTAAGATTTTAGAAAAATTTATTTCTCAATGATCTCTCCAAATTTGCTTCCCTTGACTTTTTTGTATGATACTTTTAAAGTACTTTCAAATACTTTATTTTACTTCGATTTGGAGACCCATCCAATAATCTGATAAGATGAGGTGAGGGACACGTAATCCATCCTTGACAAGTGAGGAAATAGAATCACAAGGAAGGAGTTGCTGCTACAAAGTCACATGGCAGCTGCAAGAGGCAGAACTGGGACTGAATATCTTGTGATGTTAGGGCTGGCATCATTTCTGCTGCGCTGTTCTGTCTCCTTTGTAAAATCTGGCTTTTGAGGAAAGGATGAGTCCATTTCCTTTGAAGATGAAATAAGAATTCCCTAGATTTGGGTCAGGCGCAGTGGCTCATGCCTATAATCCCAGCACTTTGGGAGGACGAGGAGGGTGGATTACATGAGGTCAGGAGTGCGAGACCAGCCCAGCCAACATGGTGAAACCCCATCTCTACTAAAATTCAAAAATTAGCTGGCCATGGTGGTGCATGCCTGTAATTCCAGCTACTTGGGAGGCTGAGGTGAGAGGATTGCTTGAACCTGGGGGGTAGAGGTTGCAGTGAGCTGAGATCATGCCACTACACTCCAGCCTGGGCGAGAGAGCGAGACTCCATCTCAAAAAACAACAACAACAACAACAACAACAACAACAAACAAGAGAATTCTCTAGATTTGGACATTTCTCCCAAATATGATGAAACCTACATGGAAGTGATAATCAAAGGCGTATAAGAAGGGTTAGAAGTCCCTTTAGACGTTCAGACTATCTGGAAAAAGAATTACAAGTTCAGACAGAAAAATCCCTTTCTGGACTGTTTGGAGGGTTTGCACTGGCAGCATTGAAGGAGGGCATCACACTGCTACCTACACTAACTCAGTCATTAACTGAGTTACACCCTTAAGCTGAAGCAGCAGTGAAAGGTCTGCTCATCCCTTCCTTAGCCCAAACCTTGTAACTTGACTATCTTTTTTCTTTGGCAAGAACACCACTTAACATTAACATGAGATCTATCATCTTAACAGATTTTTTTTTTTTTTAAGACAGGGTCTGGCTCTGTCACCCAGGCTGGAGTATAGTGGTATGATCTTAGCTCACTGCAACCTCTGCCTCCTGGGCTCACACGATCCTCCTCAGCCTCCCAAGTAGCTGGGACTACAAGCATGCACCACCATGCCTGGCTAATGTTTGTATTTTTTGTAGAGATGGGGTTTCATCATGTTGCCCAGGCTGGTCTCGAACTCCTGGACTCAAGTGGTCTGCCTGCCTCAGCCTCCCAAAGTGCTGGGATTACAGGTGTGAGCCACTTTACCCGGCCACAGATTTTTGTTTTTTAAGTCTAGTTTACTGACTCTCGAAGCTTATTGTGCATATGAACACCTGGAGCTCTTGTTTACATGAGAATTCTGATTCAGTAGGTCTGAAATGGGGCCCAAAGTTCTGCAATTCTAATAAATAAGTTCTCAGTTGTTGCTGATGTTGCTGGTTCCCGGACCACATTTTAAGTAAAACCCAGGGTATAGGTTTGGTCAATATGATGGGTGCTGGAAGCAGTGGTGGGGAGACAAAGGATCAGAGAGTCCTTGCCTTATTTAGGGTGAGACATAGTTTCGGTTACAAAATAGGCTGGGCACAGTGGCTCACGTCTTTAAAATCCCAGCACTTTGGGAGGCTGAGGCGGATGGATCATTTGAGGTCAGGAGTTTGAAACCAGCCTGGCCAACAAGGTGAAATCCTGTCTTTACTAAAAATACAAAAATCAGTCAGGCAGTAGTGGCAGGTGCCTGTAATCCCAGCTACGCAGGAGGCTGAGGCAGGAGAATCGCTGGAGCCTGGGAGGCGGAGGTTGCAGTGAGCTGAAATCACGCCACTGCACTCCAGTCTGGGCGAGAGAGTGGGACCCTACCTCTAACAATATTAATAATAATAATAGTTAAGACAAGAGTAAAAAGGAATGTAGAAAAAGAGAGACACATTGAAATAACAAATTAAGATGATAGTAGCAACTACACGATATTAATAATGGCAATAAATATAAATATAGGAAACCTACTGGTTTAAAGACACAGATGTATGAACGAGATTAAAAGCCCAAATCCAGATTTACATGGTTTATGTGAGAAACACTTAAAGCATTTGAATATGCAAAAGTTTGAAGTAAAAGTATGGTAAAAAGAAGACCTATCAGGAATACAATAATCAAAATAATGTTGATAACTATGATATATTAAATAAAATACACTTTAGAAGAAAAAATATTTGGTATGGAGAGAATTATGACATAACAAAAAAGATTGAATTTATCCAGGACATACAGCAATTTAAAACAAGTAGATGCCAGTAAAATAGCCTCAAAATATATGCAGCATAAATTATTATTACTATAATAATAAACCTGCTATCATAATGGGAAATTTCAACACATCTCTCTTGATTATTTACAGGTTATACAATAAACAAACCAGCAAAGATATAGAAGAAAAATAAGTAAAACAATTAACACATGTAATAAGAACACAATTAAGAGGCTTGATTGTTAATTGGGGAGGGAGGGAGAGCAGGAGAGAAAAATGAGGGGGATGTAATTATTTACGTATCCATTAGGATATACACAATTGTTTCCTGCACATGAGGAACATTTTACAAAAGTTGATCATATATCATCTATTAAAGAAATCCTCAAAAATTTCAGATATCACAATAATACAATTATGCTAGAAGATAATTTTAAAAATTAAAAATATCTCTGATCATATGGAAATTTAAAATACATGCACACACACACACATACACAACACTAAGTAACTCTTAGGTTAAAGAAACAAATCATAGTGAAACTTAAAAATAACTAAAACAGGATGATAGAGAAACACTAGATATTAGAAACTATGAGATATGGTAAAAATGCTTTAAGGGAGATTTACAGTCACAAACCTAATATTAAAAAAAAAGAAAGCCTTTTTTCCAACCTTTAAGTTCAGGGGTTTATGTGCAGGTTTGTTCCACAGGTAAACGTGTGTCATGGGGGTTTGTTGTACAGATTATTTCATCACCCAGGTATTAAGCCTGTACCCTTTAGTTATTTTTCCTGATCCTCTCCCTCCTCCCACACTCCACCCTCCAATAGGCCCCAGTGCGTGTTGTTCCCCTGTATGTGTCCATGTGTTCTCATCATCTAGCTCCCACTTACAAGTGAGAACATGTGGTATTTGGTTTTCTGTTTCTGTGTTAGTTTGCTAAGGATAATGCTGGCTACAGATGTGTAAACATACAATACAGTGTTGTTAATTATAGGCACAATGTCATACATCAGATCTCTAGAACTTACTTGTCTTGCATGACTAAAATTTTATACCCATTAATTAGCAACTCCCAGTTTCCCTCTCCCCATCAGCCCCTGGCAACCATCATTCTATTCTTTGCTTCTATGAACTTAACTATTTTAGATACCTCATATAAGTGAAATCATGCAGTATTTGTCCTGTGACTGGCTTATTTCACTTACATAATGTCCTCAAGATTCATCTATGTTGTCATATAATGCAGGATTTCCTTCTTTTTAAGGTTGAATAATCTTCCATGATATGTGTATACCACATTTTCTTTATTCATTCATCTGTCAGGTACATTTAGGTTGTTTCTACCTCTTGGCTATTGGGAATAGCTTTGCAATGAATGTGGGAGCTCAGATATCTCTTTGAGATCCTGATTCCAATTCTTTTGGATGAATACCCAGAAAGGGGATTACTAAATCATATGGTATTAATTTTTACTTTAATTTGTTTTATTTTTTGAGACAGTCTCACTCTTGTTGCCCAGGCTGAAGTATAATGGCATTATCTCAGCTCACTGCAACCTCCACCTCCTGGGTTCAAGCAATTCTCCTGTCCCAGCCTCCCGAGTAGCTGGGATTACAGGCGCCCACCACCACACCTGGCTAATTTTTGTATTTTTAGTAGAGATGGGGTTTCACCATTTTGGCCAGGCAGGTCTCAAACTCCTGCCTGGTGAGCCCACCTGCCTTGGCCTCCCATAGTGCTGGGATTACAGGTGTGAGCCACTGCACCCAGACCATATGGTAGTTCTAATTTTAATTTTTTGAGAAACCACAGTACAGTTTTCCATGGTAGCTGCACCATTTTGCATTGCCATCAACAATGTACAATGATTTCAGTTTCTCTACATCCTCACCAACCCTAGTTGTCTTAGTCTGTTTTCTGTTACTTATTACAGAATACCTAAATATGGGTAATTTATGAAAAATAAAATTTATTACTTACAGTTCTGGAGGCTGGGGACCCCAAGGTCAAGGGGACACATCTGGTAGAGCCTTCTTGCTGGTGGGGACTCTTTGCAGAGTCCCAGGGTGGCTCAGGGCCTCACATGGTGAGAGGCTGAGTGTGCTGGCTTAGTCTCTCTTCCTCTTCTTATAAAGCCACCAGCCTCACTCCTGTGATAACCATTAACCCACTAATCTATTAATCTATTCATAGATTAATCTAATCACCTCTTAAAAGCCCCACCTCTCAATACTGCCACATCGGGGATTAAGTTTCAACATGAATTTCACAAGGGACAAGCATTCAAATTATAGCACCTGTCTTTTGCATTTTTGACAGTAGCTATTCTAACAGGTATAAATGGCTTTACTGTCTGATCTCCAGGTGTTGTTGGAGGGCCAGTTCAAGTTCTTGACTTTGCCGCACAGAAGAATTTGGGCACGAGTCCAAATTAAAAGTAGGCGAAGAAGTTTATTGCAAAGCAAAACTACACTCTGGTAGCTGGGTGGAGAATGAGACAGCCTCATGTGACATTGGGAAAATCCCTTCATGGAAAGCTTATATGATTATTCATAAGACAGAGGGGATGGTTATTGCTGTTAAGCATGTTTCAGGGTCTCCGGGATGCACATGCGCTATTGTTGTGCATGCTAGCACATACATCGCGTGTCTCAGCATTTTAATTCTCCACCCAGGAGTGTGCTTTTTTTTCACTCTTACAATGAGCATAGGTCAGCCCAAGGACACTAATCATGGGTTTCTGTGCTTGCATGGATTTGGGAATTTTCCCTTCTGTTCTTTGTCTCCTTACTGCAAATATTTTTTTTTTTTTTTTAAGACAGGGTCTCACTCTGTCACCCAGGATGGAATGCAGTGGTGCAATCATGGCTCACTGCAACCTCTGCCTCCCAGGCTCAATTGATCCTCTTAGGCTCAGGTGATCCTCCCACCTCAGCCTCCCAAGTAGCTGGGATTACAGGCACACACCACCACGCCCAGCTAATTTTTGTATTTTTTGTTGAGATGAAGTTTTCCCATGTTGCTGAGGCTCGTCTCGAACTCCTGAGCTTAAGTGATCCACCTACCTTGGCCTCCCAAAGTGCTGGGATCACAGGCATAAGCCACCGTGTCTGGCACTGTAGGATATTCTGACCATGTAGTTTGTGCACTGTCAGTGGTTTGTTCTCTCCACCTGTCTGGCAAATTTGTTCCCCATAAGGGAGGCTATGACCACCCTATCTAACCTACCTCACAGGAGACTGACGGTGGCATTGGTTCCATCAAAGGTGAAAGGAGAACAAGAGACAGGAAATGAACAAGCGCCATTGAGCCCAGTAAGCCGGATCACCCTCCCACCCAGCTTACGTGGCTTCTTCTCTGCCTCCTTCCCTGCAGGACCCTGGCTCTCAAGCTCCCACATCCTGGATTAGTGAGTCTCAGGTTTCCCAGACAACTGAAGTTCTGACTACTAGAATCAAAGAAATCCAGAGGAGGTTTCCAACCTGGACCCCTGACCAGTACCTGAGAGGTACGTGTAACGCTATCAGTCAGTTGTCTCAAGCACAGAATTAATAGGGACAAATATAATACATTGCACCAGATTCCCCGAAACTCCAGCTGCCTCCTGTTAGGTAGTTAGTAAAGAGAATCAGAGTTAACTGCTGAGTACCCTAGGTCAGCATTAACCTATCTCATGCATTTCAGGTGGACTCTGTGCCTACAGTGGGGGTGCTGGCTATGTCCGAAGCAGCCAGGACCTGAGCTGTGACTTCTGCAATGATGTCCTTGCACGAGCCAAGTACCTCAAGAGACATGGCTTCTAACATCTCAGATGAAACCCAAGACCATGATCACATATGCAGCCTCAAATGTTACACAGATAAAACTAGCCAAGGGCACCTGTAACTGGGAATCTGAGTTTGACCTAAAAGTCATTAAAATAACATGAATCACATTAAAGGAAGAATTTTGACCTGCATTTATAATATGTAGTGTATGTCTGTGTGGATCAAGGGCCGTGTTTCTTTAAAGGTATTCTCATGGACATTAGCCATGCTGTGGGTTTTCTGTGAAGTGAATTTTATTTTTCACTGACTGGCGTTGCCAGATTTAGCAAACAAAATGTAGGAAGCCCAGGTTAAATTTGAATTCCAGAGAAATGACAAATAATTTTTTAGTATAAGTCCCACACAATATTTAGAACACATTTACACTAACAAATTATTAACTGTTTATTTAAAATTCAAAATTATCTGGGCTTCCTATATTTTATCTGGCAACCCTAACATTAACTTCTTTGATAAAAGTCAGTGTTTCACATTTTAATTGAAAAATTTTGATGAGAAAAAGGGTAAGATGGCAGCCAGCCCCATATACTGTATGAAATGGCTTTAGGAAAGTCACTTGCTAACTTTCTGGCATCATCTTAACCCTAGAATTGTCTCTCTGTCATGAAAGTTATTGTCTCCTTTCCTTTCCTGGACAACTGAACCTTCTCCTACACCCAAACTCCCTAATTTTCCTGCCCAAATTGTCTCTAACTCAGCTAAACTATTCCCTAGTTTGGGGGCACTTAAGTCACCAAGAGAGCCAGGCCATGGGAGGTAATTCATCAGCCGGAGCTGCCCCCAAGCACATTGGCTGTGCACCGTACTAGTAAATTACTGAATTTGAAGATTTATATTCTATAAAAGTTATTCATGTCCCATTCTATTATCTGTACAATATCAGCACTTTACAGATTGAGAAAGATGATATAGCAACTAACAAATCCTACTGAATCCTCTATCTGCAGCCACTGCATTAAGAACTATAAAACCAGGATGCAAAGACATTGTCCTTGTTCACAAAGGCTCCTGTATTAGTCCATTATCACAGTGCTATAAAGAACTGCCTGAGACTTGGTAATTTGTAAAGGAAGAGGTTTAATTGACTCGCAGTTCCGCATGGCTGGGGAGGCCTCAGGAAACTTACAATCATGGCAGAAGGGGAAGCAAACACATCCTCTTCATATGATGGCAGGAAGGAGAAGTGCCAAGCAAAGAGGGAAAAGCCCCTTATGAAACCATCAGATCTTGTGAGAACTCACTCACTATCATAGAACAGCAGCATGGAGGTAATGGGAATGTGGGGATTATGGGAACTACAATTCAAGATGAGACTTGGGCAGGGACACAGCCAAACCATATCAGCTCCTTTTCTAATTCAGATACAGAAAATTAGTTAAGAACACAATAAGCTAATTTCGCTAAAGAAGAAATAAAAAATATCAGCCGGGCGCGGTGGCTTACGCCTGTAATCCCAGCACTTTGGGAGGCCGAGGCGGGTGGATCAGGAGGTAAGGAGATCGAGACTATCCTGGCTAAAACGGTGAAACCCCATCTCTACTAAAAATACAAAAAATTAGCCGGGCGTGGTGGTGGGCGCCTGTAGTCCCAGCTACTCGGGAGGCTGAGGCAGGAGAATGGCGTGAACCCGGGAGGCAGAGCTTGCAGTGAGCCGAGATGGTGCCACTGCACTCCAGCCTGGGCTACAGAGCAAGACTCTGTCTCAGAAAAAAGAAATAAAAAATATCGAGGGTGTGTCAATAGGTGAATTTTGGAGAACTGAGGCCCAAATTCACGCAAGAAAGAGGCAAGGCCATTTATTAGGGATTGCTCTCACACCAGCCCTGACAGGTTACATCATTTTAATTCCCTAGAACAGACAAGAGAAGTGGCAACCAGAGTTGTTGATAGTATAGTTGGCCCTCCATAGCCATGGTTTCTGCATTGGTGGATTGAATGTGAATGGAAAATATTCGGGAAAAAAATTGCATCTTGGGAGGCTGAGGCAGGAAGATAGCTAGAGCCCGGGAGTTTGAAGCCACAGTGAGCTATGCACCACAACACTCTAGCCTAGGCAACACAGTGAAACCTTGTCTTAAAAAGAAAAAAAAACTTATGTGTACTGAAAAAGCACAGACTTTTTTTTCTTGTCATTATTCCCTAAACAGTACAACTATTAACATATCATTTACATTGTATTAGGTATTATAAGTCATCCAGAGATGATTTAAAGTATACATGAAGTTGTGCATAGGTTATATGCAAACCCTACATCATCTTGTATCAGGGACTTGAGCATCCGTGGATTTGGGTATGGGGGGTAGCTCCTGGACCCAGTCCCTCAGGATACCGAGGGATGATTGTAATTCATCAACAGAAACTTGCCCTAGGTCACAAAACTGGTGAGGGACAGGACCATAATACAAACCCAGATGTCTTCAATGTTAAAGCCTATCTTTTTATTTTAAGTTTTAATTTTTTCCTAAGTGGCACACATACATAATTAGATGGTTGGCACACACATGTGCATGTGTGCATATGTCATGGGGTGTTCAGTTGACCAACTGTCCTGGTTTGCCTGGAACTAGTGGATTTTCTGGGACATGAGGCTTTTAGTGCCAAAACTGGTAAAATTAAACTTGAAAAGTCCCAGGCAAATTGGGATGAGTTGGTCATTCTAGCTTGGCCTTCCTTTTCCAGGAGGTATTTGAAAATATGTGAGGGCAGTTTTCTTCCCTCCCTCCCTTCTCCTCATTCTCTTTCTTTTGTTATTGCTACAATGCCCGGGGTAGGGGGTTGGGGTTAGACATTACTGGTATATTGGGAAGGGGCTGGGCAAAGACTGCTAAGTATTTTGCAGTTTGCACTGGGCGGGATGGTCCCACCCAGTGAAAAGTATATAAAATTTTATTTTTATATCTTCCTGAGTTAGCCTTTTGTCACTTTACAACCCAGATTGTTTTTTTCAGAAATCTGAGAGCCATCTTTTTGAAATGTAAATAAACACCTAGGAAAATAATGTCTCTATGTTCCATTCACTGTGGAAGTTTAACCTCTGAGCACCTTTCTGTCTCTATCTTCATCTGCTTGTCGCAGAGATAAATTTTATTATTCCTTTTTTTTTTTTTTTTGAGACAGGGTCTTGCTCTGTCACCCAGGCTGGAGTGCAGCAGCACAATCACAGCTCACTGCAGCCTCCACCTCCTGGGCTCAAGTGATCCACCCACCTCAGTCTCCTAAGTAGCTGGGAACACAAGTATGTGCCACCACGCCTTGGTAACTTTTAAATTGTTTTTAGATATGAGGTCTGACCATGTTGCCCATGCCATTATTATTCCTTTTGATAAAGGTGAATTTAGGCTAAACTGTGAAAGAATGTACAGCAAATGGCTCTGTTAATTCTTCTCATAGGAGGACAGGTTACTGTTAATAGAGAACATATGTATGTAATGGCTAAAAATAGGGCAGTAGAAAAGGAATGTAACTTCTCACCTCCTTTGAGAATGAAAAGAAAGAAAGAAAAAAGGATTGTTACTTCTTGGCTGCCTAAGTAGGGTGGAATTTCTCTCTGCATATAAAATATCTTTGCAGATGATGAGCCTTTGTCCATGGTACTCTGGTTTCTTTCTTTTTGATGTTTTGTAGACATTTTAAATTTCCCAACAATACAAAAAGGAAAGAATATTTGGTTAAAGATCACTAAACTCTGGGCTGACAGTCAGCTGGGTGTGTAGGGGACTGGTGTCTCAGTGTAAGTCTTAATCACATTAAAGTTGTTATTTGTTTGTTTTTAAGTACAAGATTTTTCTATCAGGATGCCAGAGATTTCTTCCTAGAGACTGTGAATTACATCACAAAAAATGGTTTGGTCTCATATCAGATACTATGCAAACACTGTTTACAGCTGAGTTGTGTAATCACCCAAGATTACTTTACTTTCTTGAATAATAATGGAGTTAATAATTATCCATTGCTTGCTGCCTTAGTTCTGTCTGTACTTATCATTAATTCAACCCTAAATATCCTCTTAATTGGTAGTTCTTATCAGAGAGTCTATCAATTATTTTTCATGAAGAACTCTTTCCTGGAAACTTCTGACCTGCTCCTGTCTCAGGTAAGTCAGAAAGCCCTGCAAACATCCTGGGATCCCCTTCCCCATATTCCTTTGTAGCTGTCCTATGTTGCACCTTTCATTTTTTACATCCTTTCTGAGCTTACTCTTTTGTTTTAATGGAGCACATCCTCTAGCAGCTTTCTGAGAAAAGTGAATGGGAGATAAGTTTTTTGAGACTTTCTAGATCCAAAATATCTTTCTTTCTATTATCACATGAATTAGTGAATTTGTCCTGGAACAGAATTCTAGTTTGGAAATAATTTTCCTTTGGAGTTTTTAAAGCATTGCTCTGTTGGTCTTTGGGCTTTTAGGGTTACTCTTGAGAAGACTGAAATCATTTTGATTTTAATCCTCTCTCTATATTTCTTTTTCTTCTCTTTAGAACAGTGGTGTCCAATCTTTTGCCTTCCCTGGCCACACTGGAAGAAGAATTGTCTTGGGCCACACATAAAATATGCTAACACTAATGATAGCTGATAAGCTAAAAAAAAAAAAAAAACCTCATAATGTTTTAAGAAAGTTTACAGGCCAGACACAGTGGCTCGCACCTGTAATCCCAGCACTTTGGGAGGCCGAGGCGGATGGATAACCTGAAGTCGGGAGTTTGAGACCAGCCTGGCCAACATGGAGAAACCCCGTCTCTACTAAAAATACAAAATTAAGCCAGGCGTGGTGGCACATGCCTGTAATCCCAGCTACTCGGGAGGCTGAGGCAGGAGAATTGCTTGAACCCAGGAGGCGGAGGTTGCAGTGAGCTGAGACTGCACCATTGCACTCCAGCCTGGGCAACAAGAGCAAAACCCAATCTCAAAATAAATAAATAAATAAATAAATACATACATAGATAAATAAATAAAATAAATAAAAATAAAAAAATAGAAAAGAAAGTTTACTAATTTGTGTTGGGTCACATTCAAAGCTGTCTTGGACTGCATGAGGCCCAGGTTGGACATAATTGCTTTAGAAGATTGTAAAATCTTTTCTTTGTTACATACATGTTGACACTTCACACCAATGGGCTTATTACTTGCTTAGTGGAATTCTGACTTTACCAGAAGAGCAGCACCCTGGCCTGACTCATCCAGCCTTGGGGAAGCCTGCTTTCCAGAGACAGCTTCCAACTTTCATCCAGCATCGGCACTCAGACCCACAGCTGTGGTTTCATTTTCCTGGGGAAGATGGGTGAACCATCTGTTCATCCTGAAGGGAGACCCTGCATTTCTCCTCAGATGAAAGACTGCCTCTACCTTGTTTTTCCATTCCGCTCATTGACATATGACTCTTCTGTTGATAATTCATTTGCTTCAAACCACAGATATCTCTGGAATTATGCAACCTAATCCTTAGGAAAACACAGTATTATGTGGCCTTGGAGAGTCTGCAGCTGCCTTATTTGATAAAGTTGCATCAGGATGTGTTATTTGAAACATCTCAGGAGAGAAGACTGTTCATAACTGTCCTTAGAGCCTGATGTAACAACATTGATTACAGCCTGGCAGGCATTGTCCTTTCTAAGCTAAGTGAAAACACAATACAGAAAACACCCAAGCATTTAAAAAAGATTTTTGTGACACTGTTTTCTCTGAGGGAAACAGTTTACAGTTGATAATTTTTTGTTCATTCCTAAGCACCAATGGGAAGCTCCCCTCAGTGTTTTTTTCCTGTTGGTGACGTGTTGCCCTGATGTCTCCAACCAAGAACCTGTTGGGAACGGGCCCCCAAATCTGGCCATAAACAGGCCCCAAAACTGGCCATAAACAAAATCTCTGCAGCACTGTGACATGCTCATGATGGCTATGATGCCCATGCTGAAGGTTGTTGGTTTACCAGAATGAGGGCAAGGAACAGCTGGCCGACCCAGGGCAGAAAACTGCTTAAGGCATTCCTGAACCACAAACAATAGAATGAGTGATCTGTGCCTTAAGGACATGTTCCTGCTGCAGATAACTAGCCAAGCCCATCCCTTTGTTTCCCGTTTTAGTTAATCTATAATCTATAGAAACACTGCTTATCACTGGCTTGCTGTCAATAAATATGTGGGTAAAACTCTGTTCGTGGCTCTCAGCTCTGAAGTCTGTTAGCCCCCTGATTTCCCACTCTACACTTTATATTTCTGTGTGTATGTGTCTTTAATTCCTCTAGCACCGCTGGGTTTGGGTCTCCACAACCGAGCTGGTCTCAGCAAGTGGCACCCATATGTGTGGCTCGAACCCGGGTCGAAGGGTCACCAGAGCGATGGTTGGAGAACATGGAACTATGCTGGAGGACACCCAAGTACTCTTAAACAATCCCCATGGTGAGTAAGAAGGGGAGCTCAGAAGCATCAAGGTAACAATGGGACAAGTGTGGGCTCTGGTTGGTTCCACCTTGGAACCTTTTCACACTGATGATGAGGAGGAAGGAGAGTATAATGAAGTAACAGAAGAGGTAACAGAGCAGGTTTGTTTGCCAGCTAAAGCTAAAGCGGCAAAGAAGGGAGAGGTTTGTCCCTACCTTTCTGCACCCCTTCATTATTTTGAAGAAAAAGATTGGCCTGACCCTCCAGATCTTTCTTTTCCAGAGGACACTGGGCAAAAAGTAGTTGCCCCAGTGACTGTTCGAGCAGCATCTTGAGCTACCACTCTCAGTTGTATTTAGGCAGGAATTCAGCAAGCTAGATGAGAGGGTAATATAGAGGCTTGGCAGTTCCCTGTTAGAATACACCCCCCCCAGATCAACAGGGAAATATTATAGCTACATTTGAGCCTTTTCCTTTTAAATTACTCAAAGAATTTAAACAAGCTATAAATCAGTATGGACCAAGTTCTCCTTTTGTAATGGGACTGTTAAAGAATGTTGCTGTCTCCAGTTGGATGATTCCTACTGACTGGGATGCTCTTACTCAAGCTTATCTAACTCCTGCTCAGTTCTTACAATTTAAAACTTGGTGGGCAGATGAAGCTTCCATTCAGGCTGCTTGCAACACCCAGGCCCAACCTCAAATTAATATAACTGCAGACCATCTTTTGGGGGTCAGCGGCTGGGCTGGTTTAGATGCACAAGTGGTCATGCAGGATGATGCCATAGAATAGCTTAGAGGAGTGTGCATCAGAGCTTGGGAAAAAATCACTTCAGGAGGAGAACAATACCCTTCCTTTAGTGCTGTAAAACAGGAACCAAAAGAACTGTATGCAGATTTTTTTAAAATTATACTTTAAGTTCTAGGGTACATGTGTACAACATGCAGGTTTGTTACATATGTATACATGTGCCATGTTGGTTTGCTGCACCCATTAACTCGTCATTTACATTAGATATTTCTCCTAATGCAATCCCTCCCCCATCCCCACATCCCATGACAGGCCCCGGTGTGTGATGTTTCCCACCCTGTGTCCAAGTGTTCTCATTGTCAGTTCCCACCTATGAGTGAGAACATGCGGTGTTTGGCTTTCTGTCCTTGTGACAGTTTGCTCAGAATGATGGTTTCCAGCTTCATCCATATCACTACAAAGGACATGAACTCATCTTTTTTTATGGCTGCATAGTATTCCATGGTGTATACGTGCCACATTTTCTTAATCCAGTCTATCATTGATGGACATTTGGGTTGGTTCCAAGTCTTTGCTATTGTGAATAATGCCGCAATAAACATATGTGTGCATGTGTCTTTAAAGTAGCATGATTTATAATCCTTTGGGTACATACCCAGTAATGGGATCGCTGGGTCAAATGGTATTTCTAGTTCTAGATCCTTGAGGAATCGCCACACTGTCTTCCACAATGGTTGAACTAGTTTACACTCCCACCAACACTGTAAAAGCATTCCTATTTCTCCACATCCTCTCCAGCACCTGTTGTTTCTGTATGCAGATTTTATAGCTTGGTTACAGGAGTCTCTTAAAAAGATGATTGCAGATTCGGCTGCTTAGGATATAGTGTTGCAGTTACTAGCTTTCGACAATGCCAATCCTGAGTGCCAGGCTGCTGTGTGACCTATTAGAGGGAAAGTGTATTTAGTTGATTATATCAAGGCCTGTGATGGTATCGGAGGTAATCTGCATAAAGCTACTTTGTTGGCACAAGCCATGGCAGGACTGAAAATGGGTAAAGGAAATACTCCATCTCCTGGAGCTTGTTTTAACTGTGGGAAGCATGGTCATACTAAAAAAGAACGTAGAAAAAATCAGCAAGTCATGCAGCCAGTTGAGGGAAAAAAGAAAACTGCCGAGCCTGGAATATGTCCAAAATGCAAAAAAGGAAAACACTGGGCCAATCAGTGTCATTCTAAATTTGATAACGATGGAAACCCAATTTCAGGAAACGCCATGAGGGGCCCGTCCTGAGCCCTGTTCCAAACCGGGGCATTTCTGGCTCAGGCCATTCCTTCACTCCTGAACAATGCCTGTCCCCTGCCACAGCCAGTAGTGCCACAGTAGATTTATGCTGCACAGAAGCTGTGAGCCTTCTGCCTGGAGATCCCCACAAAAAGTGCCAACAGGAGTCTGTGGACCCTTGCCAGTGGGGACGGTAGGATTACTTGTAGGTAGATCTAGTTTAAATTTAAAAGAAGTGCAAGTACATACAAGAGTCATTGATTCAGATTACAATGGGGAAGTTCAAATTGTTGTATCTACTTCTGTTCCCTGGAAAGCAGAGCCAGGAGAGTGTACAGCACAGCTCCTGATTGTGCCATATGTGGAAATGGAGAAAAAGTGAAACTAAACAAACAGGAGGATTTGGAAGCACAAGTAAACAAGGCAAAGCAGCTTATTGGGTGAATCAAATTACTGATAGACATCCCACCTGTGAAATAACTATTCAGGGAAAGAAATTTAAAGGTTTGGTAGATACAGGAGCGGACATTTCAATTATTTCTCTACAGCACTGGCCGTCCGCGTGGCCAATTCAACCTGCTCAATTATCATAGTTGGAGTTGGTAATGCCCCTGAAGTATATCAAAGTAGTTATATTTTGCATTGTGAAGGGCCTGATGGACAACCTGGGACTATTCAACCAATTGTAACTTCTGTACCTATAAATTTATGGGGAAGAGATTTATTACAATAATGGGGATCACAAGTTCTAATTCCAAAGCAATTACATAGCCCTCAAAGTCAATATATGATGCATGAAATGGGGTATGTCCCTGGTATGGGACTAGGAAAAAATTTGCAAGGTTTGAAAGAACTGCTTCAAGTGGAAAGACAAAGTTTCTGCCAAGGTTTAGGATATCATTTTTGATGGCGGCCATTGTTCAGCTTCCAGAACCTATACCTTTAAAATGGTTAACAGATAAGCCAATTTAGATAGAACAGTGGCCACTAAGTAAAGAGAAACTGGAGGCTTTAGAGGACTTAGTTACTGAACAATTAGAAAAAGGACACATAGCTCCAACATTTTTCCCCTGGAATTCTCTGGTCTTTATTATTAAGAAAAAATCAGGTAAATGGAGAATGTTGACAGATCTTAGAGCCATTAATTCAGTTATACAACCTATGGGGGCATTACAGCCAGGATTGCCTTCTCCTGCTATGATTCCGAAAAATTGGCCTTCAATAGTCATAGATTTAAAAGACTATTTCTTTACTATCCCCTTAGATGAGCAAGACTGTGAACGGTTTGCATTTACAATTCCTGCAGTAAACAACCTGCAGCCTGCTAAGTGTTTTCATTGGAAAGTGTTGCCACAAAGAATGTTAAACAGTCCAAAAATTTGCCAGACTTATGTAGGGTAAGAAATTGAACCTACTTGTAAAAAATTTTAATAGTATTGCATTATTAATTATATGGATGATATACTTTGTGTTGCCCCCACTTGAGAAATATTACTCCAATGTTATGATCACTTGCAAAATTCGATTTCTCACGCTGGTTTAACTATAGCTCCTGATAAAATTCAGACTACTACTCCTTACTCCTACTTAGAGACCTTAGTAAATGACACTACAATAGTGTCACAGAAAGTAAACATATGTAGAGATCAATTGAAAACATTAAATGACTTTCAAAAATTACTAGGAGACATTAACTTGATGTGACCTGCTCTAGGCATTCCTACCTAGGCCATGAATAATCTATTTTCTAACCTTAGAGGAGATTCTAGTCTCACTAGCCCTTGGCAATTAACAAAGGAGGCTGAGGGAGAGTTACAGCTAATTGAGAAGCGAGTGCATAAGGCTCAAATAAATAGAATAGATCAAGAAAAGACTCCAGATTTGCTAATTTTTTCAACTCAGCATTCACCTACTGGAGTTATTGTTCAAGAGGAAGATCTTCTACAGTGGCTTTCTCTTCCATATACTAATTCACAGACTCTAACTCCTTATTTGGATCAAATTGCTACTATGAAAAGAAATGGGAGAACTCGGATTGTTAAATTACATGGATATGATCCTGGAAAAATTATTGTCCCTCTCACGAAGGTGCAAATACAGCAAGCTTTTATAAATAGTCTTACTTGGCAAACCCATTTAGCTGACTTTGTGGGTATTCTTGATAATCATTTTCCTGAAACAAAACTGTTTCCGTTTTTGAAATTAACCAATTGGATTCTCCCTAAAATAACTAAATTTAAACCAATTGAAGGTGCTGAAAATATCTTCA
Organism: Homo sapiens; assembly: GCF_000001405.40. Classification (NCBI taxonomy): domain Eukaryota; kingdom Metazoa; phylum Chordata; class Mammalia; order Primates; family Hominidae; genus Homo; species Homo sapiens. The sequence goes on along the minus strand of NC_000002.12, from coordinate 99,273,693 downwards.
CAGATGGGTCTAGTAATGGTAAAACTTCTTATTCTGGCTCTAAAGGTAAAGTTTTACAGACATCCTATACTTCAGCTCAAAAGGCAGAGCTTGTAGCTCTAACTGAGGTATTGATTGCTTTTCATATGCCTATTAATATGATTTCTGATTCTTCATATGTGGTTCATTCCACACAATTAACTGAAAATGCTCAGTTACGATTTCATACAGATGAACAACTGATGACTTTATTTACCCAATTGCAAACAGCAGTCAGGAGTAGAATGCACCCTTTTTACATCACTCACATTAGGGCTCATACACCTCTTCCAAGACCTTTGACTGCAGGTAATCAAATGGCTGATCACCTAGTTGCTACTGCAATATCTAATGCCAGACACTTTCACAATTTAACCCATGTTAATGCCTCTGGTCTCAAACGCAGATACAGCATTACCTGGAAAGAAGCTAAAGCTATTATCCAGTGATGCCCAACTTGCCAAATGGTGCATTTCTCATCTTTTACAGGAGGAGTTAATCCTTGAGGATTGGAACCTAATTCTCTTTGGCAAATGGATGTTACCCATGTTCCCTTGTTTGGGAGACTAGCTTATGTACATGTATGTGTGGACACCTTTTCTCACTTTGTCTGGGATACATGCCAATCAGGAGAGTCTTCTGCCTGTGTTAAACATCACCTTTTGCAGTGTTTTGCACTGTTGGGCATTCCAGCTTCTATTAAAACAGACAATGCCCCAGGCTATACTAGCCAAACTCTAGCTACATTTTTCTCTATATGGAATATTAACCACATTATTGGTATCCCATATAATTCTCAAGGACAAGCCATAGTGGAAAGAATCAATCTCTCCCTGAAACAGCAGTTGCAAAAGCAAAAGGGTGGAAACAGAGACTACAGGACACCACACATGCAATTGAATCTAGCATTATTGAGTTTAAATTTTTTGAGTGTGCCTAAAGACCAGATGAACAGCATCTGAACAGCATCTGTTCAGCAGTTACAACAGTGGCTGAACAGCATTTACAGAAACCAGCTGCAAAGACAAGCAGAACAACTGGTTTAGTGGAGAGATCCGATAACAAAAAGTTGGGAAATAGGTCAAATAATAACTTGGGGTAGAGGTTATGCTTGTGTTTCTCCAGGACTGAATCAACAGCCTATTTGGGTACCATCGAGACCTCTAAAGCATCACTATGAGCCAGATACACAGGAAGAGGTTTTGGGGGGATCCCAAAGACCTATCAGTGGCAGCATTGTCCAAGTTGATGCTAAGGAGGACCCCAACTGTCACGACCAACACCCGTTGAACACAGCCACCTACCTGGGGACAGATCAAGAAGCTGTCACAGATGGCAGAAGAAAACCTGAGGAAAGCAGGACAACCAGTCACAATGAGTAATTTAATGATAGCCATGGTAGCGGTGATCACCATTGCCATGAGTATTCCTTTAGCAAGGGCTGACACAGAGAACGATTATACTTATTGGGCATATTTACCTTTTCCACCACTTCTACAGCCTGTAACTTGGCTGGACCCCCCAATGGAGGTATACACTAATGATAACTCTTGGATGCTCGGTCCTACAGATGATAGAGGCCCATCTCACCCACATGAGGAAGGAACTGTTATGAATATTTCTTTAGGATTTGAACATCCACCTATCTGTTTGGGAAAGGCCACTAGTTGCCTACCCCCTCGCTATCAAATCTTGACTGGCAATAATGACCGGATGTAATCACTCTATGACACACTTACACATGCTTTCTGGTCTCAGTATTTGCCATAACAAATCTGCTTCTATACTTGAGGAATACCACCCTCAAAAACCTATTTGTAAACAGGATTGGACCTGGTCAGAAGAAATGAACGTACTTGTTTGGAAAGATTGCATTGCAGAACAGGCAGGGAGGCTGCACAACGATTCCCATGGAATCATTACTGATTGGTTCCCTAAGAGGATGTTTAGTTTGAATTGCACCTCTCAGTCTGCATGCCATGGCCATACTATGTTCAGCTGGTCTGAACAAAATGGTCAGATGGTAGAAATGGTAAGAAGTATGGCAAGAGTTCCTATTATCTGGAAACATGGTGGTACAGTGGCACCTCAAACTCAAATGATATGGCCCATTCTAGGAGCTAAACATCAGGATTTGTGGAAACTATTAATGGCTCTTAATAAGATCAAAATTTGGGAAAGAATAAAAAAGCATCTAGAAGGACACTCTACAAACTTGTCGTCAGATATTCCAAAATTAAAAGAACAAATATTTAAAGTATCCCAGGCACACCTGACCTTAATGCCAGGAACTGGAGTGCTTGAAGGAGCTGCAGATGGATTAGCAGCTATCAACCCATTAAAATGGATAAAAACACTTGGATGCTCTGTGATTTCAATGATGATTGTGTTATTAGTCTGTGTTGCTTGTCTTTGTATAGTCTGCAGATGCAGATCCCAGCTCCTGTGAGAAGTAGCTCACCGTGACAAAGCCACCTTTGCTTTTATCGTCTTGCAAAAACAAAAAGGGGGACAGGTGGGGAACAGGCCCCCAAATCTGGCCATAAACAGGCCCCAAAACTGGCCATAAACAAAATCTCTGCAGCTCTGTGAGATGCTCGTGATGGCTATGACGCCCACGCTGAAGGTTGTTGGTTTACCGGAATGAGGGAAAGGAACACCTGGCCCACCCAGGGTGGAAAACCGCTTAACACATTCCTGAACCACAAACAATAGCATGAGCGATCTGTGCCTTAAGGACATGTTCCTGCTGCAGATAACTAGCCAGAGCCCATCCCTTTGTTTCCCGTTTTAGTTAACCTATAATCTATAGAAATAATGCTTATTACTGGCTTGTTCTCAATAAGCATATGGGTAAAACTCTGTTCGTGGCTCTCAGCTCTGAAGGCTGTCAGCCCCCTGGTTTCCCACTCCACACACTATATTTCTGTGTGTGTGTCTTTAGTTTGTCTAGCGCCACTGGGTTAGGGTCTCCACGACCAAGCAGGTCTCGGCAGAACCCGTGAGCACCCAGTGATTTCTCACACAACACCTTCCTTGTCCCATCAAAATGTACCTTTCCTGCTGCTGTCTTCTCTGTGTCACATGCCCACTCTCTAACTAACCTAAGAGGGAAAAATAGTGAGAGACAAAGGAAGAGAAAGAGAGAGAGAGAGAGAGAGAGAGAGAGAAAGAGAGAGAGCGCTTAAACGCACCAATGGGCTAATACGAATCGCAGTTTCCTTTTCTATAAAGTAAAAATAAAACTATCTAGAAGCAGTCAAATTAAATCAAACTACATTTAGGCCTGCAGTTGAGAAAAATACTCAGGTTACCTCAGAGGATGGTGATTAGCTGTAAAGATTCATAAGGGAAGTGAGTGAGAAAGCATTGGAAGCCACCTCAGCAGAGGGTGAGTAGGTGGCATGAGGACCTAGAATGTTCTCCAGGAGACCTCCTAGTGGCCTAGGGGCAGCTCTTGGTGGCCTTTCCTGAGACTCGGGAAGTCTCCATTCTGTATTGATAATGACCACTTCTAACAGCCAAGTGACTTTCTGAGTACTCTCTGGTCTCCTGTGGGTGTGCACTCATGGCTTCTCCTGCCTTAAGGCTTCTGCTTACTGTCCCCTCTCAGAGGTCTTTCTGCTTTGGGCTCCTTTACTGCACATGTCCTTCTCTGTGTCTTACATTCAAACTCTCCAATCAGAGATTCTTGGATCACTTTCTGGCACAATCACCCACAGAATGTTCCAAACTTGCCCCTTCCCCTGGCCCATGTAAGCCATTCTTCGAGCTGTATCAGGGTTAAACTGACACCCTTCCATGTTTATCCAACTTGGTTTTCCCCATGTGTTTTCTCGCTTCATTTTCAGCCCACAGTCATTTAAGAGCACCCGGGTAGGCCAAGTGCTATGCTAAGAACAGGGGACATAAAACTGAATATGACAGAACATGAATTGACAATCTATTGGCAAAGCCACCTAGAAAAAAGTATGATGCTGTATTCATTTCCTAGGACTGTCATCACACATTGCTGAAAACTGGATGGGTTAAAACAATGGAAATGTATTATCTTTCAGTTTTGGAGGTTAGAAATTAAAAATCAAGGTGCCAGAAAGGCCATACTCCTGAAAGCTCTAGGGAAGAATCACCCCTCAGCTCTTCCTACCTTCTGGTGTTGCCAGCAATCCTTGGCACTCCTTGGGTGGTAAACACATCTCTCCAATCTCTGCCTCCAACACCACACAGCCTTCGTTATGTATTCCCCTGTGTCTTCACTTGGCCTCCCTTTAAGGATGCTAATCGTTGGATGTAGGCCCCACCCTAATCTGGTTGGACCTCATCTTGATTACATCTGCAAAGACCCTGTTTCCAAATAAGGCCACATTCATTCAGTTTTCTGGTGGATATGAATTTCAGGATGACTCTATTCAACCCAGCACAGGTGGTCACAGGTATACTGGTGCATGGATGTCCAGGGGTGACTGAGGAGGTCAATTCCTTTTCTCCTCCTCAAGTGGTGGCTACATACCAGGCTGATCTAGTCATAGAAGGTGGAGCATGACTGAACAGCATAGAGGGAGGAGAGGGCAATCAAGAGTTGCTGTTGTTGAAGTGTGGATATATAGGACAGGCACAGTGATAGGTCCCTATACAGAATATTAAATTTAACTCACACAAAAGTACTGAAAATATGTCATAGTATTCTGGTTTGGTAGGTGAGGAAATAGAGGCCCAGAGGTGTTAAGTCAGTTGCTCAGGGTCAAACAACCAGTTACGGGCAGAGCCAGGTTTGAACTGAGACTTAAGACAAATGCTTCAAGGGAGCTTGGAGCTGATATGACCTGGTATAGCACAGTTTCACATAGTCCAAAATATTCCCTCCATAGACAGGAAAAAAAAAAAAACTATGTTAGGCCACATCTTTTCCTTAGGACATCAAAAGCTCACATTACAGTCACTATTTAAAACTCTCTGGTCCAAGCAGGTGCTGGTATCCTTGGCTGGGAGACCTGAAGACAGATCATATCCCAGGCTCTTTGCAGACATTCCCTACCACCATCCCAGAGCCTGGTAGCCCGGATGGATGGCTAGTCCCAGAAGGGAAATAACAATCACTGCAGTTCAGCTCTCAGGAAGCCCATCCTTAGGGGAAGGGGAGAACACCACATCAAGGGATCACCCCATGGGACAAAATAATCTGAACAGCAGCCCTTGAGTTCTAGATCTTTCCACTGAAATAGTCTACCCAAATGAGAAGGAGCCAGAAAAGTAATTCTGGTAATATGACAAAACAAGTTTCTATAGCAACCCCAAAAGATCACATTAGCTCTCCAGCAATGGATCGAAACCAAAAAGAAATCTCTGAATTGCCAGATAAAGAATTCAGAAGGTTGATTATGTGAACCCTGAAAATCTGAGACAGGTTTCAGTTAATTTAGAAAGTTTATTTGGCCAAGGTTGAGGACATGTGCCCGTCATACAGCCTCAGGAGGTCCTGATGACATGTGCCCAGGGTGGTCAGAGCACAGTTTGGTTTTATACATTTTAAGGAGACATGAGACATCAATCAACATATGTAAGATGAACATTGGTTTGGTCTGGAAAGGCGGGAGAACTCGAAGCAAAGGTGGGACAACTCAAAATGGGGAGGGGGCTTCCAGGTCATATGTAGATAAGAGAGAAATGGTTGCATTCTTTTGAGTTTCTGATTAGCTTCTCCAAAGGAGGCAATCAGATATGCATTTATCTCAGTGAGCAGAGGGGTAACTTTGAATAGAATGGGAGGCAGGTTTGCCCTAAGCAGTTCCCAGCTTGACTTTTCTCTTTAGCTTAGTGATTTTGGGGGCCCAAGAAATTTTCCTTTCATATTTCCCTGCTTTTCTTATTAAAAATCTTTTGGAGAAAGCATTTTAGAAGAAAATGAGTCTGTGGTCTCAGGTTTCATCTGATCTCTCCTGGTTGGGATGGTTTATTCCTAGATGGGTAGGTCCTGAGTTATTAGGAAAGCTCATTTTTACAAGGTTGTGAAGTCTCATGTCCTTTGAAGAGAAAATAAGGGGAGGAAGCGAGAAAAACAATAACAGGCAAAAGAACAATCCTGGCAAATCGATATAGGCCACATAACTCTGAAGTCCATACATCAGTAGGCAGTTATGAAAGTGGTTGTATGCACATAGGTTGTACATAGGATGTACATATGTACATCATGTATGTACATAGGTTGCTGTTATTTTCCTCTGAAGTTTAAGTTGTCTGGCTTCAGTTCACAGGAAAGCACAGTTTAGTTTTCAGTGACTCCAAATTAGGAAAAATGGGGAAAAAAAGAAGAGAAAAAAATGAAAACATTATTTTGAAGATGAAGACTTGTAGCCAAGAAAAATTAGAATTCAATCCAAACTGTAGAAAATAATAAAAATTGAAAAACATTAGGGAAGACTAGAATCTAACAACAGGTGTACTATAGTTTTTGAAACATAATTTTTCTCTCCAGTTTCCCATTTTTACTAAAGACAAATCATGGTAAGATTGGTTTGCTTTCTTATACTTGGCCTAATTATTTGTATACAGTGCAGCAAAAATATTTACATAGGCTTATAAATTGGCTTTGATGGAACTTTGTTCCATAGAAGGAATCTCAGATAAGACTTTTTAAAAGCCAAGTCCAGCCATGGATTTGTACCATCAAATGCCTGTGAGTTGAGTAAATTCCTCTTCTCTTGAGGTCCCAAGATAAACCTGGGGCTCCTGGGCCTGTCAGAAGGTGACATTCTTTACTTGCCACAGGTCAGGAACCCTATACAGGGACGGTGTAGACAAAGGTATGAGGTCAGTTTTTCCAAGGGGCTTTTAGTGACTCCATAAGTCAAGTTTGATTCCTTAAAGGAAAGCATGCCATCCCTGTCAAAGCCTTGGTAAAATACCAGTTTCTCCAACTGTGTCCTGTTACAGAAAACAGATTATTATTGCACTTATGCAAATAACATATTGTCATAAGTTAAAAATACCCACAAATAATTTCCAACTTCTGGAGAAATCAGTTAGAAATGAATATGCTCCAAATTTTTTTCATAGGAGTATACTTTACTCAACTGTTAAAAGCTGTAAATAACTTAAAAGTGTTATTGACTCTGAAAAACAAAACAAAGGATCAGCAACATTTTAAGCAAAATTTAAAAAGATTATTTCAGACTTCTATTAGTTTAGTCCATGCAGTTAATTCCTGTTCTGCTTGATATTCATGAACATTTCAGTACTCCGTGAGTCCTAAAAGTTTTCTTCTATTCTGATGTCACAATCTCCACAGTTATCAGAAACCTGCATTTAAGAGCACCTGTTGGAGTTTTATAGCTGATTATGAAACCACCTTCTAAAGAGGACCAAAACAAGACAACATCGGAAAAACTCTTCCAGGCATTGGCTTAGGCAAAGAGTTCATGACCAGGAACCCAAAAGTAAATGCAACAAAAACAAAGATAAATAGATGAGACTTAATGAAACTAAAAAGCTTCTGCACAGCAAAAGAAATAGCAGAGCAGACAACCCACAGAGTGGGAGAAAATCTCCACAAACTATGCATCCAACAAAGGACTAATATCTAGGATCTACAAGGAACTCAAACAAATCAGCAAGGAAAAAAGAAGTAATCCCATCAAAAAGTGGGTTAAGGACATGAATAGACAATTCTCATAAGAAGATATACAAATGGCCAACAAACATATGAAAAAATGCTCAACATCACTAATGATCAGGGGAATGCAAATCAAAACCACAATGTGATACCACCTTACTCCTGCAAGAATGGCCATAATTAAAAAAATTTTAAAAATTATAGATGTTGGCAGGGATATGGTGAAAAGGGAACACTTTTACACTGCTGGTGGGAATGTAAACTAATACAACCACTATGGAAAACAGTATGGAGACTCCTTAAAGAACTAAAAGTAGAACTACCATTTGATCCAGCAATCCCACTACTGGGTATCTACCCAGAGGGAAAGAAGTCTTTATATGAAAAAGACACTTGTACATCCATGTTTATAGCAGCACAATCTGCAATTGCAAAAATATGGAACCAGCCTAAATGCTCATCAACCAATGAGTGGATAAAGCAAATGTGATGTATATATATACATATATATATATAGATAGATTTATATATATATATACATACACACATGCACACCATGGAATACTACTCAGCCATAAAAGGGAACAAAATAATGGCATTTGCAGCAACCTGGATGGCATCGGAGACCATTATTCTAAGTGAAGTAACTCAGGAGTGGAAAACCAAACCTTGTAGGTTCTCACTTACAAGCGGGAGTTAAGCTATGAGGATGCAACGCCTTAAGAATCATACAATAGACTCTGGGGACTTGGGGAGAAGGGTGAGACGGGGGTGAGGAATAAAAGACTACACATTGGGTACAATATACACTGCTCAGGTGATGGGTATGGCAAAATCTTAGAAATCACCACTAAAGAGCTTATCCATGTAACCAAATACCACCTGTTCCCTAAAAACTATTGAAATAAAAAATAAATTTAAAAAGATGTGGTAAAAGATTAAAAATAAATAAAAATAGAAAAAAAAACTCTTCAGTCAAATATGGTGGCCACTAGTGGCTATTGAGTACTTGAAATGTAGCTAGTTAGAACTGCAATGTGCTGTAAGCCTAAAATACACACATTTAGTACAAAAAAGATTATAAAATATCCCAACTTTTATATTGATTTTGAAATAATATTTTGAGTATATTGGGCTAAACAAAATGTAGCATTAAAATTAATCTCACTTCTTTCAATGTGGCTGACAAAAAAGTTTAAATTAAATGTGCGGCTCACATTTTGTTTCTATTGGACAGCACAGGTGGAGAAGGTCTCTGAACATAAAACACCGAATAAGTATATTTTCCACTGGGACTGGGGATGGGTGCTTTGGGGGAAGTGCATAGGTGCTGGGCAGTGTTAAAATCAGGGTGGGCGTAGGTGGCAGTGAAGGGCAGTCTTTGTGCAGCCAGATGGCAAGTGAGAGCATGAATGCCTGACTGTTGGAAATGACAAAATAAATCATGGAATCCTGAAGTTTCAGGGTGTAAAATGCTTTAGAAATCATCATCTGACCCAATAAATGATGGAAAGAAATGCCCTGGACTCGGAATCTGAATGTTTTGGTTCCAGTCTCAGCTCCATCATTTATTAGATAGGACGTCTTGGGCAAGTCAGTCTCTTTTCTTATATGTCTAATGGGGGACATAAAATCTGCTTGATCTTTCCTGGAAGGTTATTTCTATTATTTTAACTTATTTGAAAGCCCACTCAAAATTCCAAAGTACTGCAACAATATGAGATATTAAATAGATGTTGCCTATTTTACAATCCTGGCTCAGCCCAGTTCTACAGACAGTTGGTAATTTTCAAGGTGAGTAATTAATACAGAGATACTTTGGCAGTGAAAATATTATTAGTGTGTTTGTGCTTATGTCTACACAGAGAAGAGAGAGGAGGCAAAGATAAAACCTGTAGCTCCCATTTTCTTCTTATATATTTTTACTTATTTTTTCTGTCACAGTTATAACCCCTTAAGAAAAATTTAGATGAGTACTAGAATCTGGCAAAATTAGTTAAATCAGACTGAGATGAATAAGATAGAACAAAATGAGCTGTAGAATGATGTTTTGGCTGAGCCACTCACTCTGCCAGGGTCAGCACCTTCTTTAATTGACTCTTTTCAAGGAAATGCAGTACAGGTTGCTCTCTGTTGTTACCTGTGTGTCATGACCCGCTGGGCCATTAACCCATTTGTCTTGAATAGTCAATTCTCTGGCCCCAGGATTGTCAGGAGCCAGGAGGAGCTGGGGAACATGGCTGAGACATTCTCACTCCTGTTCCAGCCTCAGGAAAACCCACTGAGCCTGGGTCAAATCTTGGGAGTAACTGCTGACAATGGTGATTCCTGAGCCATCCTCTCTCCATTGCTTGTCCTGGGTGAGGCCTCAGGGAGGCCAACAATTTCCTATGCCTCTCTATTGCTGTACACATCTGGAACTGAAATTCATTGCATATCCCTTCACCCCTGAATTTAACCCTGAGAAGTGTGAAAAATTGGTTCAAACGTCCTCATCAAAACTCATGTTGAAATTTAATTATCATATGTACTGGTATTGGAAGATGGAAACTTTAATAGATGATAGGTGCCAGGGTGCAGTGGCTCACGCCTGTAATCCCAGGACTTTGGGAGGCTGAGGCAAGAGGATCACTTGAGCACAGGAGTTTGAGATCAGCCTGGGCAACATGGTAAGATCCTGTCTCTAAAAAAAAAACACATACAAATTAGTGGGGAGTGGTGGCACACACCTGTAGTCCCAGCTATTCGAGAGTCGAGGTAAGAGGTTCACCTGAGCCTAGAGAGGTTGAGGCTGCAATGAGCTGTAATTGCACCACTGCGCTCCAGCGTGGACAACAGAGGGAGACCCTGTCTCAAAAAAAAAAAAAAAAAAAAAGATAATGAGGTCATGAGGCTTCGCCCTCATGAATGGAATAATGCTGTTCTCTCAGGGGGGCTTTATTTCTGCAGGATCAGCTCAGCCCCATTTGCTCTCCATCTTGTGTGTTCACCTCCACCTTCTGCCATTCCACCATGGATGACCCTTGTCAGATGCCAGCACCATGCTCTTGGATTTCCTGGCCTCCAGAACCATGGGCCCAATACATTTTTGTTTATCATAAATTACCCAGTCTGTGGTATGCTGTTATAGCAGCAAAAATAGCAGACTAAGACACTCACCATCCCAGTCACCACAGGGCCAGAACTCTAGAAGACGCCCTTGCAGTTCTCATAAAACCTGGGGTCGAAGGCCATCTAAGGGGTAGCCCTCCACAGCAATCATCTGTGGGATCAGACATGGCTAAAGAGTTTTAATATAGCATGTCTTTCTGAAAATTAATACAAGTTCCTTGTAGAACACTTGAAAATTACTGCAAGGTACTGATTATATCCCTTTTAATTATGTAATTTTTTGTAAAATTTCTTTCTTTTTTTTTTTTCTTCTTCTTCCTTTTTTTTTTTTTTTTTTTTGGCATATGATTATCAAAGGACTAGGGCTGGGCATGGTGGCTCACGCTTGTAGTCCCAGTACTTTTGGGATGCCAAGGTGGACAGATCATGAGGTCAGGAGATCAAGACCATCCTGGCTAACACAGTGAAACCCCATCTCTACTAAAAATACAAAATATTAGCTGGGTGTGGTGGCAGGCGCCTGTAGTCCCAGCTACTTGGGAGGCTGAGGCAGGAGAATGGCGTGAACCTGGGAGGCGGAGCTTGCAGTGAGCCGAGATCGTGCCACTGCACTCCAGCCTGGGCAACAGAGCAAGACTCCATCTCAAAAAAAAAAAAAAAAAAAGACTAGGACCCAGACTATAGTATATGAGGACTTCTATTTTAAAAAATGAGAAAAAGTTGATGATATCTTGTGATATAAAAAATTTTTAAAGCCAAATAAATAAAATGTGAAAAAGGCAAACAACCCAGTGAAAAGTGATCAAAGAATACAAACGGGCAGTTCAGAGCAGGTAAAACTGACACTGCCAATGAGCATATATGAAAAGATGCCCAACCTCAGTCAGGAAACTGACTTTTCTCACCCAATTTAAGTCTAATTATAGCAAACCTCGGTGGAGATATGGAGCATGGAAACACTTACATCCTGCTTTAGAGGGGTAAATGTGGTACAGCTGCTTTGAAGAAGAATTTTGTAACATCTGGTATAGTTGAAGATGCAATTCAGCTTAATTTCCATGCCTGCATATACACACACTTAAAACAAAATTGGAAACATTCATTAATACCATTTAATAACCTGCTTAAGTAAAGTAAAGAGCTTAACAGTATGAACATCCTTCTGTTGTTAAACAAGAAAACTTATTATTAAGAAGCCTCCAGCTGAGGCTCCTAACCCCTGCTTCCTCTCTTTGCACTGTGAGGGCCTCTGGCCTGATAAAAGGTCACCAGAATCTTTGCACACACAGCCCAGAATCACCCACACCTGCCTGCTCCTCCACTGTCTGTGGGGATATGCGATAGCCCAAGCCCCTGCATGCCTGATTTATTCCTCTCACCATCCACCCCCTCATCCTTCTGCCCTTGATTTTGGTCAGGTTACTAAGGAGAATGAGTTGGAGAGGTCCACAGGGGATTCCAGTTCTCCTAGAAATCAAGACTGCAGGAAGCAGGCACGAGGGAGTGAGCAAGCACTTGGGAAAGGGCCTGAGCAAAGCAGGCTGAAGCTTGTATGCTACTGTTTGTTGTAACTGCGGGTGGAGTTAGAGGTAAGGTAAGAGAAGTAAGCTGGGAGAAAAGGATGGCCGATACACTCCACCTCCAAAACCTTAAGCTTAAATCTTCCCACTGGCCCCATGATAGCCCCTTACTTTCTTCCCTTCATTTCCAATCCACTTGCCATTACTTAAGCCATTCCTTTGCCAAACTCCATCTCACTTGTCCCTGTATCCTCCTTGCATGGCCCCCGCAGAGCTGCACCTCAGCCCTGGACCACTCCAGCCCTCTGTTTTCTCCTTGTCTGTACTTAGGTTGCCGTGTCAGACCCCAGCATTTCAATACCTCCAAATGAACATTTATGGACTCCAATCTCAACTAGTCCATATGTAAACCCCACTCATCTTTTTGGCTCTCTTTCAGCTGTCTCTCCAATTCTACCGGGTAGCTTTTCCACATGCTCTCCGTTTTCTAAGTCCACGTAGTTTTTACTCTCAGCACATGATTTGACCTCCTGTTTCACAAAGGACTTAAAAATCATTAGATAACTCCCTCAGTTTTCTCCTATCAACTCTATACACTGAACTGCATTGCTATCTGATTTTTTTCTCTTTTCTTTCTGTTACAATGGAAGAGGCAGTCCCATTCCTGCCTCAGGCCAATTTCTATGCTTAAGCTTTTGAACTAGCGTCTTCAACATCATTACCTGACCAAATAATCCTATTGTTTTTTGTATCCTCATTTTCTACAGCATTTGATTATATTCAAGTCACTCCCAGGTTAAACCATGACAAAAGGACTGTCTTTGACACAAGTCCTTCTCCAGATACTGCTCCAGCTCTTCTCTCCATCACAGGTATAGTGAACAACTATAGAGCAGTTTTTTACAAAATCATCCAGACTTCTAGGTAAGTGACTGCCTGGGGTCAGAGGGTGAACAGGAGAGAAGAGGGAGGGGAGAGAAACTGGGAATGACTGCTAATGGTTGTGGAGATTCTTCCATGGATAATGAAAATACTCTAAAATTGATTATGCTGATGGTTGCAAAACTCTTATCAACATACTAAAAACCATTGAATTGCACACTTTAAATGAGTGAAGGCTATGATATGTGAATTATACCTCAAATCAAGCTGTTTTTAAAAAATAGCTTACTTGGCCGGGCACGGTGGCTCATGCCTGTAGTCCCAGCACTTTGGCAGGCTGAGGCAGATGGATCACCTGAGGCCAGGAGTTTGAGACCAGCCTGGCCAACATGGTGAAACCCCATCTCTACTAAAAAATACAAAAATTAGCCAGGTGTGGTGGTGGGCACCTGTAATCTCAGCTACTCAGGAGGTTGAGGCAGGAGAATTGCTGGAACCTGGAAGGTGGAAGTTGCAGTGATCCGAGATCATGCCACTGCCCTCCAGCCCAGGCTGACAACAGTGAGTCTCCATCAAAAAAAAAAAAAAAAAAAAGTTTACTTTTGGCACAATGAAAGACATAGTTAGGGGATATCATGAGGCAGTCTTTTTATGGTGATGGGTCAGTTCTGTATCCTGATTATGGTGATGGTTACTTGCATCTACCTGTGGGATAAACGTTCACAGTACTATACGCTTCTGAAATATAAATAAATATTTTTTTTAAAAGAGCGTGTAAAAACAAACTGGGGAAATCCAAATAAGGTCTGTACCTAAGTTTACAGTATTGTATAATACTAATGGTAATGTTCTGGATTTGACATGTACTATAGTTATGTAAGACATTGCCATTGGGGGAAGCTGGGTGAAGGGTACATGAGAACTCTTGGTACTATTTTTGAAGCTTCTTGTGAAATTTAAACTATTTCAAAATGAAAACGTTACTTTAAAATTTTGTTTCAGACTTCTCCCTTCTCCTTTCCAAACCACAGGGAGTCCCTTTTTCAAACAAATATATTCCTAGACATGGTTGAATGATCCAGAGGTGGGCACCTGACCCAGCCCAGGTTCATTGGAATTTTTTCCTGGATTTTTTTTTTAACTTGTGTATTTTTCCATTATATCGTTATACTACAACTGTTAGTCCATTCTTCTGTTGATGAATTTTTTGGAGTGTTTCCAGTTTTGAGCTATTATGAATAAAGCACTGTAAAAATTCTTTTTTTTTCTTTTCTCTTTGCAGAACTTACAATCTGTGAAGATTCTCATACAAGTCTTTTGGGAGACATTTTTTTTTTTTTCATTGCTCTTGGGTAAATAACTAGAAATAAAATTCCTGAGGCATATAGTTATTTACTTTGTTAGAAACTGCTGAACAGTACTACAAAGCAATCATACCATTTTATACTCCAACCAGCAATGTATGAGAGTTCTGTTTTGTTTCATATTCTCACCAATATGTGATATAGCTAGTCTTTGGTTTTAGCCTTTTTAGAGAGTGTGAAATACTGTCTCATTTTGGTTTTATTTTGCATTTCCCTGATGTGTAAAGATGTTTACCAATTTTTCATGAGCTTTATTGGCCATTTGTATATCTTCTTTCCTGAAATGTTGGTCAAATGTTTGACATTGGAAGACCAATAATGCAACCATATAAGTGGCTTCTTCAACAGGGCATACCCTGCATTTTACCTATCATATAGTAGATTAAAACCAAGACAAGAAAAGCACACAGCAGTTAAAGCTTGACATTGATATATCCTGGGGTTAAGTTGAATGTTTTAGTGAAATTTTATGGAAGGGCTCCCCTTCTGCCTTCTTACCAGCCATTGGCGCCAAAGTACCTTTGCCACATATTCTTGGGCAGCTCCCCCATTTTATAGGTTTCAGAGCTGTGAAACAGATGCTTGGGCTGCAGCTGCTTGTGTGGCTGTTTCTGAACTTATCCTTCCTCCACTCCTACCAGGCAGGCTACAGAGTCCTGACAATGAATAGCTCTTGCTTGTCCTGCCAAGTTTTCTTCATGGCTGGAGAGAGACTTCACCTCCTACTTCCTGTCCTATAATTCAGCTGTTTATTTTTCCTGAGTGCATGGATAAACAAACAAATGAATAAATCAACAAGAAGCTAAGCCATCAGGACTTGAGTGCAAACCCATCATGATAGTAACTGGCATCTCTATGAAGCACTGTAGTTTATAACATGTTTTTACATATAAAATTTATTTTTGTCTTCAAAACAAAGTCATGGGGCATTATTATCATCTCCATTTTACAGATGAGGAAAATTAAGGCTCAGGGAGGTTAAATGAGTTGGCTATGGTCATCCTCCTTGGCTGTTGTTCCTGAGAAGGGAAAGCTGTGCCTGGGATTCACAAATAATGACATGGCGGAGACAACCCAGTCTCTATTAGCACAGACTAGTGTTGGGAGGGAGGCAGGTGGGGACGCAGAGGGCGAGGGGACCAAGGGAGCCTGAGGTGCTGGATTCCTTTAACTCCCAAAAGTGCTAACCTAGGGTAGCTCAGGGCACAAGGGCAGGTCTTTGTGTGGTATGAATTGAGAAGTCTTGCCAGGAACTCCTACCAGAATCTACTTCCCTGGCTATACAGAGTACCTCAGTTTTCATAATCATTCCTCTCCTCCTAACTAGGACAGTACTGCTTAAACTTTCCCATTGAAGTTTTCCAATTGCTGAGGCCATTTAGTCGTTAGGGATGATTGGAGTCTCCACCACTGAAGCCAGGAACCCCAAATCTGTTAGGACTCCCCAGAAGCTGCCAGAGAATTGCTGCACTGAAGAGTCTTAGGAGCAGGCAACTGATTTGAGGGGTAGGGGACCAGGCCATAGAGTTTTATTTGTATAGCACAGAAATTGCTTGCATATAGATTGTGTTTTTATTTTGGGGACTGATAGAGATTATGACAGGTGCCAAGTTCCCTTCAAGCCCCTCCTGGAAATAACAGTACAACTTACATGTAGTCATTCTTGGTATCCCTGGGAAGAGATGGAGAATTATTCAGTACATTTCTTCTTAGTGACAAGAAATTTCTAAGGTCATTATACAATAGTACCCACACTTAACCATCCACTGGGTCAGTAGGGTACTGCAGTTAAGAGTTAGGCTTCAGAATGTAACAAACTTAGGTTATGCCCCTTCCTATTATTCTACCAGTCATACCATACAAGGTCAGTGCGTATTAACTACATTATTATTACTGGTGGAGAAAATATAAAGTGACAAAAAACCACTTTGGACTTAGTTAACTTATATTAATTTGCATTTTAGAAATTACAACAGCACCTACAAACATTTGACAGATAGTGGTATAAAAATCTGTGAGTGGTGTTATTTTTCCAGACCACGGACAATGCTTTGTATCCAGATTGATTTGGACCTGTTGCAATGATTGCTCTGCAGAGGCATTTGTCCATCGTGCTGGCACTTCGATACAGTGGAAGAGCATGGATTTTGGAATCTTACAGGCCTAGATTCAAATCCTGGCTCTGTCACATGCTAACTGTGCCATCTTTGACAAGTTACTTAGCTTCTCTGAGTCACAGTTTCCTCATCTCTAAAATAAGGGATAATACCTGCCTCACAGGGCCAGTGGAGGATTGAGTCATATAATATCCATAGGAACCTGACTAATGTTGGGTGTCAAATAAATGTTCAATTGTTCTCTCACAGCTTGAGTGAACAGAACAATCCACATCAGTTTGAAAACAATTTTGGTTGAGTTGCAGAAGCCTGGACATTAAGGACCTCATACCTAGAAGGACTCGTAGCCCCACTAACTGAGAGCAGAAGGATAAGTATTCTTCACATTCAACAGTGCTTTAAATGTTTTATTAACAATGTCTTCTTCCAGTGCATGTAGGGAGAGCCCCAGCCTCCACCTACTCTCTTTTACCTAACTTATCATTCGTAACTTCTTAATCTCCCTTTCTTGAGCTTTCTCATTGCACTTAGCCTGGAAGCCTCAGGTAAGTGGCTCTACTCACCCTGCAGTGAAGTGGGTCACGGGCACAATGTCGCTGGGTCATAGACTATGGGTTTCTAAGGCCTGCCTCAGGGCAGTTAGACTCCTGCAATATCCCTTATTCAAGAGTGGTCCTGACTGCAGTGTTGATGGTGGTGGAGCAGACCCTCCATGGGTCACTTTCCTGAGAGTCAGGTAGGAATCATCCATTGGCTCAGAACAGCCCTGCCACTCTTCCAGGGATGGAAGGCTAGAGGCCATGCCAGAGACGTCTGTTCTACAAGCAGGAAGGCAGGCAGGGCAGAAGTGAATGCCAGTGGACTGTGCAGACCTCAGCTTGGGGAGGGCATGTTCTCCTGGGAGTGGAGGTGGTTTTATTGCCAGGGAGCTGGGAAGTTGCCTGTGGTTTTGTCTTCCTGTTCCCTGTACAGCTGCCTTCCACCTTTCTTCACTCAGTGGATGTGGGGGAGGACTGTGTGCAGTCTGAGAAACTGGACACGCTTGTGGAAGGACCCAGACCAGACTTCTTCCTCCCCTCAGCGCAATGTGCTTTGCCTGTTTCAAGAACGTCCCTTCCATTTCCTGTTCCTGGGGCTGCACAATATGCTTCCTCTCTTCCTTTGGACATAAGCCTGAAGAAAGATACTCTCTTCTTGAAGAAGTTTTCATCCCTGGCTATAATCTTTTTTCCCATATCCTTAGCAAGTATGGGCAAATGAGCACTCACGTTGCTACTCCCTGGTTTTGCATTGATCTCCTAGAGCAGGTGGCCACACTTGCACCTTTTTCTCAGAAGTGGGATTGGAGTAAGGAGCCAAGTTCACCTATCATGATCATGTGACATAGTGGTTTGAGATCATGTGACATACTGGTACGGGGATCATATGACATTGGAATGGGAACAAAAAGCAGGAGACCCAATATTTCAGGTAAATAACCAATCCAAGAATAAAAATTGCTAGTATTTCCTGTTATCCTTTTAAAGTGAATTATCTGTTTCTTATTCGCAAATTTAGAAGCTGTTTGGCACAATTTTAGATATCTAGAAACAATCTATCAAAATATGCCTCCTGAGCAACTTGGGGGTTCATTAGGTTAATTAATTAATAGTGGTTAATAAGCCCTTTGAAATCCTCTTATTAATTGGGTCACCTAAGTCCTAAGTACTATTATAACCAGGCCTAATGAGGTCAATGGTTTAAAGAGAGGGTTTTAAACCATATATAAAGCTCCTCTAATGATCATTGGTACAGGACGAAGGTAAGAAAAGCCAGGTGAGTCTTCATGCTGGTGTTTAAAAGTTTCCTCCACAGCAGTAGAGCCACGCTGATGTCTACTCTGTTGAAGCCAGGTGCGCAGTGATCTACTGACTAATGGATTCTCCAATTGTTAAGCCTATGTTACAGGACAAAGGCCGTCGCTTTGTAAAAGCTTGAAGTGCAGTTTGCTGCTGAGTACAGAAGACCTTTGCAAACAGAGAGGGGAGATTTTCTCTGTAAGGTTGCAAACAAGGTTAGTGCTGGCCTTCTTATGTCTTGTAAAACTTATAAGCTACCATTTGAATGAAACCAAGAATAGAGTTGATTGAGGAAGAAATGGAGCAGAGGAAACCTCTTCTAAGTCACGTTCTCATGCTCCTGTTGGTATTTTGTTTTATTTTGTTTTCCCTACGGAGACCCTGGTATAAGAATGGAAACACCCAGGCATGGTGGCACGCATATGTCGCCCCAGCTACTCAGGAGGCTGAGGTGGGAGGATCGCTTGAGCCCAGGAGTTTGAGGCCATAGTGAGCTATGATTATGCCACTGCACTCCAGCCTGGGTGACAGAGCAAGATCCCATTTCTAAATAAATGAATGAAAGACCAAAACTGATCCTTGAAGCCAGGGGTAGGGTGAATAACTAGAATGAAAAGATCAGTATTTTTTTTTTTAAAAAGAAAGGGAACAAAATTGTGGTGTTACCAAGCTTAGAGGTGGGATGGGAGTGTATATTTAGTTACATATGTAAGATACGCATGACTCATGTCAATATGAAATTGGATTGAAGTGAGATTAGGAGTTTATGCTTAAGAAAGAGAGTGTGCCAACAAACTATGTACTGAGCCTGTGAGAATACTATCTTGAAACAGGGAAATGAGTAGTGAATTGGAAATAACTCTAAACTTTTTAAAATATCAAAGCAAATTTTTCTTTAGGAAATTTTCAGGTTTTAAAATTAACCAGTTTCTATTTCAAATCAGAGCAGGTCCTGGAAGATAAGATTCCCCGCCATGTTATCCTCCGTGGTGTTTTGGGGACTAATTGCCCTCATTGGTAAGTCACTGGCTGAGATTTAGCATTGTTCACAGGGTGTCCACAAAAACCTCCAGCACAATCATGAATCAGAAAGAGCAATGATTACCTGTAATGGAAGAGTGGGCTCTCATTCTGACCAGCTTGGCCATTAATCAACTATTATTTCTATAATTAACAGTGTGTTCTGCTTGCTAAGCAGGTGAAAAACAGGATCTATGGGAATTTCAAATAATCTAATATTTATTGATCTGCTTACTTCCTGTCTGACAATGCACCTATCAGGCTGGATACCTTACCGAGAGGTATATGGAACAGTGCCTTGGAAGCAAAACACATGAAGAGACAATTATCAATGCCAAGCAGTGGATGAGAGTTCAATGTGTATAGGTGGGAAAAAAGCACTAGTCTGGGAAAGGTTTGGGAGGAAGAGCTCACATCCAACTAGAATGCTCAGATGTGAAAGGCTTTTGGGGGGGACATGTCAATTGAAGGATGCTTGGTGATTTAATAAGAAAAAGGAAGAGCCTGCTGGATGGGAAGAAAGATTTCAGTAAAAAAGCAGAGGCAGAAATGAATGAAAAGTCTTTGGGTCAGTGTGGTCTGGACAGACGAGGGGGTTTCTGGGGGGAAGGCTGGAAAGATAGGTTGGTAAGTTGGTAAGGGATCTTGAATAAGAGAATGTGAAAACTCTGACCTAAGCAAAATGAAAAGCCATTATGAGCAATGTTCAAGTTGTCTTTAATTATAGAATGGTGACTGAAAGGAAAGTGTTTCTAAAATGTTTAATTCTAAATTTGGAAAAACAAGGCTACCCGAAAGTAATTTCCAGTTACTTATGGTCAAAACAGGGCAACATAGTTTTAAATTTTTACTCTTTTTAGATTGCCAGGTGAGAGCAGAGTTAAATAGCCAGTAGATTAATTATGAGCTACCATATTAGCTGTGTATAGCTGAAAGGTGACTCTTAATTTAAAAAGGGCTTGTGTGTTTATAAGGCCTACACAGGCAGCGTAGGGTCCATGGTCATATTCCAGTTCCCTTAAAGCAGTGGTTCATAAACATGTGTAAGAGTCAACTGGGAATGCTGGGTAAAAGGCAGCTTCTTTCGCCTTATACTGCAAGATTTTGGTGCAGTAGATCTGGTGTGAAAAGCCCAGTGATAAGCCTTTTTTTTTTTTTTTTTTTTTGAGACAGAGTCTTGCTCTGTCGCCCAGGCTGGAGAGTGCAGTGGTGCGATCTCAGCTCACTGCAAGCTCTGCCTCCTGGGTTCATACCATTCTTCTGCCTCAGCCTCCCAAGTAGCTGGGACTACAGGCGCCCACCATCATGCCCAGCTAATTTTTTTGTATTTTTAGTAGAGACAGGGTTTCACTGTGTTACCCAGGATGGTCTTGATCTCCTGACCTCGTGATCCGTCCGCCTTGGCCTCCCAAAGTGCTGGGATTATAGGTGTGAGCCACCACGCCCGGCCCAGTGATAAGCATTTTTAATAAGCTTCCTGGGTAACTTTGATGCCTGTGGTCTGTGGGCCACACAGTGAGCCTGGCAAAGACTGCCTCCCAGTGAAAGGATACTGAACCTGTCAATATAAGGACACTTGATCCAGATAATTTAAACAATCCCTTTCTGTCTCATTCCTTCATCCATCCAACTATCCATTCTTCCATTCAGCAAATGTTTATTAAATGTCTACTTTGTGCCAAGCATTGTTCCAGGTGCTGAGGAGGATATAGCAGAGAAAAACATCTAGTATCTGACCTAATGAAATTTATCTTCTAGTGAGAGGAACGAACAGTAAGAGAGTGAGAGGAAAAAGGGAAGAGAGAGGGAAAGAGTGAGAGGAAGGGAGGGAGATAAAAACATTTCACCTGTAAAAATTTTTGGGCTGGGCACGGTGGCTCACACCTGTAATCCCTGCACTTTGGGAGGCCGAGGCAGGCGGATCAAGAGGTCAGGAGATTGAGACCATCCTGGCTAACACAGTGATACACCATCTCTACTAAAAATACAAAAAATTAGCCAGGTGTGGTGGCAGGCACCTGTAGTCCCAGCTACTTGGGAGGCTGAGGCAGGAGAATGGCATGAACTTGGGAGGCGGAGCTTGCAGTGAGATAAAAACATTTCACCTGTAAAAATTTTTGGGCTGGGCACGGTGGCTCACACCTGTAATCCCTGCACTTTGGGAGGCCGAGGCAGGCGGATCAAGAGGTCAGGAGATTGAGACCATCCTGGCTAACACAGTGATACACCATCTCTACTAAAAATACAAAAAATTAGCCAGGTGTGGTGGCAGGCACCTGTAGTCCCAGCTACTTGGGAGGCTGAGGCAGGAGAATGGCCACTGCACTCCAGCCTGGGCGACAGAGTGAGACTCCATCTGGAAAAAAAAATTTTTTTTTTTAATGTGTCTCTAACATATAAGGACCAGCTCTGGCACAAAAAGATGTTCCTGGTTCATCTTGAACATTTCCTGCCCCAGGCAGGCAATCAGCCATTATTCTGAGGAGCGCTGGTTCCACTTAGCAGGAAATGGTATTTAGAGACCACAGTGTGGGAAGTAAAAGTGCTCCATTGCTATGGAGCTGTCGTTTATTTCAGGTGTTTTCAGTGGCAGGAACTAGAAAATATATATTTTTAAAAGGAAAACAACTATGCATTCAGATATTTCACATTTATATTTAAGAATGCAAGCATTTTACATCAGTTTTATATTTGTACCTCTGCTATCTTACACTAAAAATCCTAGTTCTAATGACATTAGCATTATTACTTATTTACATACAATAGTGTCAAAATAAGTATGACAGTATTACCAACCAACAATGAGACAGTAAATATAATTTAAGATTTTCTTGTGATTATTTATGTTCACAGGATGGATTCCTATGTAGTGGTATAGACTTATATGGATATATTTTAAAGTCACTTAAGATAATTCTCCTCTATGTGTTTATTAATCTTTCAATTTGTTATAGAGTTATGTTCATTTGTTCTTCTTTTTTATGATTCCATTTTTCCCCATTTGATTTAATTTTAAAATTTATGATAACATTTACATGGTTCCAAAATAAAAACTTTAAAAAAGATAGTTAGTCTATCCCCTATCCCTGTTCCCTTTACCTTCCTCTTACTCTCTCCATAACTAACAATTTTTATCAGTTTTTCATTCATCCTTGTATTGTTTCTTTTGAAAATATGAGCAAATCACACAAAATATACGATTGTATTTTCTTACCTTTCTTACACAAAGAGTACAATTCTATAAATACTATTTTGTCCCTGGAGAGAATTTTACAGGAGTATATACAGGTCTTATTCTTTCCTTTTGCAGCTGCATAGTGCTCCACTGTGGACGTAGCATCACTTACTCAACCAGTCCCTAAATTAATGACATTTGTGTTGTTTGCAGTCCTTTGCTCTTATCAACAGTGCTGGAATGAACAGCCTATCACAAAACTGTGTTCCACAGCAATGTGTGTGACAGCCTATTTCCTCACAACCTCTCCCACAGAGGGTATTGCCAAACCTTTGGGCTCTTGCCAACTAAAGAGTTGGAAAATGCAGCCAGGCGTGGTGGCTCACGCCTGTAATCCCAGCACTTTGGGAGGCCAAGGTGGGCGGATCACAAGGTCAGCAGATCGAGACCATCCTGGCTAACATGCTGAAACCCCGCCTCTACTAAAAATACAAAAAATTAGCCGGGTGTGATGGCAGGCGCCTGTAGTCCCAGCTGCTGGGGAGGCTGAGGCAGGAGAATGGCATGAACCCAGGAGGCGGAGCTTGCAGTGAGCCATGATCGCACCACTGTACTGCAGCCTGGGCGACAGAGCAAGACTCTGTCTCAAAAAAAAAAAAAAAAAAAGAGTTGGAAAATGCTGTTATAATGATGTTTTAATGTGGCCTTTCTCTTCTTTTGAGTGTGGTTTAACGTCTTTTATATGTTTAAGGACTATTTTCTTTTTTTGTCTATAAACTCGCTATATATTCTGCTGATAAGGTGATATTTGGACAGAGACCTGAAGGCATGATCATGTAGATACCAGGAGGAATAGCATTCTAGGCAAAAGGGACCACAAACATACAGGCTTTGAGGCAGAAACCTGCCTGGCATGTTGAAGGATAAGCACAAAGAAGAATGTGGCTGGAGGAGAGTGAACAAAGGGAAAGAGAAGTAGGAACAGGAGCAGAGGGCCACATCTAGTAGGTCTTGGAGGCTGCAGGATGGACTTGGCTATTCCCCTAAAGGAGGAGAAAGCCACTGGAAGGTTAAGAGAGAAGACTGATAGCAGCCCATGCATATTCCCACAGGGCCACTCCGTCTACTAAGTAGAGGATGGGCTGCAAGAGTGAATCAGGGAGGTCAGTTAGAAGGCTGTTAGGAGAGTCCAGATGAGCAATGATGCTGGCTGGGACTATGGCAGAAGCAGAGGTGGGAGAAGTGGTTAGATTCTTTTTTTTTTTTTTTTTTTTTTTTGAGACAGAGTTTCGCTCTTTTTGCCCAGGCTGGAGTGCAATGGCGCGATCTCGGCTCACTGCATCCTCCTCCTCCTGGGTTCAAGCGATTCTTCTGCCTCAGCCTCCCGAGTAGCTGGGATTACAGGCATGCACCACCATGCCTGGCTAATTTTGTATTTTTAGTAGAGATGGGTTTCTCCGTGTTGGTCAGACTGGTCTTGAACTCCCGACCTCAGGTGATCCGCCTGCCTTGGCCTCCCAAAGTGCTGGGATTACAGGTGTGAGCCACCACGCCCAACCAGATTCTATTTTTTTTACATCAAACATTTTAACAAAATCCTTTTTTTTTTTTTTGAGATTTGAGACAGGGTCTTGTTCTGTTGCCCAGGCTGGAGTGCAGTGGCACCATCAAAGCTCACTGCAGCCTCGACCTCCCGGGTTCAATCAATCTTCCTGTCTCAGTCTCCCATGCAACTGGGACTACAGGCATGTGCCACTACACCAGGCTAATTTTTGTATTTTTTGTAGAAATGAGTTTTGCCATGTTGCATAGGCTGGTCTCAAACTCCTACGCTCAAGCAATCGTCCTGCCTCAGCCTCTCAAAGTGCTGGGATTCTAGGCATAAGCCACAACATCCAGCCCTAAGTACTGTCTTATAACAAATATTTGGACTCTTAAGGTACAAGTTAACAGTCCTTGAAACCGTTAGAACAAACTTTTCAACATTACAGAAAATAACTTTGTATCTCCTTTAGCAAAAGCTCTGCCTCTCCTGTAACAGGTAGACTTGGACAGAAATTCACTTTTTAATGACAGAACAAAAAGACAAGAATAGATTTGACTTAAATTATTTTGGCAAATTCAATTTTTACTTCTAATTTTATTAAATATACATAGGAACTCAACTTCACAGTAAATGATATATAATAAGAATATATTTAAATTGTTATGGTGCCCTTCTTTCTTATCTTTCTAAACAAAGGCAAATTGGTTTTTTTTGAATTTTATTTATTTATTTTTATTTTATTTTATTTTATTTTATTATTATTATACTTTAAGTTTTAGGGTACATGTGCACAATGTGCAGGTTAGTTACATATGTATACATGTGCCATGCTGGTGTGCTGCACCCATTAACTCGTCATTTAGCATTAGGTATATCTCCTAATGCTATCCCTCCCCCCTCCCTCCACCCCACAACAGTCCCCAGAGTGTGATGTTCCCCTTCCTGTGTCCATGTGTTCTCATTGTTCAATTCCCACCTATGAGTGAGAACATGTGGTGTTTGGTTTTTTGTCCTTGGTGATAGTTTACTGAGAATGATGATTTCCAATTTCATCCATGTCCCTACAAAGGACATGAAGTCATCATTTTTTATGGCTGCATAGTATTCCATGGTGTATATGTGCCACATTTTCTTAATCCAGTCTATCATTGTTGGACATTTGGGTTGGTTCCAAGTTTTTGCTATTGTGAATAGTGCCGCAATAAACATACGTGTGCATGTGTCTTTATAGCAGCATGATTTATAGTCCTTTGGGTATATACCCAGTAATGGGATGGCAGGGTCAAATGGTATTTCTAGTTCTAGATCCCTGAGGAATCGCCACACTGACTTCCACAATGGTTGAACTAGTTTACAGTCCCACCAACAGTGTAAAAGTGTTCCTATTTCTCCACATCCTCTCCAGCACCTGTTGTTGCCTGACTTTTTAATGATTGCCATTCTAACTGGTGTGAGATGGTATCTCATTGTGGTTTTGATTTGCATTTTTCTGATAGCCAGTGATGGTGAGCATTTTTTCATGTGTTTTTTGGCTGCATAAATGTCTTCTTTTGAGAAGTGTCTGTTCATGTACTTCGCCCACTTTTTGATGGGGTTGTTTGTTTTTTTCTTGTAAATTTGTTTGAGTTCATTGTAGATTCTGGATATTAGCCCTTTGTCAGATGAGTAGGTTGCGAAAATTTTCTCCCATTTTGTAGGTTGCCTGTTCACTCTGATGGTAGTTTCTTTTGCTGTGCAGAAGCTCTTTAGTTTAATTAGACCCCATTTGTCAATTTTGGCTTAAGAAAGGCAAATTGTTAATCTAGATGTTCACATCTCCAGAGGCATTTGTGTCAGAAATGTTTTAAAATTCCTCTCAAAACAATAGACACTGGGGACTGTAAAAGGAAGGAGGGAGGGAGGAAGGTAGGGAGGCAAGGGTTGAAAACTACACATCAGGTACTGTGTTCACTATTTGGGTGAAGGATCAATAGAAGGCCAATCCTCAGCATCACACAATATGCCCACGTAACAAACCTGCACATGTACCCCCTGAATCTTAAAAAAAAAAAAAAAACTCTCAAGTTTCCTGCTTAAAAACCTGTCAGTTTTAATTCTGACATAGAGCATGGTATGACTACAGTGCCTGTAATCCCAGCACTTTGGGAGGCCAAGGAGAGAGGATCGCTTGAGCACAGGAGTTTGAGACTAGCTTGGGCAACATAGCAAAACCCCATCTCTACAAAAAGAGAAAATAAGCCAGTCCTGGTGATATGCACCTGTGGTTCCAGCTACTCAGGAGGCTGGGGTGGGAGGATAGTTTGAGCCCAGGTGTTGGTGCCTGCAGCGAGCTATGATCATGCCACTGCACTCCAGCCTGGACAACAGAGCAAGACCTTGTCTCTTAAAAAAAGGAAAAAAAAAGACTGCACATGTATTTAGGATCTATAAGAGATGAATTTCATAATATTTTGCATAGAGTTTTCAGATTACGTCCTGTGTTAATACAAAACAAAACAAAAGATCGGAGCAGAGTGGGCATGGGGAACTTCTGTCTGAGGAACAAATAATGGCAACAAGAGAGTTGGGGAGTTCTGTCTGTGGCCTTCTGCCTTTGGTTTAGTGATGTTTATTGCAGCAACCCAAGTAATATCTTCTCAGAGGATTCATGTGAGTTACACTTCTGCCTCCTAGGCACTTCCAGGGGCTCATACCCCTTCAGTCACTCAATGAAGCCTCACCTACATCCACGCCTGTACCACGGCTGCTATGGGGACATCATGACCATGAAGACCTCTGGGGCCACTTGTGATGCAAACAGTGTGATGAACTGCGGTAAGTGAAAAGCAGAGCAAATGACTGGCTTCCCCCTTTCATCGTTTTCAGATTCTTTCTTAGGAAGTCACTTAATTTTGAAAAGGTATAATCATCATTATGACAATAGTATCAAAATTAAAAATGAGCAAAAACCACAATCCTGACCAATCTAACAACCAGCTTCTTTTCATTTTCCACCCCCATTCTTTCCAAACTTTGTCCAGCTGTGTTTATTTCCATGTATTGAAACTACTGCTTGAATAAATATTAGACTCTGGCTTTGTTTTTTGGGTGGTGCTGCTGTGTTTGCTTCATGTTACACATGACCATTTGAAGCAATACTGTTCCAAAGTCGTCTTCATCACGTTATCCTGGTTTTAGAGTGTCGGAGCTGGCAGCAACCACAAGGTCACATCAGACCCCAACCCCTCAAATTTACAAATCAGAGCCCAAAGACTCAGCAAGGAGGGGAATACTTCCCAATAGAACAGAACCAACTAGTGGCGGAGCCAGGCTAAAACATGCATTGGCTAACTCCTAGTACAACAGGCTTCCCAGTGCACTAGTGTGGCAGAATTTTTTTTGTGTGTATGACAGAGTCTTGCTTTGTCACCCAGGCTGGAGTGCGATGGCATGATCTCGGCTCACTACAATCTCCACCTCCCAGGTTCAAGCGATTCTCCTGCCTCAGTCTCCTGAGTAGCTGGGGTTACAGGTGCCTGCCACCAAGTCCAGCTAATTTTTGTATTTTTAGTAGAGATGGGGTTTCACCATGTTGGCCAGGCTAGTCTTGAGCTCCTGACCTCAAGTGATCTGTCCACCTCGGCCTCCCAAAGTGCTGGGATTACAGGCATGAGCAATTTGAAGGAGAAACAGAGCAGAAGCGACACCTGTTGGGGGTTGTGGATCTGTTTGTTTCTGCAGTCAGAGATCAAAAGGATGTCTTAGAATGGTTGTCCCAAGTCATTAGCAGTGATCAGAGGCTGTGGCTAACTTAGCAAATTTTTAAAAATGGTTTTCTTCTGAAGTAGAAGAAACAGTTTCTTTTCTTTTTTTAACTTTAAATTCTTTTTTTTTTTTTTTTTAATTAGAGATGGGCTCTCACTATGATGCCCAGGCTGGTTTCGAACTCCTCCTGGGTTCAAGCAATCCTCCTGTTTCAGCCTCCTGTGTAGCAGGAACTGACTTCAGGCACACACTACCATGCCCGGAAAAACAGTTTCTTTTCTATTGACGTAGGGATCCGTGGTTCTGAAATGTTTGCTGAGATGGATTTGAGGGCCATAAAACCTTACCAGACTCTGATCAAAGAAGTCGGGCAGAGACATTGCGTGGACCCTGCTGTCATCGCAGCCATCATCTCCAGGGAAAGCCATGGCGGATCTGTCCTGCAAGACGGCTGGGACCACAGGGGACTTAAATTTGGCTTGATGCAGGTATTTAGCTAGAAACTTTCTATCAGCCCCACTGCATCCCTCCTCACAGAAGCTCAACCTGAACTAGAAATCCATTTGCAGTGCTTCCAAGCCCCAAAATACCCTGGCATCTGGCTACAGGTACTCCAGCATAATTTTTTTTTTTTTTTTGAGATGGAGTTTCATTCTTGTTACCCAGGCTGGAGTGCAATGGCGTGATCTCGGCTCACTGCAACCTCCACTCCCGGGTTCAAGTGATTCTCCTCCCTCAGCCTCCTGAGTAGCTGGGATTACAGGCACACGCCACCATGCCCAGCTAATTTTTTGTATTTTTAGTAGAGACGGGATTTCACCTTGTTGGCCAGGCTGGTCTTGAACTCCTGACCTCAGGTGATCCACCCACCTCAGTCTCCCAAAGTGCTGGGATTACAAGCTTGAGCCACTGTGCCCGGCCACTCCAGCATAATTTGATCTGGGATTTCTGTAACACATCTTTTTATTTTATTCAAGGCTTATTCATTATTAGATATATTTTAAAAAGTATTTTAGGAGTTTCATAACTACCATTCTGCAATAAATAATATGTAATACACTAAAACTGAGAAAATCTTATAAATAGCATTATTGTTACAGGTGTCCTCTTGGGGTTCATGAAGTAGTAAATTTCATCCATGTGGATCAAAACATGGTATAACTGTGCCCTACTTGAAACAACTTGTTCCTTTGGGTAAACTGGAGGAAGGGGATCCAAATTATCTGGATATTTGCTTCCAGGCTCGATTTTAAATTGTCTGTAGAAATACAGACTTCTGGCCTTCCCAGTTAGAAACAAATTTTTATCTGAATTAGCTGGATAATTATTTATTACTATAAATGTGTAGACTTTGGGTGTTATTTGTTTCAAAACAACTTAAATTTTTTTTTTGTATATTAGAATGTTTAGCTAAAACTATACCATGTCCATTTCTCCCAAACCTTACTTTGTTTCTCTGACTCTCATCTATATGAAAGAAAGAACAATAGAATTGACTCTTTGGGGATAAAGGCCGGTATCTATGACTTGAATACCAGGAGAGGAAATTAGGAATGGCAGAAAAAATGTGTTACCTCATCCAGATGCTGACTTTATTATCTGAATTTTCTAGCTTGATAAACAAACGTACCACCCTGTCGGTGCCTGGGATAGCAAAGAGCACCTTTCACAGGCTACTGGGATTCTAACAGAGAGAATTAAGGCAATCCAGAAAAAATTCCCCACGTGGAGTGTTGCTCAGCACCTCAAAGGTAGGCTGTATTCTGAGTACTTTGTTTAAATGAGCAATGAATGAGACCACTGAAGGCCAGTGTGACCCGAGACTCCCTGGGAGCATTTCCACGGGGTCAGCAGTGGCCCTGGGAGGAGCTGTCTAGAGGCTGCATTTGCATTCCCTGAACCACTGAGTTACTTTGAGAGGTCCTCCATCCTCAACCTCCATTTCCTCTTCTGCAGAATGTTGGGGTTCTTATTCATTGCTTACTGAGCTATTGAGTGATACCTTGAAACATAGTGAGACCCTGTCTCTACAAAAAAAAAAAAAAAAAAAAAAAAAGCTGGGCATGGTGACACACAGTCCCAGCTACTCAGGAGGCTAAGCCAGGAGGATTGCTTGTGCCTGGGAGGTTAAGGCTGCAGTGAGCATTGATTACATCACTGCACTCCAGCCTGGGAGACAGAGTGAGACCCCATCTCTCAAAAAAAAATTTATCTATCTATCTATCTATCTATCTATCTATCTATCTATCTATCTATCTGTTTGCCTACCTCTCATAGGTTTTTTCCTGTTATAAGAAACTGTCAACAACTTTCCAAATTGTCTGAACAATGTTACTCTGTGAGTATTTTCGGGACTTCAGGTGCTATATATCCAAGTGGAAATCTCTGCTTGGCTGACCACAGGCCCCCTCAAGTTCAGCATCTCCCAGATGGAATTAACTCACTAACTTCCCACTATAAATTTGCTCTTTCTTCTGCATTTTACATGTCTTGGAGGCACCATAATATAGCCAGTCATCCCAGCCTGAAAACCAGATTGCTTTCTTAGGCTCTCTGGTTCCTTCTCTCTTCACACCCAACCACATCAATTCCTATTAGGTTTGCCTCCTATTGGCCAATGTTATGTCCTCCACACTCTAACGGCCTTAATCAGAACAGTTTCTAGTCTCTACTTCAAGGTCCTTGAAGGCAGGGATCAGGACCAGGCATCTTCCTCTCTGGATATCAGAGCAGAGCACAATTATGTTAAACACATACATAACTACTAGAGATAAAATTCTAGGGTAAAATAGCACACACATGCATATGTACACATACCCAAAGAAATAAGTGTGTCTTGGGTACCTTGCAGTCAGTGTGGCACCTCTCCTGGCACATAGTAGGTGCTTGAAAACATTTCCTGAATGAATAAATGAGTGAGTGAATAGATGAGTGAATTATTGAATAAATGAGAGAATGTTACAAGCATTTTCAGCAGAGGATGTACTGGGAGTCTAGTTCTGCCAGGCCTGGATTACATAAAAAAGCAAATCTGATTTTTGCAACAAGAAAAACCAAAGACTTTGGAAAAAGAGAAAGAAAGCAATCTGGAATTTTCCCAGTGATTCTTGGGATAGCACGTCCTTTCAGAAAGGGAGGGAGAGGGAGGAGGATTTGGGACTGCCTGCTTTGGAAGATTTGCCTGGAAAGCTAACATCTTGGCAATGCTCATTGCTTATTTCTGTTGAAAGTTAATATTTGAGCCTAATTCTCTGTGTTTCATTTCAGGTGGTCTCTCAGCTTTTAAGTCAGGAATTGAAGCGATTGCCACCCCATCGGACATAGACAATGACTTCGTCAATGATATCATTGCTCGAGCTAAGTTCTATAAAAGACAAAGCTTCTAGGCAAAGCTCTGTGGGTGGGCCAGGTTGGCAGAGTGCTCAGATGGCCGCCTTTGAGAGTTTTACGTGAATGTGTTGTATACAACACTGGCAAAGAAATGATTAAAATCATGAAAGAAAATTCATTTCCCAATTTTCTGAATGAAAATAAGCATTGAAAAAAGGAAAGAAAAATAAAAGAAATCCATCCAGTTCACAATATGGTTCCTAGGAAACGGACATAGACATATATATAATTACTTTGCAGTAAATGTGAATATCATGGCAAATGGTCCCTAGGTATTCCAGCCAGGCTTCATTTTAGCCTGTGATTCCAATGCCCACCTACTCCCTGTCTACCAGAATTGCTAACAAGTTAAGTAAGCCTTACCCGAGCCTTTGTCTTTTTTCCAGTATCTGCCCAGAGCCCTCAGGCTTTGCTTATGAGAAGTTCCTGACTCGTAAGCCAGCCAATCCATGGGACAATGGAAGAAATAGGGATGGAATTCTAGCTTCATGGGAAACTGAGAGCCAACTGAGGTGAAGCTGTCATTCAAGTTAGATACACCAAGTCCTTCAAACCCACAGCAACCTCCTGTGTTTTCTTTTGTCTGTGAAGATCCAGGGACTGGCTTTTCTTATTTTCAGCAGTTGCTGCCACACGCTTTCTTTCACGGGGTCCATCCCTCACAAAACATGGCTGAAGATAAGCATGTAGGACCCAAATCAATTATGGTTCTTTGGTTGCAAGCAAAAGTAACCACTTATAGAAATTTTAAGCATTAAAAAGAAATTACTGGAAGGCTAACAGAACAAACTAAGAAGGTCAAGGAGATGAAGAGACACCAGGCAACTCTGGGGTCTGGGTAGCAGGAATGGGTTAACCATACTTTACAGCATCCATAGTAAGCAAATGAATTAGCACCCTCACCAGTATCCTCATATATGTACTCCAAACACCTGTTTCTGATTATGTCTTCATTCTGCGTCACTTTCATAGTGCCAGGAGAGGTTCGGAGCTATTTATCTTGGGTCACATACAAACCTACCCTTTGGCTATTTTGCTACCTTGGTCTTGCTCACACTACCTACAATGGAGAAGAGACAACTCTCTGGAAGGAAACTGTGTGCTGTTTGTGGCCTTTACTTCCATAGTCAGGAGAGGACACAAGTGATAACACGTTGGAGTGTAAAGTGGACGTGTGACACTGTGGCCCTGCTGGGCCTTTAACTCCCTTTGGAGATGTTCAATGAATGTTTCAGTCCATCACTTCTGTTTCTGAGAAGGAATCAAAATCATACACACCTGCCTCTGAGCCCTCTTGGAGAAAGCCAAGTAAATCCTTCTTTGCCCACTGACCTCTCAACCCAGCCTGAATATTTGACCCAGGCAGCACCAGGAATCCTTGTTTCACTGGGCAGGGCCAATGGTCAGTTTGTGTGGCAGGCCCTTAGCAGGTAGGCCAGCAGCTTCTATGACTGGTTGAGGCCCATGCTGTACCAGGTGTTAAATATTTTTATTATCCTCCCTGCATGTGGGCCATCCAGGATGCTCTTCAGATGTTCACTTTGCTCAGGAATGATTTATTTTGGGCTTTCCCTCACATGCATGAATTTCATCTAATCACTAGCCCCTTCAATGTCACTACTTCAACAATAAAGTACATCTAGATGAGATCACTTTCAGGTAATTTGAAAAACAAGAAATAGTACGCTCACGTGTTCCCTGAATGTATTCCCCCAGTGTTCTCTTTATGACTAGGATGCAAGAGATGTCCCATGGGAGACCTCACATTCAAGTTGTCTTAGTTTGGTTCCCCAGAAGCAGAACTTGAGGCAAGGTTTCCAGTGTGGGTAGTTTATTTTGGAACGCTCGTATGAGGTGGCTGGATGATACAGGGACAGTAGGACAGCCAATAAAACGTGTCACCGAGCCAGCTACCACAGTGGGCACCTGAGCTCAACCTTGCAAGAAAACTTCTAGGAATGGTGCAAAACCCACACCACAGAATTATTCTGCCCAAGGTACAAGGAGCTGGGGCATTTATACATCAACTCCTGAGAGCCGTTGGTTGAGGGATCTGCCTGTAGGGCTTTGGGGGGTGTTAATTCTTTGCTACTCCGGTTTGCCTTGCAAATAAGCAACACATATTTCCAAGGAAAAGGGGCTGCAGGTACAGAGGTACAAATACTGACAGTTGGAAATCAACTGAAAATTCTAAAAGGCCCAGGGATATGGGAGGGTGCTAACAGCATCGGCTTCATCAGGATTAGGTACACCTGGAGGTTGGGACTATCCTTCAAACATTGCTTGTTTTCATCTATGACTTAACAACATGGTAAGAACAATCTGGAAATAACACACAAACTTCATTATGCCTCATGATTTTCATGCCAAGCTTCTCCACAACCTGTTAGAATTAATAGATATAATACAACTATCCAAGTCTTTTTTTTTTTTTGATGGAATTTCGCTCTTGTTGCCTAGGCTGGAGTGCAATGGCGCAAACTTGGCTCACCACAACCTCTGCCTCCCGGGTTCAAGCGATTCTCCTGCCTCAGCATCCCAAGTAGCTGGGATTACAGGCATGCACCACCACGCCCGGCTAATTTTTTTTTTTTTGTATTTTTAGTAGAGACAGGGTTTCTCCATGTTGGTCAGGCTGTTCTCGATCTCCTGACCTCAGGTGATCCATCCTCCTTGGCCTCCCAAAGTGCTGGGATTACAGGCGTGAGCCACTGTGCCCAGCCATCTATCTCAGTCTTTATCCTCTTCCCATCTCCATCTAGCTCAACAGCTGATTCCCAGGGATTTGCTGAGAACAATGTCAAAGATGTTAGACACAAATGTGGCACCATTAGATATGATATCCAGTCATTCTCAATTTTCTTTATATTTTTTGCCTGTGCCCCCTTCAGGTGTTATGAATTATTACATGTCTACATCCTATTATGTAAAACAGCACTTTCATAGTTGTCCAAAAACTAGGTTCTTAGGCCAGGCATGGTGGCTCACGCCTGTAATCACAGCACTTTGGGAGGCCAACACAGGAGGATTGCTTGAGCCCAGGAGTTCAAGATCAGTCTGGGCAACATGGCAAAACCCTATCTCTACAAAAAATACAAAAATTACCCAAGCATGGTAGCACACGCCTGCAATCCCAGCTACTTAGGAGGTTGAAGGGGGAGAATCACCTGAGCCCGGGGAGATCGAGGCTGCAGTGAGTCATGATTGCACCACTTCACTTCAGCCTGGACAACAAAGTAAAACCTTGTCTCAAACAAACAAAAAACTCCAAAACCAAACCAAAACAAACAAACAAAAAATTAGGTTCTTACTGGAGGATGAAGAAAAATTGTCTTATAAATAGTTTTTGTTGGGTTTTGAAGGGAAGGCTAGGGTTAAAGAAAGACACAAAGAGAGAGAGTGGTGGCTTTACAGCAAATGCCGGCTTTATGTCCAGCATAAGACCTGCAGCTTAATGCCAATGGCCATCGCCACTTACAGGCTGGGGCAATTATAGGCTAGGTGGGAGGGGTCTGGAACAGGGGGCATGGCCTGCTGCCTGGGAAAATGTTGATAACATGTTCCCATGATTAGGCAGTTTGGTGCCTGTTCCAGTGCAGTGTGAGGTTCCTTACACTTTCTTCCAGCAGAATATAATAAGAGAGTCAAGCGGTTGGGCAGGCTGTTTGTCACAGCCCGAACCCCTGTGGAATGTTTCACTTTGACCGAGGTCTGCGAAATGGCTGGGGGGTTACAAAATGGTGCAGTTTGGACTAACAGTTTCCAGAGCAAAAAAATAAAAAATAAAAAATAAAAAATAATAAAAACACCTAAAAATATTTCCCTTGCTAGACTTATTCATGATTGTATTCTCATCCTTTCTTTTTCTTGGCCATTAATGCCTCACCTGCTGAGAGAACTGTGACCTAATAAGAAATAGGTGTTGGCCTCTGCAGTGTGGTGCAGGGGAAGCAAGGTGAGGAAGCCTCAGCTTCCACACCGGTGACCTCTAAGAACGCTCTCCACACTGATGATTGAAGTGCTGCGCGCTTCTGTTTTACAATGCTAGGTAGGGGAAACATTCCCCACGCAGACACAATGTCCATTCCCATAATACAATCAGGTAAGAGACGCACGCAAGCACTTCTCACGAAGCCTGCTGAAAAACACCAATTCGCCTACAGACTTTAATTCCATCAACCACTACATCCCTAACTGCGGCCTCCATTAGGACTTAATTAACAGGTTTTGGTGTTACAATACTAGGTATTAAGAAGTGTTAGGCCGGACTTCGTGGCTCACGCCTGTAATCCCAGCACTTTGGGAGGTTGCGGTGGGTGGATCACCTGAGGTCAATAGTTTGAGATTAGCCTGGCCAATATGGTGAAACCCCGTCTCTACTAAAAATACAAAAATTAGCTGGGCGTGGTGGTGCACACCTGTAATCCCAGCTACTGGGGAGGCTGAGGCAGGAGAATCATTTGAACCCGGGAAGCAGACGTTGCAATGAGCCGAGATCGTGCAACTGCACTCCAGCCTGGGCAACAAGGCGAGACTCCATCTCAAAAAAGTGTTCCCCAGCCGGATGTAATATCCATTCCCATAAAACATTCAGGTAAAGGACACACAGCTTTACCTAAAGTCTGTTTAAACATTCCACCTTTCATGATCCTATAAACCCTTACCTTTTACGGTTCCCTCATTCTAACTGCAGCCTGCCTCAGGGCTTCATCAATGGGTTTTGGTACCACAGTGCTGGGGGCTCCTGTATTGAGTCCCAGTAATCTTTTCTCCACACTGCCCCCACCGCTGACCATTTTACCTACTGATGTGCATAAGGCTTTGGGTCTCCACTGAGAAGGGGTAGAGCCAAGGGACTGTGACCCTTTTGTCAATCTTCATCTTGATGAACCTGCTAACAACTGTCACAGTGATTGCTGGTCAGGTTTCTCATGATAAACTTTGCCTTTGGCTTTTTAAATTTCTCCAAACTGGAGTAAATAGAGCAGGCTTATTTGGAACCCTTTAATGTTGAGGGACCAGCAGGGGTTCCCTTGGGCCTGCTCAACCTTTGGTAGTGCTGTGTTAAATCCTTTGTTTTAATCCATCAATATCCATTTTATTCATCCCACTTCTTAATAACCATCTAAAGCTTTCCACCCTGCTGGGACAAGTCCCATGACTCCTCTTTCTTTTTCTTCTTTTTTTGCTTCTGTCAATATTTGCTTTACATACCTTCTTTCTTTCTTCTTCTTCTTCTTTTTTGTTTTTTTTTTTTTTTTTGAGACAGAATTTCACTCTTGTTGCCCAGGCTGGAGTCCAATGGCGTGATCTCGGTTCACTTCAACCTCCATCTCCCAGGTTCAAGTGATTCTCCTGCCTCAGCCTCCCAGGTAGCCAGGACTATAGGCATGTGCCACCACCACGCCCAGATGTTTTCTTTTTCTTTCTTTTTTTTTTTTTTTTGTATTTTTAGTAGAGATGGGGTTTCACCATGTTGGCCAGGCTGGTCTCGAACGCCTGACCTCAGGTGATCTGCTCACCTCGGCCTCCCAAAGTGCTGGGATTACAGGCGTGAGCCACTGCACCTGGCCAAGCACCTTATTTCTTAATTGCTGTTTAAAATTTTCTACCATGCTAAGACCTGCCCTCTGCCTTTCTCCATTCTCTTCTTAATTAACCTAATGTTTTTTTTTTTTTCAACTTTTATTTTAGATTCAGTGGGTACTTGTGCAGACTTGTACAAGGGTACATTGCATGATGCTGAGGTTTGGAGTACAATTGAACCCATCATCTAGGTAGTGAGCATAGTACCCAATAGGTAGTTTTTCAACCCTTGCGCTCCTCCCTACTTCACCCCACTTATAATCTGTCTCTTGTTCCCATCTTTATGTCCATGTGTACCCAATATTTAGCTCTTACTTATAAGTGAGAACATGCAGTATTTGGTTTTCTCTTTCTGCATCAGTTCTCTTAGAATTATGGCCTCCAGCTGCATCCATGTTGCAGCAAAGGACATGATTTTGTTCTTTTTTTATAGCTGCATAGTATTCCATGGTGTATATGCACCATATTTTCTTTC
This sequence comes from Homo sapiens, assembly GCF_000001405.40. NCBI lineage: Eukaryota > Metazoa > Chordata > Mammalia > Primates > Hominidae > Homo > Homo sapiens. The sequence goes on along the minus strand of NC_000002.12, from coordinate 99,236,298 downwards.
TTTTCTTTATATTATACTTTAAGTTATGGGTTACATGTGCAGAATGTGCAGTTTTGTTACATAGGTATACACGTGCCACGGTGGTTTGCTGCACCCATCAACCCATCACCTACATTAGGTATTCCTCCTAATGTTATCCCTCCCCTAGCCCCCCACCCCCTACAGGCCCCGGTGTGTGATGTTCCCCTCCCTGTGTCCATGTGTTCTCATTGTTCAACTCCCACTTAATAAGTGAAAACATGTGGTGTTTGGTTTTCTGATCTTGTGATAGTTTGCTGAGAATGATGGTTTTCAGCTTCATGCGTGTTCCCACAAAGGACATGAACTCATTCTTTTTTATGGCTGCATAGTATTCCATGGTGTATATATGCCACATTTTCTTTCTTTTTTTTTTTTTGAGACGGAGTCTCATTCTGTCACCCAGGCTGGAGTACAGTGGCTCGATCTCAGCTCACCGCAAGCTCCGCCTCCCGGGTTCATGCCATTCTCCTGCCTCAGCCTCCCAACATAGCTGGGACTACAGGCACCCACCACCACGCCCGGCTAATTTTTTGTATTTTGAGTAGAGACAGGGTTTCACCATGTTAGCCAGGATGGTCTTGATCTCCTGACCTCGTGATCTGCCCACCTCAGCCTCCCAATATGCTGGGATTACAGGTGTGAGCCACCGTGCCCAGCTATATGCCACATTTTCTTAATCTAGTCTATCATTGATGGACATTTGGGTTGGTTCCAAGTCTTTGCTATTGTGAATAGTGCCGCAATAAACATACGTGTGCATGTGTCTTTATCGTAGAATGATTTATAATCCTTTGGGTATATATGCCTAGTAATAGGATTGCTGGGTCAAATGGTATTTCTAGTTCTAGATCCCTGAGGAATCGCCACACTGTCTTCCACAATGGTTGAACTAATTTATACTCCCACCAACAGTGTAAAAGCATTCCTATTTTTCCACAACCTCTCCAGCATCTGTTGTTTCCTGACTTTTTAATGACTGCCATTCTAATTGGCATGAGATGGTATCTCACTGTGGTTTTGATTTGCATTTCTCTAATGACCAGTGATGATGAGCATTTTTTCATATGTCTGTTGACTGCATAAATGTCTTCTTTTGAGAAGTGTCTGTTCATTTCCTTTGCACATTTTTTGATGGGGTTGTTTGCTTTTTTCTTGTAAATTTGTTTAAGCTCTTTGTAGATTCTGGATATTAGCCCTTTGTCAGATGGATAGATTGCAAAAGTTTTCTCCCATTCTGTAGGTTGCCTGTCCACTCTGATGATAGTTTCTTTTGCTGTTCAGAAGCTCTTTAGTTTAATTAGATCCTATTTGTCAATTTTGGCTTTTGTTGCCATTGCTTTTGGTGTTTTAGTCATGAAGGCTTTGCCCATGCCTATGTCCTGAATGGTATTGCCTAGGTTTTCTTCTAGGATTTTTTATGGTCCTAGGTCTTACATTTAAGTCTTTGATCCATCTTGAGTTGATTTTTGTATAAGGTGTAAGGAAGGGGTCCAGTTTCAGTTTTCTGCATATAGCTAGCCAGTTTTCCCAACACCATTTATTAAACAGGGAATCCTTTCCCTATTTCTTGTTTTTGTCAGGTTTGTCAGAGATCAGATTGTGGTAGATGTGTGGTGTTATTTCTGAGGCCTCCGTTCTGTTCCATTGGTCTATATCTCTGTTTTGGTACCAGTACCATGCTGTTTTGGTTACTGTAGACTTGTAGTAAAGTTTGAAGTCAGGTAACATGATGCCTCCAGCTTTGTTCTTCTTGCCCAGGATTGTCTTGGCTATGCGGGCTCTTTTTTGGTTCCATATGAAATGTAAAGAAGTTTTTTTCTAATTCTGTGAAGAAAGTCATTGGTAGCTTGATGGGGATAGCATTGAATCTATAAAATATTTTGGGCACTAAGGCCATTTTCACAATATTGATTCTTCCTATCCATGAGTATGGAATGTTTTTCCATTTGTTTATGTCCTCTCTTATTTCCTTGAGCAGTCGTTTGTAGTTCTCCTTGAAGAGGTCCTTCACATCCCTTGTAAGTTGGATTCCTAGGTATTTGATTCTCTTAGTAGCAACTGTGAATGGGAGTTCACTCATGATTTGGCTCTCTGTTTGTCTGTTATGGGTGTATAGGAATGCTTGTGATTTTTGCACATTGATTTTGTATCCCGAGACTGCTGAAATTGCTTATCAGCTTAAGGAGATTTTGGGCTGAGATGATGGGGTTTTCTAAATATACAATCATGTCATCTGCAAACAGAGACAATTTGACTTCCTCTCTTCCTATATGAATACCTTTATTTCTTTCTCTTGCCTGATTGCCCTGGCCAGAACTTCCAATACGACGTTGAATAGGAGTAGTGAGACAGGGCATCCTTGTCTTGTGCCGGTTTTCAAAGGGAATGCTTCCAGTTTTTGGCCATTCAGTATGATATTGTCTGTGGGTTTGTCAAAAATAGCTCTTATTATATTGAGATACGTTCCATCAATACCTAGTTTATTGAGAGTTTTTAGCATGAAAGGCTGTTGAATTTTGTCGAAGGTCTTTCCTGCATCTATTGAGATAATCATGTGGCTTTTGTTGTTGGTTCTGTTTATATGATGGATTATGTTTATTGATTTGCGTATGTTGAACCAGCCTTGCATCCCAGGTATGAAGCCGACTTGATCGTGGTGGATAAGCTTTTTGATGATGCACCACATTTTACTTATCCAGTCCACCATTAATGGGCACCTAGATTGATTCCATGTTTTTGCTATTGTGAAAAGTGCTGTGATGAACATATGGGTGCATGTGTCTTTTTGGCAGAATGATTTATTTTCCTTTGGGTGTATATCCAGTAATGGGACTGCTGGGTTGAATGGTAGTTCTATTTTTGGTTCTTTGTGAAATCTCCAAACTGCTTTCCCTAGTGACTGAGCTAATTTACATTCCCACCAACAGTGTATAAGCATTCCCTTTTCTCCACAGCCTTGCCAGCATTTATTTTTAAAAGTTTTAAATAGCCATAGTGTGAGATGGTATCTTACTGTGGTTTTGATTTGCATTTCTCTGATGATTAGTGATGATGAGCATTTTTTCATATGTTTGTTAGTTGCTTGTAAATCTTCTTTTGAGAAGTGTCTGTTCATGTCCTTTGCCCACTTTTTAATGGGGTTATTTGTGTTTTATTTGTTGGTTTGCTTAACTTCCTTATAGATCCTGGATATTAGACCTTTGCCAGATGCACAGTTTGTGAATACTTTCTCCCATTCTGTTGTCTGTTTACTCTGTTAATAGTTTCTTTCGCTGTGCAGAAGCTCTTTAGTTTAATTAGGTCCCATTTGCCGAGTTTTGTTTTTGTTGTAATTGCTTTTGAGGACTTAACCATAAATTCTTTCCCAAAGCCATCATCAAGAAGGGTATTTCCCAGGTTTTCTTATAGGAGTTCTATAGTTTGAGGTCTTACATTTAAGTTCTTAGTTCATCTTGAGTTCATTTTTGTATATGGTGAAATGTAGGGGTCCAGTTTCATTCTTCTGCATAGGCTAGCCATTTATCCCAGCACCAATTATTGAATAGGGAGTCCTTTCCCCATTGCTTATTTTTGTCACCTGTCAAAGATCAGATGATTGCAGATGTGTGGCTTTATTTCTAGGTTCTCTGTTCTGTTCTATTGGTCTATGTATCTGTTTTAATACCAGTACCATGTTGTTTTGATTACTGTAGCCTTGTAATATAGTTTGAAATCAGGTAAAGTGATGCCTCTGGCTTTGTTCTTTTGGCTTAGGATTACTTTGGCTATTCAGCCTCCATTTGGGTTACAATAGTTTTTTTTTCCCTAATTATGTGAAAAATGATGTTGGTAGTTTGATAGGAATAGTGTTAAATCTGTAGACTGCTTTAACAATATTGATTCTTCCAATCCAAAAGCATGGATGTTTTTCCATTTGTTTGTATCATCTATGATTTCTTTCAGCAGTGTTTTGTGTTTCTCCTTGTAGAGATCTTTCACCTCCTTTACTAAGTGTATTCCTAGATTTTAAAATATTTTTGTGGCTATTATAGTTGGGATTGTATTCCTGATTTGGCTCTCAGTTTGAACGTTATTGGTGTATAGAAATGCTACTGACTTTTGTACATTGATTTTGTATCTTGAAACTTTAATGAAGTTGTTTATGAGTTCTAGCTGTCTTCCAGTTTAGGGTTTCCTAGATACAGAATTATATCATCCATGAAGAGAGATAGTTTGGCCTCTTCTTTTCCTATTTGAGTGCCTTTTATTTATTTATCTTGCCTGATTGCTCTGGCTAGGACTTCTGGTACTATGTTGAGTAGGAGTGGTGAGAGTGGGCACACTTGTCTTGATCCAGTTCTCAAGGGGAATGCTTCCCACTTTTGCCTATTCAGTATGATGTTGGCTGTGAGTTCATCAGTGATGGCTCTTAGTATTTTGAGGTATGTTCCTTCAATGCCTAGTTTGTTGAGGATTTGTATGTCTGGTAGAATTTGATTGTGAATCCATCTGGGCCAGGGAATTTTTTGGTTGTTATGTTTTTTTTTCTTTTATTACTAATTCAATTTCAGAACTCATTATCGGTCTGTTCAGGGTTTCATTTTATTTCCAATTCAATCTTGGGAGGTTGTGTGTTTCCAGGAATTTATCTATTTCCTCTAGATGTTCTAATTGATGTGCATAGATTTGTTCATAATGGTCTCTGAGTATCTTTTGTATTTCTGTGGGATCAGTTGTAATGTCACCTTTGTCATTTCTAATTGTGCTTATTTGGATCTTTTTTTTCTCTTTGTTAATCTAGCTAGTGGTTCATCAATCATGTTTATCCTTTGAAGGAACCAAGGTTACTTTTGAAGTTCATCAGTCATGTTTATCCTTTCAAGGAACCAACGTTTCCTTTCAAGGTTTCAAGCTTTCAAGCTTTTGTTGATCTTTTTTATGGATTTTTGGTCTCAATTTCATTCCATTCTGCTCTGGCTTTAGTGATTTCTTCTGCTAGCTTTGGGGTTTGTTTGTTCTTGTATCTCTAGTTCCTCTAGGTGTGATGTTAGATTATTAATTTGAGATCTTTCTAACTTCTTAATGTAGGCACTTAGCACTACAATTTTTCCTCTTAAACTGCTTTTGCTGCATCCTAGAGATTTTGGTATGTTGTATCTCTGTTTTCATTAATTTCAAAGAATTTGTTTTATTTCTGCCTTAATTTCATTATCTGCCCAAAAGTCATTCAGGAGCAGTTATTTAATTTCCATGTAATGGTGTGCTTTTGAGATCTTCTTGGTATTGATTTCATTTTTATTCCACTGTGGTCTGAGAGTATGCTTCATATGATTTTGATTCTTTTTTTTTTTTGAAGACTCTATAACCCCGGATGGAGTGCAGTGGTGCAATCTTGGCTCACTGCAACCTCCACCTCCTGGGTTCAAGTGATTCTTGTGCCTCAGCCTCCCAAGTAGCGGGGGCTCCAGGCATGTGCCACCACACCTGGCTAATATTTGTATTTTTAGTAGAGATGGGGTTTTGCCATGTTGGCCAGACTGTTCTCAAACTCCTGGCCTCATGTGATCCACCCACCTCAGCCTCCCAAAGTGCTGGGATTACAGGTGTAAGCCACCGCACCTGGACAGATTTTGATTCTTTTTTAATTTTATGAGGCTTGCTTTATGGCTGATGTGGTTGGTCTTAAGAGTATGTTCTGCGTGCAAACAAGAAAAATGTGTATTCTGTGATTTTGGACAGAGTATTCTCTAGATTGATGTTAGGTCCAATTGGTCAAGTGTAGTTTTAAGTCCAGAATTTCTTTGCTAGTTTTCTGCCTTGGTGATTTGTTTAATGCTATCAGCGGGGGTGTTGAAGTACCCTACTATTATTGTCTGGCTCTCTAAGTCTTTTTGTAGGTCTAGAAGTACTTTTTAATGAATCTAGGTGCTCCAATGTTGAGTGCAAATATATTTAGAATAGTTAGGTCTTCTTGTGGAATTGAATCCTTTATCATTATGTAATTTCCTTCTTTGTCCTTTCTTACTGTTGTTGGTTTAAAGTCTGTTCTATCTGATATAACAGAATATATAAAGACTCCTGCTCTTTTTAGTTTTCCATTTGTGTGATAGACCTTTTTCCATTCCTTTATTTTGAGCCTATGGGTGTTGTTACATGTGAGATGAGTCTCTTGAAGACAGTAGACTGTTGGGTTTTGTTTACTTATCCAACTTGCCACTCTGTGCCTTTTAAGTGGGGCATTTTAGACAATTAACAAAAGGTTAATATTGATATGTGAGGTTTGATCTTGTCATGATGCTCTTAGCTGATTGCTTTGTAGCCTCAATTATGTAGTTGCTTTAGAGGATCTCTAGGCTACGTATGTTTCTGGGCTTAACTGTGTTTTTGTGCTGGCAGGTATCATTCCTTTGTTTCCATGTTTAGAACTCCCTTAAGGACCTCGTGTAAGGCTGGTCTAGAAGTAACAAATTTCTTTAGCATTTGCTTATCTGAAAAAGATTTCATTTCTCCTTCATATATGAAGTTTAGTTCGGCAGAATATTCTTTTTTTTTTTAACTATTGGTGAGAAGTTTATTTTATTCTGCTTTTACTTTAGATGTCAGGTAAACAGTAAAAAAAATATTTTGTGTAACTTGTGAATAAATGATTTTTTGTTTGAAAAATTAACATAAGCTGCTGTGAGGTTTTTACTTCTTTTTTTAAATTTTATTTTTATTTTCATTTTTTTATTTTATTATTACTATACTTTAAGTTTTAGGGTACATGTGCACAATGTGCAGGTTAGTTACATATGTATACATGTGCCATGTTGGTGTGCTGCACCCATTAACTCGTCATTTAGCATTAGGTATATCTCCTAATGCTATCCCTCCCCCCCCACTCCCCCCACCCCACAACAGTCCCCGGTGTGTGATGTTCCCCTTCCTGTGTCCAGGTGTTCTCATTGTTCAATTCCCACCTATGAGCGAGAACATGCAGTGTTTGGTTTTTTGTCCTTGCGATAGTTTGCTGAGAATGATGGTTTCCAGCTTCATCCATGTCCCTACAAAGGACATGAACTCATCATTTTTTATGGCTGCATAGTATTCCATGGTGTATATGTGCCATTTTCTTAATCCAGTCTATCGTTGCTGGACATTTAGGTTGGTTCCAAGTCTTTGCTATTGTGAATAGTGCCGCTATAAACATATGTGTGCATGTGTCTTTATAGCAGCATGATTTATAATCCTTTGGGTATATACCCCGTAATGGGATGGCTGGGTCAAATGGCATTTCTAGTTCTAGATCCCTGAGGAATCGCCACACTGACTTCCACAATGGTTGAACTAGTTTACAGTCCCACCAACAGTGTAAAAGTGTTCCTATTTCTCCACATCCTCTCCAGCACCTGTTGTTGCCTGACTTTTTAATGATCGCCATTCTTACTGGTGTGAGATGGTATCTCATTGTGGTTTTGATTTGCATTTCTCTGATGGCCAGTGATGATGAGCATTTTTTTGTGTGTCTTTTGGCTGCATAAATGTCTTCTTTGGAGAAGTGTCTGTTCATATCCTTCACCCACTTTTTGATGGGGTTTTTTTTTTTTTCTTGCAAATTTGTTTGAGTTCATTGTAGATCCTGGATATTAGCCCTTTATCAGATGGGTAGATTGCAAAAATTTTCTCCCATTCCGTAGATTGCCTGTTCACTCTGATGGTAGTTTCTTTTGCTGTGCAGAAGCTCTTTAGTTTAATTAGATCCCATTTGTCAATTTTGGCTTTTGTTGCCATTGCTTTTGGTGTTTTAGACATGAAGTCCTTGCCCATGCCTATGTCCTGAATGGTATTGCCTAGGTTTTCTTCTAGGGTTTTTATGGTTTTAGGTCAAACATTTAAGTCTTTAATCCATCTTGAATTAATTTTTGTGTAAGATGTAAGGAAGGGATCCAGTTTCAGCTTTCTACATACGGCTAGCCAGTTTTCCCAGCACCATTTATTAAATAGGGAATTGTTTCCCCATTTCTTGTTTTGTCAGGTTTGTCAAAGATCAGATGGTTGTAGATATGTGGCATTATTTCTGAGGGCTCTGTTCTGTTCCATTGATCTATATCTCTGTTTTGGTACCAGTACCATGCTGTTTTGGTTACTGTAGCCTTGTAGTATAGTTTGAAGTCAGGTAGCGTGATGCCTCCAGCTTTGTTCTTTTGGCTTAGGATTGACTTGGCAATGCAGGCACTTTTTTGGTTCCATATGAACTTTAAAGTAGTTTTTTCCAATTCTGTGAAGAAAGTCATTGGTAGCTTGATGGGGATGGCATTGAATCTATAAATTACCTTGGGCAGTATGGCCATTTTCACGATATTGATTCTTCCTACCCATGAGCATGGAATGTTCTTCCATTTGTTTGTATCCTCTTTTATTTCATTGAGCAGTGGTTTGTAGTTCTCCTTGAAGAGGTCCTTCACGTCCCTTGTAAGTTGGATTCCTAGGTATTTTATTCTCTTTGAAGCAATTGTGAATGGGAGTTCACTCATGATTTGACTCTCTGTTTGTCTGTTATTGGTGTATAAGAATGCTTGTGATTTTTGTACACTGATTTTGTATCCTGAGACTTTGCTGAAGCTGCTTATCAGCTTGAGGAGATTTTGGGCTGAGACGATGGGGTTTGGTGAAGGGATCAATTCAACAAGAAGAGCTAACTATCCTAAATATATATGCACCCAATACAGGAGCACCCAGATTCATAAAGCAAGTCCTGAGTGACCTACAAAGAGACTTAGACTCCCACACAATAATAATGGGAGACTTTAACACCCCACTGTCAACATTAGACAGATCAACGAGACAGAAAGTTAACAAGGATACCCAGGAATTGAACTCAGCTCTGCACCAAGCGTACCTAATAGACATCTACAGAACTCTCCACCCCAAATCAACAGAATATACATTCTTTTCAGCACCACACCTACTCCAAAATTGACCACATAGTTGGAAGTAAAGCTCTCCTCAGCAAATGTAAAAGAACAGAAATTATAACAAACTGTCTCTCAGACCACAGTGCAATCAAACTAGAACTCAGGATTAAGAAACTCACTCAAAACCGCTCAACTACATGGAAACTGAACAACCTGCTCCTGAGTGACTACAGGGTAAATAATGAAATGAAGGCAGAAATAAAGATGTTCTTTGAAACCAACGAGAACAAAGACACAACATACCAGAATCTCTGGGACACATTCAAAGCAGTGTATAGAGGGAAATTTATAGCACTAAATGCCCACAACAGAAAGCAGGAAAGATCTAAAATTGACACCCTAACATCACAATTAAAAGAACTAGAAAAGCAAGAGCAAACACATTCAAAAGCTAGCAGAAGGCAAGAAATAACTAAGATCAGAGCAGAACTGAAGGAAATAGAGACACAAAAAACCCTTCAAAAAATTAATGAATCCAGGAGCTGGTTTTTTGAAAAGATAAACGAAATTGATAGACCACTAGCAAGACTAATAACGAAGAAAAGAGAGAAGAATCAAATAGACGCAATACAAAATGATAAAGGGGATATCACCACTGATCCCACAGAAATACAAACTACCATCAGAGAATACTATAAACACCTCTACACAAATAAACTAGAAAATCTAGAAGAAATGGATAAATTCCTCGACACATACATCCTCCCAAGACTAAACCAGGAAGAAGTTGAATCTCTGAATAGACCAATAACAGGCTCTGAAATTGAGGCAATAATCAATAGCTTACCAACCAAAAAAAGTGCAGGACCAGATAGATTCACAGCCGAATTCTACCAGAGGTACAAAGAGGAGCTGGTACCATTCCTTCTGAAACTATTCCAATCAATAGAAAAAGAGGGAATCCTGCCTAACTCATTTTATGAGGCCAGCATCATCCTGATACCAAAGCCTGGCAGAGACACAACAAAAAAAGAGAATTTTAGACCAATATCCTTGATGAACATCGATGCAAAAATCCTCAATAAAATACTGGCAAACCGAATCCAGCAGCACATCGAAAAGCTTATCCACCATGATCAAGTGGGCTTCATCCCTGGGATGCAAGGCTGGTTCAACATACGCAAATCAATAAATGTAATCCAGCATATAAACAGAACCAAAGACAAAAACCACATGATTATCTCAATAGATGCAGAAAAGGCCTCTGACAAAATTCAAGAACCCTTCATACTAAAAACTCTCAATAAATTAGGTATTCATGGGACATATCTCAAAATAATAAGAGCTATCTATGACAATCCCACAGCCAATATCATACTGAATGGGCAAAAACTGGAAGTATTCCCTTTGAAAACGGGCACAAGACAGGGATGCCCTCTCTCACCACTCCTATTCAACATAGTGTTGGAAGTTCTGGCCAGGGCCATCAGGCAGGAGAAGGAAATAAAGGGTATTCAATTAGGAAAAGAGGAAGTCAAATTGTCCCTGTTTGCAGATGACATGATTGTATATCTAAATTCTTTATTGGAATTTATTTTCTTTAGGGATACTGAAAACAGGCCCCAGATCTCTTCTGGCTTGTAAGATTTCTGCTGAAAAGTCTGCTGATAACCCAATGGGGTTCCCTTTGTAAGAGATCTCACCCTTATCTCTAGCTGTCTTTAAGATTTTTCTTTCACATTGAACTTGGAAAGTCTAATGATTTTGTGTCTTGGGAATGGTCATCTTGTGTAGTATCTCACAGGAGTTCTCCAAATTTCTTGAATTTGCATGTTGACCTCTCTAGCAAGACTGGGGAAATTTTCACAGGCTATATCCTCAAATACATTTTCTAAGCTGCTTACTGTCTCTCGGGAATGCCAATGAAGTGTAGGTTTGGTCTTTTTTAATCCCTTATCTCTTGGAGGTCTGGTTCATTTTTAAAAAATTCTTTTTTCTTTATTTTTATATGACTGGATTAATTCAAAGGACCAGTCTTTGACCTCTAAAATTCTTTCCTCAGCTTGGTTTAGTCTGTTCTTAAGGCTTCCAACTGTATTTTGATATTCCTGCAGTGAATTTTTAAATTCTAGAAGTTCAGTTTGGCTCTTTCTTTCTTTCTTTCTCACTCTCTCTTTCTCTCCCTTCCTTCCTTCCTTCCTTCCTTCCCAGATCAATTTTTGCTACAACAAACAAATCAATAACTTTCAGATAAATTTAACATAATCCAAAGTATTTATAATATAACCTTCACAATGTCCAAGCTACAATCCCAAATTACTTACATATGACATATAAGAAGCAGGAAAATGTGACCCATGATCAAGAGAGAAATCAACAAGGAGGGACCAACCCCAAGATGACCCAGATGTTAGAAATGGCAGGCAAGGACTTTAAATATTATAAGTATGTTAGTATGCTCAAGAAATAAAGGAAATTAAACTTCTAATGAATGAAAAGGTAGTAAAATCTCAACATAGAAATAGAGATGGCAATCAAGTGGCAATTCCAGAACTAAAAAATACAATATCTGTAACGAAATAAAAAACATTTCCATAACTACAGAAGGTTGCCTCATGCCGCTTCCCAGGCAATGTGGCCCTCCACTCAAAGGTAACCAATATTCCAACATGTATTACCATAGATTAGTTTTGCCTGTTATATAAATACAGTCATACAGTTTATACTGTTTTGGCCTGGCTTTTTTTGTTTAACATAATGCCTGTGAGATGCATGCTGTTGCATGGATCAGTGGTTGGTTCATTTTATGATTGAGTAGTATTCCATCGTATGAACACACTACAATTTGTTTATCCCTTAGGTTGACAGACATTTTTTGGTTTTTAAAAATAAAGCCACTATGAACGTTTTTGTTACAAGTCTTTTTGTAGATACATGCTTTTATTTCTCTTGAGTAAATTCTCATGAATAGAGTTGTTGGGTCATAGGGTAGATGTCTGTTTAATTTCATAAGAAACTACCAGGCCGGGAACAGTGGCTCATGCCTGTATTCCCAGCACTTTAGTTGAAGGCCAAGGTGGGGAGATCACCTGAGGTCAGGAGTTCGAGACCAGCCTGGCCAACATGGTGAAATCCCGTCTCTACTAAAAATACAAATACAAAAATTACCCATACATGGTGGTGCACGCCTGTAATCCCAGCTACTCGGGAGGCTGAGGCAGGAGAATTGCTTGAACCTGGGAGGTGGAGGTTGCAGTGAGCTGAGATCATGCCGCTGCACTCCAGCCTGGGCGACAGGACAAGGTCCATCTCAAAAAAATTTTTAAAAGGCCAGCGTGGTGGTGGCTCATGCCTGTAATCTCAGCAATTTGGGAGGCTGAGGCAGGCGGATCACGAGGTCAGGAGTTCGAGACCAGCCTGGCCAACATGGTGAAACCCCGTCTCTACTAATAATACAAAAATTAGCCGAGCGTGGTAGCACATGCCTGTAATCCCAGTGACTTGGGAGGCTGAGGCAGGAGAATCGCTTGAACCTGGGAGGTGGAGGTTGCAGTGAGCCGAGATCATGCCATTGTACTCCAGCCTGGGCAACAAGAGTGCAACTCTGTCTCAAAAAAAAAAAAAAACCTAATTAAAAATAAATGAATAAAAATTTTTAACAAATAAACTACCAAAAAGTTTTCCCATGTGGTCTTACCAGTTTACACTCTTACTAACAAAGTATGAAGAGTTCCAGTTACTTCATACTTCTCCAACAGTTGCTATTGTCAGTCTTAGTTTTAGTTATTAGTTTTATTTATTTAGTTATTAGTCTTAGTTTTAGTTATTGGCCATTTGGATATCTTCTTTTGCTTTGTGCCTTTAAAATCTCTTACCAATTTTTAGTGGTTTCTTTTTCTTTTTCTTTTTTTTTTTTTTTTTGAGATGGAGTTTTTGCTTTTGTTGCCCAGGCTGGAGTGCAATGGCGCGATCTCAGCTCACCGCAACCTCCGCCTCCCAGGTTCAAGCGATTCTCCTGCCTCAGCCTCCCGAGTAGCTGGGATTAGAGGCATGTGTGACTATGCTTGGCTATTTTTGTATTTTTAGTAGAGGTGGGGTTTCTCCATGTTGGTCTGGCTGGTCTCGAACTCCTGACCTCAGGTGATCCGCCCACCTCAGCCTCCCAATTGCTTTTTAGGATTACTTTATATATTCTGGATATGAATTCCTTATCTGATACATACTTCGTAACTATCTTTTCTCAGCCTGGAATTTGCTTTTTATCTTGTGTGTGCACTTGAAATGAATGTGCATTCTGTGGTTGCTGGATGTAGTGCCCTGTGTAAGTAAAAATAGGATGGTCAACTAATTATATCATCTCCATCTTTTATTTTTACTAAATGTTTGTCTAACACTTGTTGAGAGGAGGGTATTAAGGTTTCCAACTATAATTTTAAAAGTTTCCATTCTCCCTTTTAGTTCTGGTAAGCTTTGCTTTCTATATTTTGAAGTTATGATATTAAGGGAAGGGTTCTAGTTCTGGATAACATGGAGCAAACACATGACTACTTTTCTCTTACACTAAATACAACTATAAAATCTGGACAAATGCATGGGCAGCTGTTTAAAAACTCCAACAAATAAATATCAGCAGGATTATCAGGGAAAAACATCAGAATTTGATATGAGAATACCACCAAACTGGCGATGAATTTACCCTTATTTTTCCCTCTAGTATTCCCCTGCATGAACTCTAAGCATCTCAAACCCAGAAGTGAGAACTGAGTAGAGACAGAAAAACATTGAGGAAAACTTTCTAGTTCTGAATTAAGGGGCCAAATAGAAAAATGCCACAGATAAAAATCCCACATATTTTTGTTCTACTTTTTCTCCATTCTCTCATGCTCTGGTCCATAAAAAACCCTTTGGCAGGGGTGATGGCAGCAGCAAAAGCCAAACCACTGGAGTAGGGGAATTCCCTTTTAATTTTGTGCAGCTGCAGCTCTAAGAGAATGGAACCAAACCCCATTGTTCTTTTACTCTCTCTGTTCTCCTGACACTGGGGCACCAGACATACCACAATTGCTGAATTGGTTGGTTTCTGGCCAGAGACCCAAAATGCTTCCAGGGACCTCAAGCCAACAAATTCCAATAAGATTTATTTATTTATTATATTTTTAAAAATTTATCTATTTATTTATTCATTTATTTATTTTGAGATAGAGTCTAGCTGTGTCGTTCAGGCTGGAGTACAGTGATGTGATCTCGGCTCACTGCAACCTCTGCCTCCTGGGTTCCAGCAATTCTCCTGCCTTAGCCTCCCGAGTAGCTGGAATTACAGACACTTGCCACCATGCCCAGGTAATTGTTGTATTTTTAGTAGAGATGGGGTTTCACCATGTTGGCCAGGCTGGTCTTGAACTCCTGACCTCAAGTGACCCACCCGCCTTGGCCTCCCAAAGTGCTGGGATTACAGGTATGAGCCACCACACCTTTCATACTTTTAAAGGCACCTTTTTCCTGCTTCTCGAACAAGGGGTCGTTGTTTGTTTCCACAACTTGGAACCAACGGCCATTTTATGGTAGGTCCTCAATAGGTAGAGTATATATGGTTCTAGAAATGAAGTATTGGAAATAGTTGGGACATCTCTCAGCATCACTCCCAGTGAGCCACTAGAGATATTTTTGTTTCCAGTCTCTGTAACACTAAGTTGGGTTGGTCTGAAGGATCTGGCTTCTAGGGGCAGAGGCATGGAGGATGATAGTAGAGAACATATCTACCAAGGGACCCAGTAACTCACTGAACCTAAACTATGGCTGCCATCTGATTATTTGGGGGCTCTTGTGCTGTTGGAATAGCAGGCAAAGACGAGGTCTTATTCTAGTAACCCTTTAGAGAAGATTCAAGAAGACAAGAGTTCTTTTTACTAATGGAGGCATGGATAACTATGCCTGGGGCTCAGAAGATCCACTAGAGCATATCTTGGTTCTCCTGTGCCATATGTGAATGTAACTGAGGAGGAGGGACTCCTCCCTAACTAATTCTATGAGGCTAACATCATTTTGATACAAAACCTGGCAGAGATACAACAAAATAAGAAAACTTCAGGCCAATATCCTTGAAGAACATTGATGCAAAAATCCTCAGCAAAATTCTGGCAAACCAAATCCAGCAGCACATCAAAAAGCCTATTCACCACGATCAAGCAGTGATTTTTGCACATTGATTTTGTATCCTGAGACTTTGGTGAAGTTGTTAATCGGCTTAAGAAGCTTTTGGGCTGAGATTACGGGGCTTTGTAAAATAGGATCATGTCATCTACAAACAGGGATAGTTTGACTTCCTCTCTTTTTATTTAGATGCTCTTTATTTCTTTCTCTTGCCTAATTACCCTGGCCAGAACTTCCAATACCATGTTGAATAGGAGTAGTGAGAGAGGGTATCCTTGTCTTGTGTCAGTTTTCAAGGGGAATGCTTCTGGCTTTTGCCCAGTCAGTATGATGTTGGCTGTGGGTTTGCCATTGATGGCTCTTATTATTTTGAGGTATGTTCCCCAATACCTAGTTTATTGAGAGTTTTGTTTTATCATGAATGGATGTGTAATTTTATTGAAAGCATTTTCTGCATCTATTGAGATAATCATGTGGTTTTTGTCTTTAGTTCTGTTACATGATGAATCCCATTTATTGATTTGTGTCTGTTGAACTGACGTTGCATTCCAGGGATGAAGCCTACTTGATCGCATATGTACCAAATAAATGAGGCAAAACTGACAAAAATAAAGGGATAAATAGGCAAATCCACAATCATAGTTGAAGATTTTAACATCCCTCTTTAAGCACTTGATGGAATAAAATAAAAGGAAAAAAATTGGTGAGGATCTAGAACTCTGCTGTTGATATGATAGCCACTAGAGCCACAAGCGGCTATTGTGCTCTTGAAACATGATTAGTCTAAAGTGAGGTTTGCTGGGAGATGAAAAGTTCACACTGATTTTCAAAGAGTTAAAATGAAAACAATAATGTAAAATATTTTATTCATAATTTTATGTTGATTACAGGCTGGGCATGGTGGCTCACACCTGTAATCCTAGCACTTTGGGAGGCCAAGGAGGGTGGACTGCCTGAGCTCAGGAGTTCGAGACCAGCCTGGGCAACATGGTGAAACCCTGTCTCTACTAAAAATACAAAAAATTAGCTGGGCATGGTGGTGCGCACCTTTAATTCCAGCTACTCGGGAGGCTGAGGCACGAGAATTGCTTGAACCCAGGAGGCGGAGGTTGCAGTGAGCCAAGATCGCACCACTGCACTCCAGCCTGGGTGACAGAACGAGATTCTGTTTCCAAAAAAATAAAATAAAATAAGTAATTTTATGTTGATTACATGTTAAAATGCTATTTGGATATTTGGGCTTAAATAAAACGTATTATTACAATTAATTTCACCTGTTTCTTTTTTCGTCACTGATTGTGGCTACTAGAAAATTTAAAATTACATATGTGGCTGACATTACATTTCTTTTGGACAGTGCTGATCTAGAAGACCTGTAAGATACTGTCAAGCATGTTGACCTAATTGACATTTATAGCCATTCAAGTAAATAACAAAAAAATAGGCATTCTGTGCATGAATACATGGAAAGTTCCCTCAGATAGACCAAATCTGTGCCATCAAACAAGTCTCAATAAATTTCAAAGATTAAAATCTTACCAGAGATGTTCTGTAACCACAAGAGTATTAAATTTAAGAGCAAATGGCCAGGCTCATTGGCTCATGTCTGTAATCTCAGCACTTTGGGAGGCTGAGGCGGGAGGATTGCTTGAGGCTGGGAATTTAAGACCAGCTTGAGCAACATAATGAGACCCCATCTCTACAAAAAATTTTTTTTCAGTAGCCGGCCTGGTGGTAGGCCTGTAGTTTTAGATTCTTGGGAGGCTAAAGCAGGAGGATTGCTTGAGCCCAGGAATTTCAGGTTGCAGCGAGCTAGGATTATGCCACTGCACTCCAGCCTGGGCAACAGAGTGAGACACTGCCCGAAAAAAAAAAAAAAAAGAGAGTAAAAATGTTAAAATATCTATAAAATCCCTAAATATCTGAAAACAAAACAACATACTTTGAAACAACCCATGAGTCAGAGAAGGAATCACAAAGCAAAGTAGAAAATATTTCTTCTTCTTCTTCTTTTTTTTTTTTTTTTTTTTTTTTGGAGATGGAGTCTTGCTCTGTGGCCCAGAAAGGAGTGCAGGGATGCGATCTTGGCTAACTGCAACCTCCGCCTACCAGGTTCAAGCGATTCTCCCACCTCAGCCTCTCGAGTAGCTGGGATTACAGGCACCCGCCATCATGCCTGGCTAATTTTTGTAATTTGTTTTTT
Source organism: Homo sapiens (assembly GCF_000001405.40). Lineage (NCBI taxonomy): Eukaryota > Metazoa > Chordata > Mammalia > Primates > Hominidae > Homo > Homo sapiens. The sequence goes on along the minus strand of NC_000002.12, from coordinate 99,219,051 downwards.
TAGTAGAGATGAGGCTTCACCATGTTGGCCAGGCTGGTCTTGAACTCCTGACCTCATGTGATGCGCCCACCTCCGTTTCCTGTGCTGGGATTACAGACGTGAGCCACCATGCCTGGCCAAAAATATTTCAAATTGTATAAAAATGAAATTATTTATTATACAATTATTATACAAATTGTATAATAATGAAAACATAATATACCCAAATTAGTGGGATGCGGCTAAATTGCAAGAAAAGAAAAACAGAAAAGAAAGTCAAAGACCAATATCCATCAGAATTCTTAACAAAATCTTAGCAAGCTAAATCTAGCAATATATAAGAAAGATAATTATTCAATACCGAGTGGAGTTTACTCCAGTAATTTAAGGTTGACTTAAAATTCAGAATACAGAAAAAGCATTTGGCGATATCTAATATGCATCCATGATTTAAAAAAAAAAAAAAAAAGAAAACTTCTTAGCAATCCAGAAAGAGAAAAAAACCTCTCTATCTGATAAAGGACACCAACAAAAATGTCAGCTAACGTCTTACTTATGTTGAACTACTCAATAGTTTCTCCCTAAAATCAAGTCAGGAACAAGCCTAGTATGGACTTGTAAAGGAAGTCTTATCTTATAGTTTATTGTAGGTATAAATGCCATTGCTGTGTGCAGCTATTATCTTGTGGCTGACTGCAATTCTCTGAAATGATTGGGGAGGTACAGGAAATGGATTCGGGCTGTGACAGCAGAGTGGTGAAGGCTGGCTCAGTTAGCCAGTGAATTCTGGCTATAAACCATGAGAAGAGATTCAGGGACTGCTTATCTTATAGCACGAAAATGATCCTAACTCATACTCTGCCTTAAGTCAGCAGAATGTGCCCTTCTAGGTCCCATCTGCCCTGCACCTCTAGCCCTCATACACCCAAATGGGGCTTCCTCCCTGGTGGATCTCCTCTGTGCTCCTCTAGGCTGCTGCTTTGCAAGGACCCCACACTCCCACTTCCTTCCCCAACCCCATCAGACTGAAATGTTGGCCTGAGCATCTCGGATAGTTAGTGGCTCAGACCTCGCTCTTTTCTGAAGAGTTGCCCCTTCCTAGGGGATTTTAAAGACTCAAAGCCTTAACTTATTTTATTTTTAATTGACAAATAGTAAATGTATCTACTTATGTGGTACAATGTGACATATGTATATTGTATATTATGGAATGATGACATATGTATATTATGGAATGATTAAATCAGGCTAATTAACATATCCATCACCTTATATACTTATCACTCTTTCATACTATGAACATTTAAAATCTGCTCTCTTAGCAATTTTGAAATATATATTACATTATTATTAGCTATTGCCACCATGCTGTACAATAGATCTCAAAAAACTTATTTAAATAACTATACTTCTGATTGTGGAATGTCACCCCTTGGCAGAGTGATAGGGAGATGTTTTGGGCAAGGGCCCTTTCCAAGTTCTATTCTATACTCTCATCTTGAGAAGGCAGTTTCTTGCAATTGTGCTAAGTCAAGGCTCTACATTCAGACAGATTTTACCAAATTAACATTGTAAATATAGAAAATGACTTAATAAAAGCAACACCCCCTGCCAGTGGCCCCCCAAATTTCTGAACCAGAGGGTGTGAGAAAGCAATAAATGAGATGTGAGTATAAGTGACAAACTGACAGTTTGGGGACAACTGTAACCAAAAGTAAGAACTCTTCAAAGCAGGAGACTGACTGAGCAAGACAAACAGAATTTAACTTTCAAAAAAAAAAAGTTCAGTGAGCATGACTGCAGACTAAAGAGGGAGAACTTAATGAGGTACAGTGTAAAATAAATACTTTAACATCCCAACAGGAACCTGGAATTTAGGGTCTACTCTTTTAGAAGGGTTGAATTCTCCCTGAGAAATTATTGACCCTCTTGTCTGAATTTCTTTTTTTTTTAGACAGAGTCTTGCTCTGTCACCTAGGCTGGAGTACAGTGGCACTATCTCGGCTCACTGCAACCTCTGCCTCCCAGGTTCAAGCAATTCTCATGCCTCTGCCTCCCAAATAGCTGGGACTACAGGCACCTGTCATCACATTCAGCTAATTTTTGTATTTTTAGTAGAGACAGGGTTTCACCATGTTGCCCAGTCTGATCTTGAACTCCTGACCTCAAGTGATCTGCCTGCCTTGGCCTCCCAAAGTGCTGGGAGTACAGGTGTGAGCCACCATGCCCAGATCTATATTTCTGAGGTTGAATATGATGCCACAAACCCATGGGAACATTGAACCGTGAGAAACATATTTATCAAGGCACCAAGATTCTGATTGATTAGGTTAAACACACCAGCTAGAAATTTCCGAAGTGGACAAAACAAAAGCTGAGAGGTGTGTTGTGCTCCTCTCTTCCTGCAGGGCCCTGAGTCAGGTGAGAAGCCCCAGCTGCTCTTTACCTCCCTTCCTGCAAGTCCTGCTCTGACTGAGCCTAGGGAGGCATTCATTTCAGGAGGAAAAAGTTCCTTTTGTAAGAACCTACCATTTTGTTCCCACATCCCAGTGAGTCTGGGCCAGAGCCCCAGCATGAGGGTGAAGTGCTGGGGTGATAAGGATATAGGTGCATTGGGAAGAGGGGTGTGCCCTGTGGCTGCTGTTAGGGCCATACTGTGTTACAGGAGCAGTCACTATAGCTGCTTGTTTCCTTACTTAAGTGTTTATTCTCTCATGTTTCTATCTATCTATCTATCTATCTATCTATCTATCTATCTATCTATCTATCTATGTATCTATCTATCCATCCATCCATCTGTTATCTATCTATCTATCTATCTATCTATCTATCTATCTATCTATCCATCCATCCATCAAGCTATCCATTTGTTTGAGTAGCTTTTATTATTATTTAGGTAGGGTAAGGCCAACAGATTAGGAGATGACTGCCAATGAAAAGATAATTTTCTATACTCACGGATCCCCGGAGAGGGAGTACATGTCACACCACAGGGGGCCACAAGGGGAATAATTGGCATCAGTCATGAGGCAGAGGGAAGCGAGGAGCCATGGGCAAGCACCTTTGTTGTGGTTTCTGCAGAAAGGAGTGGGAGAAGCAGGGTAAGCAGGCTTAAGATTGGCTCATTTGAATAAGTTCAGTGGGCTCTGGGTATAGGACTATCCCTGGTTGTGTGGTACCTGGCCATGGACTGATTAGCACAGGTGGATAATGGCCCCAAGTATGAGACCCCAACAAGGGCGGTTGTTGGGAGTGTGGACTTAATCACCTGCTCAAGAAAAGAACTTACTGGCCCCTAGTCCTGGCCTCAAAGCTGGCTCCGGACAGCACTTAAAAAGTATATCACACCATCCATCCATCCATCCATCCATCCATCCATCCATCCATCCATCCACCCATCCACCCACCCATTTATCTACCTACCCACCCACTCATCTATCCATCCATCCATCTATCCATCCACCCATCCATCTCTGCATCCACCCATCCATCTATCTGTTCATCCATCCATTCATCCATTTATTTAAACAGCACATTAGCCAGAACAGGTGGTGAGCAGACAGCCTGAAATCCTAAGTTCAGAAAAGGTGTCCTGCAATGTAATATATAATAATAATCTCTTGCTCCTGTTTTCTTTCCATTTCACCTGCTCCAGGATAGAAGTTTACCTGCTTTGAAGCCTGTGGAGAGTGGGCTGAGCTGGATGGAGCTGGGGGACCCCTACCCAACAGGGCTGTATTTCTCCTTGCCAGTGGGTAAAGGCTAGTCTCACAAGCTCAACCTCAGGCCCCAGGCTGAGCTGGACAGCAGAGGGGAGGAGAAAACATTGCTGCTGCCAGAGTCATCTCTTTGGGAAGGAGTCTTCTATCCAAGCCTGGGATTCAGTCCCCAGCTATGAGGATGGAGAGCCCCAGAAGTCCCAACCACATTTCCTCAAATGCTCCCGCTTTTATCGGGGTGCAAGAATTTCTCTTCTAACTTAAAAAATGTTTTCGTGGGCTGGCTGCAAGTGGCTCATGCCTGTAATCCCAGCACTTTGGAAGGCCAAGATGGGCAGATAGCTTGAGATCAGGAGACCAGCCTGGGCAACATGGTGAAACCCCACGATATGGTTTGGCTGTGTCCCCACCCAAATCTCATCTTGAATTGTAGCTCCCATAATTCCCACATGTTGTTGGAGGGAGCTGGTGGGAGATAATTGAATGATGGGGGTGGATTCTTCCATACTGTTCTATTGGTAGTGAATAAGTGTCACAAGATCTGATGGTTTTATAAGGGGTTTCCCTTTTCACTTGGCTCTCATCTTTCTCTCTTGCTTGCTGCCATGTAAGACGTGCCTTTCACCTTCTACCATGATTGTGAGGCCTCCCCAATCACATGGAACTGTGAGTCCATTAAACCTCTTTTTCTTTATAAGTTACCCAGTCTCAGTATGTCTTTATCAGCAGCATGAAAATGTACTAATACACCCCGTCTCTACAAAATATTTAAAAAATTAGCCAGGTGTGGTGGCATGCACTTGTAGTCCCAGCTACTTGGAAGGCTGAGGCAGGAGGATTACCTGAGCCTGGGGAGGTCAAGGCTGCAGCGAGCTGTGACCATACCACTGCACTCCAGCCTGGGTGACAGAGTGAGACCCTCTCTCAGAAAAAACTACTTATGTAAATGATCACATCATTTGTAATGGGTGAGTCAAAAAAGTCCATTGAGCTTTGACATATTCTGATAGTCAGTTGCTATTACTATTAGTGGACGTTGTGAACTACTCTGTCTTTGTGACTTGTGTCTCCAGGAGCTCCTGGCTTTCATGGCTGGGGAGAAAGAAGCTACTGGTCTCCACACAACTATTTCAGGATTTCCTCAGAGAGAAGCCTCTTATGGATGGAAGAAAAGAAGCTCTTGCTAGAAATCAGTGTGATCAGGTGGGGAGGAACAAGTCCTGGGCAGATGCCTGTTACCAGAAGAAGAATGAACTGGGCAGAATTGAGTGGTTGAAGCCTGAGATTGTGGGGACAGAAGAGGCCAACCAACAGGTGTTATGTGGACATGAGTTCTCTAGGACAATATAGAGTTGGACAGGAATTAAGTCAGATTGAGTCAGAGTTATGCAGGTGTCTGATAGTCATGCAGTAGACAGGTATATTAGTCCGTTTTCACGCTGCTGATAAAGACATACCTGAGACTGGGCAATTTACAAAAGAAAGAGGTTTAATGAACTTACAGTTCCACATGGCTGGGGAGGCCTCACAATCATGGTAGAAGGCAAGGAGGATCAAGTCACATTTTATGTGGATGGTGGCAGGCAAACAGAGCACTTGTGCAGGGAACTCCCCCTTATAATACCATCAGATCTCATGAGACTTATTCACTATCATGAGAACAGCATGGGAAAGACCTGCCCTGGTGATTCAATTACCTCCCACTGGGCCCCTCGCACAACATGTGGGAATTCAAGATGAGATTTGGGTGAGGACACAGCCAAACCATAGCAAGAGGATTGGTGGGGGTGGGTTGCCAGGCAAATGATTCAGTAGAATTCACGGGGGAATCAAGTTGGGTGAAAGGTTGATTTCCTGGGTGAGGGTGGGATCTGGTGAGGAGGATCAGTCTAGAGACGAGGTGGGGGTCTAGTTGAGAAACCAGATTCATTATCTGAGTGTGCTCTGGTGGGGGTGGGGGTTGGGAGGTGGTCCATTAAGACTGTAGGATCTAGGGGCAAATAGGGCTCAGGTAACAGAAAGAAGCCTAGAATTGATGGTGACCAAGGGAGAAGTTGAGAAGAGGTAGGGATTTTTTGAAGCTGGGAGGAGGCAGGGCAAGATGGCTGCATAAAACACTCCAGTGATCATCCCTCTGGAGGAACACCAAATTCAACAACTATCTATTCAAGAAAGTCCCTTCATAAGAACTCAAAATCAGGTGAGCAATCACAGTACTGGGTTTAATATCATATCAAGGAAAAAGGTACTGAAGAGGGCAGGAAAGACAGTCTTGCATTGCCCAAACCAGGGGTCCCCAACCCTTAGACCACATACCTATATATTCCATAGGAGACTATTTAAATAAGTTTTGCTATATTTAACCAACAGAATATGATGCAGCTATTGAAACAGTGGTTATGAGGGCTTTGTGATAACACATAAATGCTTATAATACATTGTTGAGTTATAACACTGCATATACAGTATATATTTGAATATACATTATGTAAAAAGAGATATATTAAAGTAGAAATAGTTATGTTAGCATTTAGTACCTTTGTTTCCTTTAGTTTTCAATGTTTATAATGTGGCCATGTTCATTTAATATTAAACAATTTAAATTTAAAAAGTAAAATAAAATAATTACCCCCCACAACTCCACAAAAAAAAAAAAAAAAAAAAAAAAAAAAAAAAGATAGTACTGGGCCATGACCTGTTAGGAACTGGGCCACATAGCGGTGGACTAGTGAGCATTACCACGTGATCTGTGCATCCTGTCAGATCAGCAGCGGCATTTGGTTTTCATAGGAATGTGAACCCTATTGTGAGCCGTGCATGCAAGGTATCTACATTGTATGCTCCTTATGAGAATCTAATGCCTGATTATCTATCACTGTCTCCCATCACCCTCAGATAGGACTGTCTAGTTGCAGGAGGACAAGCCCAGGGCTCCCTCTGATTCTACATTATGGTGAATTGTATAATTATTTCATTATATATTACAATGTAATAATAACATAAATAAACTACGCAATAAATATAATACACTTGAATCACCATGAAACCATCCCCATCCCCTCCATATTGGTCCGTGGAAAAATTGTGTTCCATGAAACTGGTTCCTGGTGCCAAAAAGGCGGGGGACCACTGGCCTAACCATCCCTTCCCCATCCCCTGGCAGTGTCATGTGCCAAAAGAGAATTTGTGTGCTCAGGGGAGGGAGAATGAAGTGATCATGGGATTCTGCACTGGAACTCCCTGCTGCCCTGTCACAGCCAAAAGCAACACAGAGATGAATTCGGCTAATGCCCATGGAGGGAGCATTTAGATCAGTTTTGGCCAGAGAGGAATTGTCTGCCCTAGCAATAGGAAACTGAGTTCTGGCCAGCTTTGCTGCCTGCTGACTTAAGTGGACTGGGGTCCTAAATATATTTGAAAGGCAGTCTTAGCCACAAGGACTGCAGTCCCTGGGCAAGTCCTGGTACTGCAATGGGCTCAGAGCCTGTGAACTTGGGGTACATGTGACCCAGTGAGACACCAGTTGTACTGGCCAAGGGAGTGCTTGCATCACCCCTCCCCAAATTCCAGGCAGTGCAGCTCTGGGAGAGAGTCCATCCACTTGCAAAAAAGAGAGGGAAGGGTAAAGAGGACTTTGTCCTGCAACTTGGGTACTAGCACAGCCACAGTAAAATAAGGCACTTAGCAGATTCCTGAAGCCCCTGAATTTAGGCCCTAGCTTCTGGATGGCATTTCTAGACTCACCCTAGGCTAGAAGAAAACATGCTGCCCTAAAGAGAAGGACCTAGTCTTGGCAAAATTCACCACCTGCTGAGGAAAGAGCCTTTGGGTCTTGAATAAGCATCAGCAGTAGCCAGGCAGTAGTTGCCAAGGGCCTTGGATGAGACCCAGTACTGTGCTGAATTTGGGTGTGACCCAGTGCAGTCCTACCTATGGTGGCCATAGTAGTGCTTACATCACCCATTCTCCAACTCTAGACAGCCCAGCACAGAGAAAGAGACTCCTTTTAGGGAAAATGAGGGAAGATAATGAGAGATTCTGCCTGGTAATCCAGGGAATTCTTCCAGATCTCACCCAAGTCCATGAAGGCGGTACCTCTATGAGTCTTCAAGAGACTCATACTATCCATCCATCCACCCATTCCATGTACAGATAGAGGGCTTGGGATACCTTCTAGTACAGATAAGACTGCAGTGACCAAAGACTTAGATCACAGCACTCAATTCCCTTTGAATCTGAAAAGCCTTCTTAACAAGGACAGGTACAAACAAGCCCAGACTGCAAAGATTAGAATAAACACCTAACTCATTGATATGGTTTGGCTCTGTGTCCCCACCCAAATCTCATGTTGGATTGTGATTCCCACTGTTAGGGGAGGGACCTGGTGGGAGGTGATTGGATCATGGGAGTGGATTTCCCCCTTGCTGCTCTCATGATAGTGAGTGAGTTCTCATGAGATCTGATGGTTTAAAAGTGTGTGGCACATCCTCCTTCACTCTCTCTCTCTCTCTCTTTCTGCCACCGTGAAGACATGCTTGCTTCTCCTTTGCCCTTCCACCATTATTGTAAGTTTCCTGAGGCCTTCCCAGACATGCTCCCTGTACAGCTTGCAGAACTGTGAGCCAATTAAACCCCTTTTCTTAATAAATTACCAAGTCTCAGGTATTTATTTACAGCAGTGTGAGAACAGACTAACACAATCATCAATGCCTAGATATTAATGAACATTCACAAGCATCAAGAGCATCCAGGAAAATATTAGTTCAGCAAATGAACTAAACAAAGAATCAGTAACCAATCCCAGAGTGACAAAGATATGTGACCTTTCAGACACAGAATTCAAAATAGCTGCTTGGAGGAAGCTCAGTGAACTTCAGGAGAACACAGAGAAGAAATTCAAAACCCTATCAGAGAAATTTAACAAGGAGATTAGAATAATTTAAAAGGATCAAGCAGAAATTTTAGAGATGAAAAATTCAATTGACAAACTGAAAAATGCATCAGTCTCTCAATAGCAGACTTGATTAAGCAGAAGAAAGAATTAGTGAGCTTGAAGACAAGCTATATGAAAATACAGTCAGAAGAGAAAAAATAAAAAGAGAATAAAAAAGAATGAAGTAACCCTACAAGATCTAGAAAATAGCCTCAATAGGCAAATCTAAGCATTATTGGCCTTAAAATAGGAGGTAGAGAGCGAGGTGAAGGTAGAAAGTTTATTCAAAGAAATAGAAATGGAATTTTTCAAACCTAGAGAAAATATCCAAGTACAAGAAGGTTATAGAACACCAAGCAGATTTAACTCAAATAAGACCTTAAGGCATTTAATCATCAAATTCCCAAAGTCCAAGGATAAAGAAAGGGTCCTAAAAGTAGCAAGAGAAAAGAAACAAACAACATATAAAGGAGTTCTAATACAACCGGCAGCTGACTTCTTAGTGGAAACCTTAAAGGTCAGGAGAGAGTGGTATGACATATGCAAAGTGCTGAAAGAATAAAACTTTTATTTCAGAATATTGTATCCAGCAAAAATACCCTTCAAATATGAAGGAGAGATTAAGACTCTTCCACACAAATAAAAGGTGAGGGAAGAGCTTGTCAATATCAGACCTGTCCTACAGGAAATGTCAAAGGGAGTTCTTCAACCGGAAAGAAAAGAATTTTAAAAAGCAATAAGCAATCATCTAAAATTCACTGATAACAGAGGGTACACAGACACATATAGAATACCCCAACACCCCCAACACTGTAATTGTGATGTATAAGACACATATATTGGTTACATACTCATATATTGAATAGGAAGACTAAAAGACAAACCTATCAAAAATAATAACTATGATGACTTTCAAGAGATAGTATAAAAATATATAAATAGAAACAACAAAAAGTTTTAAAATGGGGATAAAGGATAGTTTTTATTTTCTCTTTGCTTGTTTGTTGTTTTTTTGTGATCAGAATTAAGTTGTTATCAGTTTAAAATAATAGGTTATTAGCTGGGCGTGGTGGCGGGCGCCTGTAGTCCCAGCTACTTGGGAGGCTGAGGCAGGAGAATGGTGTGAACCCAGGAGGCGGAGCTTGCAGTGAGCTGAGATCGTGCCACTGCACTCCAGCCTGGACAACAGAGCAAGACTCCATCTAAAAAAATAAATAAATAAATAAATAAATAATAAAATAAAATAAAATAAAATAATAGGTTATAAGATGTTATTTGCAAGCTGCACAGTAACCTCAAATCAAAAAACCTACAGAGATACATGAAAAATAAAAATCAAGAAATTAAAACATACTATCAGGGAAAATCACTTTTACACAAAGAAAGACCAAAGGAAGGAGGGAAGAGAGGCTGACAAAACAACCAGAAACAAATAACAAAATGGCAACAGTTTGTAAGTCCTTACCTATCAATAACATAGAATGTAAATGGTCTGAACTTTCTAATTAAAAGACATAGAGTGGCTAAAGGAATTAAGAAAAAAGACCCAACTATATGCTGGCTACAAGAAACTCACTTTACCTATAAAGATACACACAGACTGAAAACAAAGGGTTGAAAAAAGATATTACATGCAAATGGAAACCAAAAAAAGAGCAAGAATAGCTACACTTACATCAGAAAAAATATATTTCAAGACAAGACAAAAATTATAAAAAAAGACAAAAAAGGTCATTATATAGTGATAAAGGGAGCAAGAGGATATAACAACTGTAAATATATATGTACCCAACACTGGAGCACCCAGATTTATAAAGCAAATATTATCAGAGCTAAAGAGAGAGATAGATTTCAATACAATATTAGCTAGAGACCTCAACACCCACTTTCAGCATTGGACAGACCATCCAAACAGAAACTCAACAAAGAAACATCAGATTAATCTGCACTATACACCAAATGGACACAACAGATATTTACATTTCATCCAATGGCTACAGAATACACATTCTTCTCAGCACATGGATCATTCTAAAGAATAGAACATATGTTAGGCCACAAAACAAAGTCTTAAAATTTTTTTAATTGAAATAATATCAAGTATCTTCTTAGATCATAATGGAATAAAACTAGAAATCAATAGAAAGAACTCTGGAAACTATACAAATACATGGAAATTAAACAATATGCTCCAGAATGACCGGCAGGTCAATGAAGAAATCAAGAAGGAAATTTAAAAGTCTCTTGAAACAAATGAAAATGGAAACACAACATACCCATACAGGATACAAGAAAAGCAGCACTAAGAGGAAAGTTTATAGCAATAAGCACCTACATCAAAAAAGGTAGGAAAACTTCACATCAAACAACCTAAATGATATGGTTTGGCTCTGTGTCCTCACCCAAATCTTGTCTTGAATTGTAATCCCCACATGTTAGAGGAGTGGCCTGGTTGGAGGTGACTGAATCATGGAGGTGGTCTTACCGCTTGCTGTTCTTGTGATAGAATTCTCATGATAACTGGTTGTTTGATAAGTGTGTGGCTCTTCCCCTGCACACACACTCTCTCTCTCTCACCTACTTCTATGTAAGATGTGCCTTGCTTTCCCTTCACCTTCCACCCTGATTGTAAGTTTCTTGAGGCTTCCACAGCCATGTGGAACTGTGAGTCAATTAAACCTCTTTTGCTTATAAATTACTCAGTCTTAGGTAGTATATTTATAGCAGTGTGAGAACAAACTAATACATTAACAATACATCTTAAATAATTAGAAAAGCAAGAGCAAACCAAATCCAAAATTAGTGGAAAAAAAAATAAAGATCAGAGCATAAATAAACAAAAGTGAAACTAAAAAAAAAAAAAAAAAACACAGGCTGGGCATGGTGGCTTATGCCTGTAATCCTAGCACTTTGGGAGGCCAATGAGGGCTGACCACTTCAGCTCAGGAGTTCAAGACCAGCCTGGCCAATATGGTGAAACACAATCTCTACTAAAAACACAAAAATTAGCTGGGCATGGTGATGTGCACCTGTAATCCCAGTTATTTAAGAGGCAGAGGCATGAGAATCACTTGAACCCCGAAGGCAGAGGTTAGAGTGAGCTGAGATTGTGCCATTGCACTCCAGCCTGGGTGACAGAGACAGAGCAAGTCTCTGTCTCAAAAAAAAAAAAAAAAAAAAGAATAAATGAACAAATAAATGAAATGAAAAACTGATTTTTTTTGAAAAGATAAACAAACTGAGAAACTTTTATCCTGCTAAGAAAAAAGGGAGAAAACTAAAATAAATGAAATCAGAGATTTTAAAAAGAGATGTTACAACTGATACCACAGAAATTCAAAGGATCACTAGAAAGCACTATGAGCAACTATATGCCAATGAATTGGAAAACCTAGAAGAAATGGATAAATTCCTAGATACATACAAGATTGAAACATGAAGTAATCCAAAACCGGAATAGACCAATAACAAGTAACAAGATCAAAGAGATAGTAAAAAGTTTTCCAGGCTGGGCACAGTGGCTCACGCCTGTAATCCCAGCACTTTGGGAGGCCGAAGCAGGTGGATCATTTGAGGTCAGAAGTTCAAGACCAGCCTGGTCAACATGGTGAAACCCCGTCTCTACTAAAAGTACAAAAATTAGCCAGCCATGGTGGCACGCACCTGTGGTCCCAGCTACTCGGGAGGCTGAGGCAGGAGAAATGCTTGAAGCCAGGAGGCAGAGAGATTGCAGTAAGCTGAAACCGTGGCATTACACTCCATCCTGGGTGACAGAGCAAGACTCCGTCTGAAAAAAAAAAAAAAAAGTTTTCCAGCAAAGAAAAGCCCTGGATCTGATTCCTTTACTGCTGAAATCTACCAAACATTTAAAGAAGAACTAAAATGAATCCTACTCAAACTATTACAAAAAAATCAAGGAGGAGGGAATACTTCCAAATGAATTCTATAAGGCCAGTATTACTCTGATACCAAAAACAGACAAAGACATACTAAAAAAGAAAACTACAGGGCAATACCTCTGATGAACATAGATGCAAAAAATCTCAATAAAATACAAGCAAACTGAATTCAACAACACATGAAAGTGGTCATTCATCATAACCAAGTGAAATTCATCCCTGGGATGCCAGGGTGGCTCACCATGTGAAATATTTCTACAATAAAAATTATAAAACACATATGAAAGAATGGAAGAGGACACACAAAAAATGGAAAGATAGGCCAGGCGTGGTGGCTCACGCCTGTAATCCCAGCACTTTAGAAGGCTGAGGTGGGTGGACCACTATTGGGGGAACCACCCCTAATATTTCATCATAGGTTCTTTTCTATTTTCCCTAAGAGTCGGCCGGTCTGAGAAATAAAGGGAAAGAGTACAAAAGAGAGAAATTTTAAAGCTGGGTGTCCGGGGCAGACATCACATGTTGGCAGGTTCCGTGATGCCCCCTGAGCCGTAAAACCAGCAAATTTTTATTAGCAATTTTCAAAGGGGAGGGAGTGTACGAACAGGGTGTGGGTCACAGAGATCACATGCTTCAAGGGTGACAAAAGATCACAAGGCAGAAGGTGAGGGTGAGATCACAAGGTCAGGGCAAAACTAGAGTTACTAATGAAGTTCCATGTCCCGCTGTGCACGCATTGTCATTGTAAACATCTTAACAGGTTCAATGGCAGAGAACCGGTCTGACTAGAATTCGCCAGCCTGGAATTTCCTAATCCTAGCAAGCCTGGGGGTGCTGCAGGAGGCCAGGGAGTGTTTCATCCCTTATCTGCAACTGCACAAGACAGACACCCCCAGAGCAGCCATTTTAGAGGCTCTCCCTGGGAATGCATTCTTTTCCCAGGGCTGTTAATTATTAATATTCCTCACTGGGGAAAGAATTCAGCGATATTTCTCTTGCCCATTTTGGGTAATAAGAGAAATATGGCTCTGTCCAGCCCAGCCCACAGGCAGCCAGACTTTAAGGTTATCTCCCTTGTTCCCTGAGAATCACTGTTATCCTGTTCTTAAGGTGCCCAGATTTCACATTGTTCAAACACACATGCTTTATGAACAATTTGTGCAGTTAATGCAATCATCACAGGGTCCTGAGGCGATATACATCCTCAGCTTATGAAGATGATAGGATTAAGAGATTAAAGTAAAGACAGGCATAGGAAATTACAAGAGTATTGATTGGGGAAGTGATAAATGTCCATGAAATCTTCACAATTTATGTTCTTCTGTCATGGCTTCGGCAGATCCCTCCGTTCAGGGTCTCTGACTTCCTGCAACAGATCACCTGAGGTCAGGAGTTCGAGACCAGCCTGACTAACATGGTGAAACCCCATCTCTAGTAAAAATACAAAATATTAGCCAGGCATGGTGGCGCATGCCTGTAATCCCAGCTACTCCGAAGGCTGAGGCAGGAGAATCATTTGAACCCAGGAGGCGGAGGTTGCGGTGAACCAAAATTGTGCCATTACACTCCAGCCTGGGAAACAAGAGTGAAACTTTGTCTCAAAAAAAAAAAAAAAAAAAAAAAAAAAAAAAAGAAAGATATTCCATGTTCATTGATTGAAAAACATCAATGTTGTTAAAATGTTCATATTACCCAATCTACAGATTCAGTGCAATCCCTATCAAAATACCAATAACATTCTTCACAGAAATAGAAAAAATTATCCTAAAATTTATATGGAACCACAAAAGATCCAGAATAGCCAAATCCATCCTGAACAAAAAGAACAAAACCAGAAAAATACATTGCCTGACTTTGAAGTTTATTGTAGAACTAGAGACCCGAAACAGCATGGTACTGGTATAAAAACAGACACATAGACCAATGTAACAGTAGAGAATTCAGAAATGAATCCACACATCTGCAATGAACTCATTTTTGACAAAGCTGCCAAGAACATACATTGGGGAAAGAACAGTCTTTTCAATAAATGGTGCTGGGAAAACTAGATGTCTATATGCAGAATAATGAACTAGACCCCTATCTCTCACCATATAAAAAAATCAAATCAAAGTGGCTTAAAGACTTAAATCTGACACCTGAAACTATGAAACTACTAAAAGAGAACATTGGGAATTCAAGACCAGCCTTGGCAACATAGTAAGACCTTGTCTCTACAGAAATAAAATAAAAATAGCCAGGTGTGGTGGCTAACACCTATAGTCCCAGCTACTCAGGTGGCTGAGATTGGGGAATCACTTGAGCCCAGGAGTCCAAGGTTGCAGTGAGCTATGAATGCACCACTGTACTCCAGCCTGGGAGACAGAGTGAGACCTTGTTGAAAGAAAGAGAAGAAAAGAGAAATAAATAAATAAAGGAAAAAGGAAGAGAAAAGAGGAGAAGAGAAGAGAAGAGAAGGACATTAAGGAAATGCTCCAAGACATTGATCTGGGCAAAGACTCCTTGAGTAATACCTCAAAAGCACAAGCAACAAAAGCAAATATGGGTAACAGGGATCACTTCAAGCTAAAAAGCTTCTGCACAGCAAAAGAAATAATCGACAAAGTGAAGAGACAACCGACAGAATGGGAGAAAATATTTTCAAACTACCCATCTGACAAGAGATTAATAACCAGAATATATAAGGAGGTTAAACAACTCAATAGGAAAAAATCAAATAATCCAATTTTAAAATGGGCAAAATATCTGATTAGACATTTCTCAAAAAAAAAAAAAAAAAAGAAGACATACGAATGGCTAACAGGTAGGTGAGAAAATGTTCAACATCATTAATCATCAGAGAAATGCAAATTAAAACTACAATGAGATAATATCTAACTCCAGTTAAAATGGCTTTTATCCAAAAGACAGACAATAACGAATGCTGCCAAAGATGTGGAGAAAGGGAAACCCTTGTACACTGTTGGTGGGAATGTAAATTAGTACAGCCACTATGCAGAACATTATGGAGGTTCCTCAAAAAACTAAAAATAGAGCTACCATATGATCCAGTAATGCCATTGTTAAGTATATATCCAAAAGAAAGACCAGTATATTGAAGAGATATCTGCACTCCATGTTTATTGCATGGAGTGCAGATTTACATTTACACTGCACAATAGCCAAGATTTGGAATCAACTTAAGTGTCTATCAGTGGATGAATGGATAAAGAAAATGTGGTACATATGTACAATGGAATATTATTGAGCCATAAAAATGGAATCCCAACTTTTGCAACAATATAGATGGAACTGTAGGATATTAGGTTAAGTGAAATAACCCAGGCACAAAAAGACAAATTTTGCTTGTTCTCACTCATATGCAAAAATTAAAACAATTGAGATCATAGAGATAGTAGAATAATGGTTACCAGAGACTGGGAAGGGTAGTGGGGATGGGGGAAAAAGTATAGATGGTTAATGAGTGCAAAAATATAGAGTGAATAAGATCTAGTATTAGCATAACAGGGTGACCATAGTCAACAATAATTTATTATATACATATTTTTTATTTTTTAGAGATAGTGTCTTACTCTGTTGCTCATGCCAGAGTGCAGTGGCACAATCATAGCTCACTGCAGCCTCAAATTCTGAGCTCAGGTGATCTTCCTGCCTCAGTCTCCTGAGTAGCTAGGACTACAGGTGTGCACCACCTCACCCAGCTCATTTTTAAAATTTTTTTTGTAAAGACGGGGTCTTGCTATGTTGCCCAGGCTGGTTTTGAACACCTGGCCTCAAGTGATCCTGCCACCTCAGCCTCCCAAATTTTTCTTGTATAATTAAAAATAACTGAAAATTGAATTGGAATGTTTCTAACAGAAATAATAAATGCTCGAGGTGGTGAATACACCAATTACCTGGATACAATTATTACACACTATGTGCCTGTATCAAAACATCACATGTATCCCATACATTTATACAGCTATTATGTATCCATAATAATTAAAAATAATAATAAAAAAAGAAGTAGGGTCTGATGACCAAGAAGACCCTGGTGGCCAAGATGAGGAAGCACATGGTAGGGGTCGGATGGATGGTGAAGAGGACACAGTGGCCTGAGACTCTGGAGCAGAGGTGGTAAGTCTTACCACCACGGTGGGAGTGAGAAAATGTCTGAGAACAGCTGGGGCAACAGTAGAGAAGGCTGTGCTGGCAGAAGGAAAGCCAGGGATGGGGTGGAAAAAGTGTGGTGGGGCAGGGCCCATTAATCAGGAGGAGACCATGAGGGATAATTGCTGGGAGCCTAGACAGGGGACAGAGTGGGCAAACAGACCTGCATGAGGCACTCCAGCAGGGATGTGACAAACAGGCCTGGTCGGGTCCACTGAGAAGTGAAGGCCTGTGCTCACTGCAGTGAGGAGAACCACCCCATGTCCCCATGTGGAGCAGTCCAGGAAGAGGGGTTTGGAAAGGATCTGGGCTTTTATCAGGTTATTTTGGTGAGTGTTTCAAAAAGTAGGTTTTGCTCTGGATTGGATGCTGTCAGGAGAAAGATGATTCTGTGATTGGTATCTTAATCAATGTTACCTAGAAGGAGGGAGAAATGAAATGAAGCTCAAGCTGTGATTGGCAAAGCTGCAGTGACCCACATTAGCCAGAATAGGTGGATGCTTGGTTATTTTTGTGACTTGAATCACATTCATGTTTTGGTCTGTGCTCAGACATGACTCTAGAGTGGTCTTGTTTTTGCCATGATCCATTACATTCAGTGCAGCTTTATCTGATGTTGATGTTCTGTGAAATTCCTTATGTTCAACAGAAGAACACCACCTGTGAGGCCAGGCCAGCTCCTGGAAACACCAAGGCCTGAGAGTTCCAGGCCAGTTCCTGGCTGTCAGAAGTTGCTTTTTCTTTTCCTCAATCCCCCTCTTTAGTCAAGGGCAGGTGAAGTCAGGCCACAGAATTCATGACATCCAGATTTTCACCACTGTCAAGACCAGGAGGATGTCCCGGAAGCATGGTCTGTAGTTGGGCTAGAGCTAATCCCTTCTCCTGTTGCAGGATGAGCTGTTGAGACCTTTGACTTGACAGTGGGTACAGAGCAGCATTCCAGATTTTGGACAGTGTACATCAACCAACTGTAACAGGCCATTACCAGAAACAAAAGGATGATGAGTCTTATAACGGGTCTTAATGCTGGGATACCAGATTATAAAACCCAGGTGAAGAAACATGTCCCAGAATCCAGATGGGTCTTTTAGGGAGTCAGGTGGCTTTTTTGTTTATCTTAATATTTTCTGTTTTGCTTGCCCTGTAGTGTGTAAGTACAGCAAGAAATGTTTGTGATAGTATCAAGTCCTCCTTGGCTAGCTGATAGAAAATCAAGGTGTTCAATGGGCCTCAAGATTCCTAGGTCCTGTTATAACGATCTTGTCAGGATTATGTCACTGGCAGGTGGGACACACATTCAAAACATCCTCAGCAATATGCTTAAATTACCCTATCAATCTTGGTTCAATACTTTTGCCAATTCTTCTCTGCTATTGTGGGTAATATCACAAAATAGTTTTGCTAATTTCCATTTTTCTTATGGCCATCTCCTTCCATAACAGCAAAGCATGTCAAGGCTCTTTAATTCATTGTCAATTCTACAGGGGTTCCTGTAGTGGTCAGGTGATTTTTGTTGTTGTTTCTAAAGCATTGCAAAGTCATACACTACCCCCACATCAAATACCTCCTATTGTATCAATATAAATATTTACTTTTGTAACTTGGCAGATCTGGGAGGGGGCAATTAATTTAGCCAAACTAAATGAATACGATTTCTGAGAAAAGCTTTGACTATGATGATAGTCTACATAGCATTCCCCCCCGCCCCACCCCAGGGGAGTCTGTCGCCCAGGCTGTAGTGCAGTGGCACAATCATAGCTCACTGCAGCCTTGAAATCCCAGGCTGAAGCAATCCTCCCACCTCAGTCTCCTCAGCAGCTGGGACTACAGGCATGTGCTACCACACCCAGCTAAGTTAAAATTTTTTGTTTTGTTGTTTTAGACATGGGGTCTCACTATGTTGCCCAGGCTGGTCTCAAACTCCTGGCCTCAAGCCATCCCCCCACCTCAGCCTCCCAAGTTGCTGGGATTACAGGCATGAGCCACCACGCCTGACTGTACTTGGCAATTTTTAGTTTCACTTTTTAAGTGTGAATAATCTAAAACCACAATTAAATCAGTTCTCCAAGGGAATCTCTAAGTCTGTGCAGGGTATGGATCGTTCCCTAAGAGGGGTAAGCAATTATGGGCGGTTGCTTTTTTGGGTGAAGGAAGTGGCTGAGTTTAGAGTGTTGTAATATAGGCCAGTGATGTGTAAAAGCAAAGCAACAAAATTCATGGGAGACTAGGTAAGTAGCTGAAAAATCCTGCGAGTTTACTGTCAGTAGAAGACCCTGTACAGCACAGCATGGGAAGCTGTCAAGTTTAGTGGAAACCCTGGAACTAAATCAACTGAAGTTTTCACTTTTATTGCTACTGCTATAGTTCTCAGATGGGGTGAGTATGTCTTGGCTACTGGATCTTACGAAATAAGCAATGGACCCCTGGTGATTTCCACTTAGTTCAATCAGTACCCTAGTGCCTGTTCAGCTTTATAATAAAAAGAAAAGAGGTATGGAGGACTGGTGAATCTAGAATAATGGAAATAATCTTTTGGGAGACAGTAATTGTACCGCTCTGTTTTTCTTTTTTCTTTTTTGAGACAGGATCTCGCCCTGTTGCCTAGGCTGGAGTGCAGTGGTGCAATCATAGTTCATCACAGCCTCAAACTCCTAGACTCAAGTGATCCATCTTGCCATCCCAAAGCGCTAGGATTACAGGCATGGGAGTGGGGTGGGGAGTCGGGGTGTGCACCATGTTCAGCTGTTTATATTATCTTTAAAGTGACCAACAAATTTTCTTTTTTCCAGGTAATACGGAAAACTAGAGAACAGGAAATGAAGAATTGTTTATTTTTCTTCTTGAGCACTTATTTCATGTCATTTAATAATTTTGAGGCAAAAAATAAACAGAAATAATATCCAAAGACATTTTCAGTTTGTTCATTGATTGCCATTCTAATACATAAAGGTAAGAATTTTAGTGACCAGTGTTTTGTATCTGACTCTTATTTTAGAATTTCCAGTGTTCCAAGGATTCCTTATTAATTAATTCCCTCAGGTCTTGAGAGAAAAGTTTTGATATAGAAAAGCAGATTTTGACAAATATACACAAAGAGTGGCAAATGGTTTAGACAGTAATTTGGACCCTTGAAAATTTTATCAAGCTGTGTGATCAAAAAGCTAGTCCTTATTAATTCTCAAAGTATGGAAAGGAAGGAAGGGATACTACTTATGTTAAGCAAAATTATCCCATTTTGAGAAAAACAAGACAATCTCCGCATGGAAGTTTCTTTGCTTTTCATTTTAAGGTACCTCCCAAAGAAGCAATCTTGTTCATGTCAAAATCTCCCTAAAATGGCCTGTGTAGTTCCAAACTGTCCTTGGTGAAACTGTGCCAGTTAGATAATAGGCATACTAGCTAGCATTCTTATGAGAAAAAAAAAATGAAGAAAATAGGTGTTTGGCCTGAAAGAGGTACAATTTTAGATTGAGGAGACCCTAAGAGAACTGCAGTCGTCCTTAAAGGTAGTGTTTGGGTTGACTTGGTGGCCACGGTCACCACCAGATGTCAGGCAAAACCTCCTGAAAGAAGGCAGGTGACACTAAACAAAGCAATCCTCAAAGACACAAAGTCAAGACCGAGGAACAAACCCTTATAGGGTTTTGAAGTGATGATATGAGGCAAAGGAATGCCAATCTGAAGAAACCTTCTAAACTATACAGCCACTATGATAAGGTCCAGGATTGACTTTTCAGGTTTGGCTGGGGGACTTTAAGGAGGCCTCCATGAGCCCTGCCTCCTGTGGTCACACTTCTGTGTAATTCCTCCCTTCCTTGAGTGTAGGTAGGAACTGCAACTTGTTCTTAATGAATGGAATGCAAAAAAGGTGACACGAGGCACATGATTGCATTTATTTGATTATCTAAGAGTGTAGTGCCCATCTTGCTAGTCTGTCTCCAATGCTGGTTTTGGAAGAAGCAACTTGCCATGAATCCTACAGCCATAAGGAAACAAATTCTGCCAACAACCTGAGAGTGCTTGGGAGCAGATCCCTTCCCTGTCAAAGCTACAATGAGCACCTGGCCAGACACGTTTTTCCAGCACTGAGATCCTAAACAGACTACCCAGCTAAGCCACGCCTAGACTTCCGACCCACAAACATTGTGAGACAATAAGTGTGTGTTGTTTTAAGCAGCTAAGTTTGTGGTAATTTGTTCTGCAGCAATAGAAAGCTAATGCTGCTGGCCTATGCCCATATTTTCACTAAAGACTTTTCTTCTTGTAGACACTTTTATTTCTAAATATTCAACTTAACATTTAGATCCCCTCTTCTAGCTATGGGCTGTTGAGATTAAAATTAGTTACTCAAACTTTCTTACTGTTTGAGTAAAAATTAACCATGGTATTTTCCCCTATTTACACAATATTAATATTAGTACAGTAAGGCCAGGTATGGTGGCTCACACCTGTATTCCCAGCACTTTGGGAGGCTGAGGCAGGAGAATCATTTGAGATTAGAAGCTCCAGATCAGTGTGGACAACATAGCAACACTTGGCTCTACAAAAAATTTTAAAAAATACTAGCCGGGAGCGGTGGCATGTATCTGTAGTCCTAGCTGCTCAGGAGGCTGAGGTGGGAGGATCACTTGAGCCCAAGAGTTGGAGGTAATAGTGAGCTACGATCACACCACTGCCCTCCAGGCTGGGCGACAGAGTGAGACCCTGTCTCTAAAGAAAAAAAAATTAGCACAGTAAAAGAGATGGCGCTAAATTAGCAGAGGCTGCTTTTATTTTCACAGATGTCTTCGACCCCACATAAGCAAGGACACTGTATGTTGTGGCACACAGGTTTCTCTCCAACTAGACGGAGCTCTTAGAAGTTAGTGTCCTTTGGCTCCCCTCCAGGCCTTACACACACTGGATATTCAATAACTATGGAATTAAAACTGCAGTTGCCTTTAAGCTTATTTATTAATGGGATCTGGTTTCACTGTGGGTGGCACTTCCACTTTAACGCAACGATCAAAAACATTAAGATCTACGACAGGATGGATATTGGGACAATAAGCATGACAATGTCATTGTTGCCAAGCCAAATTTTACAAGAGGTGAAGGGAAGCAAAGGGTAACTAGAATGCAGAGGTTCTTCATCATCATCTTCAATCAGCTGTCACAGAATTCCCCACTACTGAACCTCCCTTACAATTCTTACTTCTCCCCACCCCTCCAGGTATCTAAAATAGAAAAGAAAGGAAATAATTCTCCCTGAGAGATTTCCGCCTCCTTCTTCTTTCTTTTCAACAGCAACCTCAACTGTTGACAGAGGTTCCTTAGGATTCAAAGAACAATTCTGAAGCTGAAAACAGAATAGTCTGTTTTTGAATAAATCCTAAAATATTTTCATTTCACACCCTTGTTCCATGAGGAAAAAATTTACATAGAGACAAATAGGTTTTGTTCAGGCAGTGTGCAATAATAAAGTTTAGGCCAAATTAGATTTATAATTAGATATTAAATGCTGGTTTGGTACTAAGTTTAGGGATAAAATGAACCCATATCCACATATGTACTTATAGACACCAAAGCACAGAACAGATAATCTAGCTGGCATCCAGTGTTTCTTGACTTTGGCTGAATCTCTGTTCCCCAGAACAGACTGTAAGCTCCAAAAGGTGGGGACCATGTTTTGGTCAGCTTTGGATTTCTCCAACACCTTGCACAGTGTTCATGCAAAGAGCCACTCACAGAAATTGTTGAATTCACTTAAAAAAGAAAACAATTTTGGCTGGGTACAGTGGCTCATGCCTGTAATCCCAGCATTTTGGGAGGCTGAGGTGGGAGGATGGCTTGAACCCAGGAGTTTGAGACCAGCTTGGACAACATAGTGAGTCCCTGTCTCTATGAAAAAACTTTAAAAAATTAGCTGGATGTGGTGGCACACTGCCTGTAGTCCTAGCTACTCTGGAGGCTGAGGTGGGAGGATCACTTGAGCCTGGGAGGTCGAGGCTGCAGTGAACTGAAATCATGCCACTGTATTCCAGCTTGGGTGACAGAGCAAGACCCTGTCTCAAAAACAACAACAACAATACTAACGCAATTTTTATAAAATGGTTAATGAGGCTTGCTAAGGTGGCAGTAGACCCAAACGCAGATGTTCAAACATTGCCATTCTTACATGTTTTGGAGTGAAACAGTGAAAGGGAAAGGACAGAGAATTAAACCAAATTAAACTAAAATCTCCAAGTCTGTAGTAAAAGAGAGCTGCAGCAGGTTTAGTCAGTGAAAAAAAAATTTTTTTTTTTCCCCTGAGATGGAGTCTCATCCTATCACCCAGGCTGGAGTACAGTGGCACCATCTCAGCTCACTGCAACCTCTGCCTCCCGGGTTCAAGTGATTCTCCTGCTTCAGCCTCCCGAGTAGCTGGGTTACAGGCATGTGCCACCATGCCTGGCTAATTCTGTATTTTCAGTAGAGATGGGGGTTTCTCCATGTTGGTCAGGCTGGTCTCGAACTCTTGACCTCAGGTGATCTGCCCGCCTTGGCCTCCCAAAGTGCTGGGATTACAGGTGAGCCACCGTGCCCGGCCTGAAAATGGTTTTGAAAACATATTTTAATGAAAACACTTTCTCACCATCTTTAAATAAAAACAATTTGCATTTTCCAATCGGAAGCTGCTGGGGCATTAGGACTCATGTGCTTTCTGCTCCACAGGTTTCAGATGCCACTGCACTACTAACTCCCCAGTGCTTTTGAGGCACGTGTTAGACATGTTCTCCTCTGCTGGAAGTCCTTGTGGCAACTTCAAGGGCTTGATTCTGTGACACAAGAAAATGCGTTTAGATAGGAGGAATACGTTCTAGCGTTCTATATCCCCGCAGGATAACTACAGTTAACAATAACACATAGTTTCAAATAGCTAGGAGGAGGATGTTGAATGTTCCCAACATGAAGAAATGGTAAATGTCTGAGATGATGGATATGCCAATTACCCTGATCGGATCACTATACTTTATATATATTGAAACGTCACTATGTACCCCATAAATATGTACAATTATTATGTGTCAATTAAAAAAAAACAAAATAAAATTTTAGTTTTTTAAAAAGTTTTTTTCAGAACATTAACGAAAAAAGAAAAATGCATTTAGAATTACACTAGGCAATACATTTTAAAAAGAGCTGAGAAGAAACAACAAACCTTATCAAATGCTTAACTACTTTCAATTTTGCATTCACTGAAGGGATATTCTTGTGAACTTGAGGGGTATGTGCCTGTGAACAACAACAACAAAGCAACGTTATCAATCTGAAAAGCAGATAGTTCCATGTTTCAGTAAAATGTTAAATTGAAGGTTCATTCTAAGCCAAATTTATAAATAAATTACCCTAAGTAATACAAAATAAATAATAAATGTATACCGCAAAGTTTTAAAAGTATAAAATTTAAAGCAATGTAAACAACACTAAAGATGATTAAAATAATTGCATACTTTTTCTAATCCAAGCATCTTTATTATATCTTTTTCCCAATATGGACGTCTTCTTGTACTTTTTATTCTGGTAACAATATGCAGTTTATGAGGGTTCTGTGGATCCCCACCGTATTTTTCATGATCTTCAGGTGAGGCCTGAAACACCTAGAAAGGAAAGAATTATAAATGGTAAATTTCCAACTTACACAGTTTCTGTGTACCTCCCATTTTTTCTTAAAAGACACACACACATACACAACTACATAATTACCTCATCCTTAATCATCATGTAATCCTCAACCTCAGATTGAACATTTCTATCAATCTGATTATGCAGATAGATGGAGTTTAACCTGTAGAACAAAGCAGGAGCAACCAGACAACACTAAATAATTTAAATGTCAGGAGAATCTGTAAGCACTGCTATGAGCTGGGCACTGGGCTGCATCCTCTTCCCTCCCTATTCTCAGGTGAAGAGCTGACTATCAAGTGGGAAAACAAACATGTAAATTAAAAATGAAAATAAAACATAAGTATTATAAAAAGAATCTACAAAGTATTATGAGAATACAGGCAAATGACTAATGAACTCTGCCTATGAGCGATCAGAAACAGCTCCACAGAGCTAATACTTGAATTAATTATCTAAGAATCAAAAGGTTCTAAGAAACTATCCCACAGAAACACTCCTCTAAGTATACAAAATATACCGAATAAGGATGTGTATTCTAACACTATGTGTAACACTGAAAAGTTTAAAGGCAACCCGTGTTCCTCACCATGATAACTACATTATGATGCATCCATTCTAAATAAAATGATTAATAATAAAACTAAGTAAAATGATACAAATACACAAATTCTTTTTTTTTTTTTTTGAGATGGAGTCTTGCTCTATCGCCCAGGCTGGAGTGCAATGGCACGATCTTGGCTCACTGCAACCTCTGCCCCCAAGGTTCAAGCGATTCTCTTGCTTCAGCCTCACGAGTAGCTGGGATTACAGGCGCACACCACCGTGCCCAGCTAATTTTTCTATTTTTGGTAGAGATGGGGGTCTCACCATGTTGGCCAGGCTGGTCTCGAACTCCTGACCTTGTGATCCGCCCGCCTTGGCCTCCCAAAGTGCTAGGATTACAGGTGTGAACCACCACGCCTGGCGCAAATACACAAATTCTGATGTATCCTATAGGATACAATACTACCATTAAAATGAATGAGGTTTACTATCTTTGCAGGTCTTCACATTGAATGATGGCCATAATATATTCTTGAGCCAAAAACCAAAAAGAAATGTCCACACAATTATGTGTTGTAAGCTGTTATGTGCATCATCTGTACCAAATACATGAGTGTGCATATGTGATATATTCTATAAATACTGTTTCTAAGACTCATATAAAATATATATAAAGGTCTCAAAGACATTAGATCAAGAGTCATAGCTCTGGGGAA
Source organism: Homo sapiens (assembly GCF_000001405.40). Taxonomy (NCBI): domain Eukaryota; kingdom Metazoa; phylum Chordata; class Mammalia; order Primates; family Hominidae; genus Homo; species Homo sapiens. Next base: position 99,193,463 of record NC_000002.12, on the reverse strand, counting down.
GCAGATTTAGAAAAAAAATTGACCCCCAAAAAGATGGTATTTTAATAAAAAAGAATATCATTCATGATTAAAAACAGTTTTGTAGAAATGTAAACAGTGTAAAAGCGTTCTTATTTCTCCACAGCCTTGCCAGCATCTATTGTTTCTTGACTTTTTAATAATCGTCACTCTGACTGGCATGAGGTAGTATCTCATTGTGGTTTTGATTTGCATTTCTCTAATGATCAGTGATGATGAGCTTTTTTTCATATGTTTCTTGGCCACATAAATATCTTCTTTTGAGAAGTGTCTGTTCATTTCCTTTGCCCACTTTTTGATGGGATTGTTTGTTTTTTTCTTGTAAATTTAAGTTCCTTGTAGATTCTGGATATTAGACCTTTGTCAGATGGGTAGATTGCAAAATTTTTCTCCCATTCTGTAGGTTGCCTGCTCACTCTGATGCGAGTTTCTTTTGCTGTGCAGAAGCTCTTTAGTTTAATTAGATCCCATTTGTCAATTTTGGCTTTTGTTGCAATTGCTTTTGGTGTTTTAGTCATGAAGGCTTTGCCCATGCCTATGTCCTGAATGGTATTGCCTAGGTTTTCTTCTGAGGTTTTTATGGTTTTGCACTATTGGTGGGAATGTAAATTAGTTCAACCATTGTGGAAGACAGTGTGGTGATTCCTCAAGGATCTAGAACCAGAAATACCATTGGACTCAGCAATCCCATTACTGGGTATATACCCAAAGGAATATAAATCATTCTACTATAAAGACACATGCACATGTATGTTTATTGAAGCAGTACTTACAATAGCAAAGACATGGAACCAACCCAAATGCCCATCAATGATAGACTGGATAAAGAAAATGTGGTACATATACACCATGGAATACTATGCAGCCATAAAAAGGAATGATGTCATGTCCTTTGCAGGGACATGGATGAAGCTGGATGCCATCATCCTCAGCAAACTAATACAGGAACAGAAAACCAAATACCGCATGTTCTCACTCATAAGTGGGAGTTGAGCAATGAGAACACACGGGGAGTCGGGGGCAAAGGGAGACCATTAGGACAAACACCTAATGCATGTAGGGCTTAAAACCTAGATGACGGGTTGATAGGTGCAGCAAACCACCATGGCACATATATACCTATGTGACAAATCTGCACGTGTATACCGGAACTTAAAAAAAAATGTATACAGTGAGAGGTTCATATTATATTACTAAACAGAGAGAGCAGCTAGAGAAGCATTGATTCATATGAGATGAATCACATCTTAAAACACACAACACAGATTGAACTCCGTATTCTACTCTTTCCTCCTCATTACTGCACTTGACTAGTCTAAAAGAAAAAAATAAAACATACAACAAAGAAGGATGTGGAAGGAGTTGGCAGCAGTTATCTCGGGGTGGGTAAGATTAAGAGTATTTTTTGGTGAGTTTTGCTTGTTTATATTTTTCTAGAGATTTTGAAGAGATTAGGATGAGAAGGATGGTGGAGATCAGAGGAAGGGGTAGGTGCACTAAAGAAAGGTGAGAATATTTAAAGGAACAGTATGAAGGAGCACAAAATATTTTGGAAAGGCAAGTGGTTCAGGGTGGCTAATATAGAAAAAAGCACGAAAAGTAATGCAGAGGATGAAGTTAAACTATGCGCGACTATGTTGAGCCTTTAGAAATTACCGCTGGGGATACAGAGTTAATGAAGGTTAGAACCAATAGGACCATGTTTCTATGAGATTTGCAAAGAAAACTCTTACCTAAGAATAAAACCAACTGGGGATAGAGACTGATACAAGGAAACCCAGTTAGGAGGCACTTATGACCATGGTTTAAGAGCCTGAACTACAGTAGCTGTAACAGAAAAAGGACTGATATGGGAACTCTGGGCAGTAATATAGATGGATTTGTGTTGGGTGAAGAAGAGGGAGGCTGAGCTTGATTCAGATGTCTTTAGTCTGGGAAATTAGATAGAGGATGGTAGCATTAACTGACATAACTAATACAAGAGACGCACCCTCTTTTTTATTTGGTTGTTTGGAGGGAAAGTAAGATGAGTTGAATTTTGGATATGAACTTGAAATACCTATAAGTTATCCAAGTAGCAATGTCTAGAAACCAGTTGAGAATACAGGAGAATACAGGAATAAGTTCAGACGATAGGCAGGGGCCAGGCGTGGTTGCTCACGCCTGTAATTCCAGCACTTTGGGAGGCCAAGGGGGGTGGATCACGAGGTCAGGAGATCAAGACCATCCTGGCCAGCATGGTGAAACCCTGTCTCTACTAAAAATACAAAAATTAGCTGGGTGTGGTGGCACATGCCTGTAATCCCAGCTACTTGGGAGGCTGAGGCAGGAGAATTGCTTGAACCCGGGAGATGGAGGTTGCAGTGAGCCGAGACCACGCCACCACACTCCAGCCTGGAGACAGAGCGAGACTCCGTCTCCAAAAAAAAAAAAAAAGATAGTCAGGGGCTATTTTCATGAGGTTTAAAGGTTTTCATATTTATCACAGTTGATGATCAAAACCACTGCCTTGCACATTTATTTTATTTAAAGTTCCAGGGCACAAATATAGGATGTGCAGGTTTGTTACATAGGTAAACATGTGCCATGGCAATCTGCTGCACTATTTGCTACACTTATCAACCCATCACCTAGGTATGAAGCCCAGTATGCATTAGCTATTTTTCCTGGTGGTCTCCCTCCACTCGCCCCCTACAGGCCCCAGTGTGTGTTATTCTCCTGCCTGTGCCTAGCCTTGCATATTTTAAATGAATGCCAACATTTGTATCTATCCTTCCAGAAATACAGAGTAAGAAACATGGAAAGATATAAGACAATATAGTTGTGGAAAGAATAGCAGTGGAAAGACAATGACTTGAAAAATAAAAAAGATTTCTTTATTTTGTTTTGAGACAAGGTCTCACTCTGTTGCCCAGGCTGGAGTGCACTGATCCGATCATGGCTCACTACACCCTTGACCTCTTGCTAAAGTGATCCTCTCATCTCAGCCTCCTGAGCAGTTGGGCCTGCAGGCATGCACCACCACACCTAGCTAATTTTTAAATTTTTTGTAGATACAGAGTCTCACTATGTTGCCCAGGCTGGTCTTGAATTCCTGGACTCAAAAGATCCTCCTGCCTCAGCCTCCCAAAATGCTAGGAATACAGGTGTGAACCATTGTACCTGGATGAGATTTCTGATAAAAGAACACCAAGCACATTAAAGGTATCAAAGTAGTCAATGGTAATACTGTTTTATCTTTTAAGAAAATCAATGGAGAATGGTAGTCACCAGAAGCTAGGGAGAGGGGAAAATGGGGAGTTACTATTATTATTAATTTTTGAGACAGGATCTTGCTCTGTTGTCCAGGCTGGAGTGCAGTGGCACAATTATAGGTCACTGCAGCCTTAACCTCTTGAGATTGAGCAATCCTCCCCGCTCAGCCTCCTGAGTAGCTAGGACTACAGGTGTGTACCACAACACCCATCTAATTTTTTTTTTTTTTTTGGTAGAGACTGGGTCTCCTTATGTTGCCTAGGTTGGCAGTTATTATTTAGTGGATATAGAGTTTCAGTTTTGCAAGATGAAAAGAGTTCTGGAGATGGATGGTTGTAATAGTTGCACAACAGTGTCAATGTACTTAATGCCATTGAATAGCACACTTAAAAGTGGTTAAGATGGTAAATGTTATATGTGTATTTTACCACAATAAAAAATATTAGGAACCCCCCACCCAAAACAAATAAACAAAAAACCCAGGCTTTACAAAGCTAAATGTAGTCTTTACCATACAATCCAGCAATTATGCTCCAGGTATTTAACTCATGAGTTGGAAATTTATGTCCACACAAAAATCTATACATGAATGTTTATAGCAGCTTTGTTCATTACTGTCCAAAACTAGAAGCAACCAAGATGTTTTTCCATAGATGAATGCACACATAAACTGTGTATGTCTATGCAATGGGATATTATTCAGCAATAAAAAATAAGCAAGCAAGCCACAAAAAGACATGGAGGAACCTTACAGGTATATTGCTAAGAGAAAGAAGCCAGTTTGAAAGGGCTACATACCATATGATTTCAGCTATATTACATTCTAGAAAAGGCAAAACTATGGAGATAATAAAAAGATCAGTGCTTGCCAGGGGTTAGGAGTTGGGAAGGATAAATAGGTGAACCACAGGTGATACTTAGGGCAGTGAAACTATTCTGTATAATACTGTAATAGTGGATACATGACATTATGCATTTGTCAAAACCCATAGAACTTCACAACATGAAGACTGAACACTAGTGTAAACTATGGTATTTAGTTAATAATACTGTGTCCCGTTGGTTCATCAGTTGTGGGGGACACTGTATATGCTGGGCGGAGGGAGCACATAGGAACTCTCCATACTTCCCAATCAATGTTTCTGCAAACCTAAAACTGCTTTAAGAAATAAAGACTATTAATTAAAAAACAAATAAAAACAGGCCAGGCGCCTGTAATCCCAGCACTTTGGGAGGCCAAGGCGGGTGGATCACTTGAGATCAGTAGTGCAAGACCAGCCTGGGCAACATGATGAAACCCCATCTCTACTAAAAATACAAAAATTAGCCGGGTGTGGTGGCACGGGCCTGTGGTCCCAGATACTCTGGAGGCTGAGGCACAAAAACTGTTTGAACCCGGGAGACGGAGGTTGCAGTGAGATGAGATTGCACCACTGCACTCCAGCCTGGGCAACAAAGCAAAACTCTCTTTAAAAAAAAATTTTAAACAAAAATCAATGGCGGGCTTAGTCAATATTATCTAAAAGAATGATAGGTACACAGAAATGAAATAGAAAAAGCTGAAAGATCCAAAGTAACAATGATCGATACGGAAAGTGAAAATGAAGAGTGACACAGTGAGAGCCTGAGTAGGAAGACCCACTGCTTTCTCAGGACAATGGTGATACCAACACACATGTACAAACCACAAGCAGGAATAAGTAGACTGAAATAATAAAAACCCATTACTGTGAAGGCCAGTGACACAAGTGACAGAACAGTTTTATTTTTATGATCACCATTCACATAAATCCCACTATGCTTTAAACTCTGTACCATCACCTACATCCACATATAATTTAACATAAAATCTTCCAATATTACAAAAACGGGTACCACTTAAAACATTTTTTAAAACAACACTAACATTAAAAAAATCAAACTTTGTTCTTACTTTTTCTGGAATTCTTGATCTGGTGAATTTGTGACGAATCCAATCTGTACAAATAAGAGACTCCACACCTTTTGTCACAGTCTAAAATATGATATAAATCATTTGTTTTTTAGAATTCTGTCAGTAGAGAAATCCATACCCACCAATCTTTAGGTAACAGAAGTCTGTTCCAACCTACCCTATAATTATTAAAGGTATATCTTAGCTCCCTAGCTGAGTGAACGCATCCCATCTAAGCACTAACATAATATAAAGCTAAAAGCATATAAATATACTTTTAGACCACGGATTGGTAACCGTTTTCTGTAAAGGACCAGATAGTAAACATTTCCAGCTCTAGAGCTATGTAGTCTCCATTGCCAAAACTCAGCTTGGCCATCACAGGGTAAAAGCAGTCAGACAATATGCAAACTTTTCTTTTTTTTTTTTTGAGACGGAGTCTCGCTCTGTCACCCAGGCTGGACTGCACTGGCGCAATCTCGGCTCACTGCAACCTCTGCCTCCTGGGTTCACGCCATTCTCTTGCCTCAGCCTTCTGAATAGCTGGGACTACAGGCGCCCACCACCACGTCCAGCTAATTTTTTTTTGTATTTTTAGTAGAGATAGGGTTTCACCGTGTTAGCCAGGATGGTCTCGATCTCCTGACCTCGTGATCCGTCCACCTTGGCCTCCCAACGTGCTGGGATTACAAGCGTGAGCCACCGCGCCCAGCCGGGTGTGGATATTTTTCAATAAAACTGTTATTTACAAAAATAGGTGGGAGGCTGAATTTGGCCTAAAGGCCATAGTTTATCAACTCTTGCTCTAGACAATGTGCAATAACTCACATTTAACAAGACAATACAAAAGAAATCCAAAATGAGTTTCTAGTTTCCCTCCTAGTTCTAACAATGTCATCACTCCTAGTTCCTACCTCTTGTTCCTGCTCTACATTCCTCCAATCCCATTTCTCTCAGGCTGCTGAAGAAAAAGGATTCACTGCCAACCTTTCATACCAGGATACTGCTGTGGGAATGGGCAACAGTCATTCCCATCATTCCCTCCCAGCATTTCCTGCATTGCAGAGATGGCATAAACCACTAGAAGACAGGCACTGGGCTGAGTTCTGCTGCCTACCAGCTGTGAGACATGAGACACTTACTCTCTCAGAGGGTCAGTTTCCTCAGCTCTAAAAAGGAACTCATATTGACCTCACAGGATTAATCTGAGGTTAAGGTAATATATACAAAGCCCCTTACATTGTTGTCCTCTGCAGCCAGGAGCAGGTCAATAGGCTCATCTAGGCTCTGGCCCTTATGAGCAGATTAGGCAGCACCACTGCACTTTCTAAAAGCAAGCCTAGAAGGAGACACATGAAAATACTAACACTGAGGGTCTCTTACAGATTATTTCTCTTCCTTCTGATTTTCTATATTTTTCTAATATTTTATTATTGAAAATGCACTCCTTCCATAATCTAAGGGGAAAAACAACCTAAAACTTTAAGATTAAGACAGACCAAGGGGAATCAATGACAGCCATTTTTTATTGGCATGTTTTCCAGAAAAAGATCTTTTTTGATTCTAGATCTTTAGGGATAAAACAGCAGAAAAACCATACATAAACAAGATTAACTCTCAATATCTAAACCATTTCGAAAAGGAACTGGTGAAATAACTTAATTTTGGGTGGCCGGGGCAGGTGGATCACAAGGTCAGGAGTTGGAGACCAGCCTGGCCAATATGGTGAAACCCCCGACTATATGAAAAATACAAAAATTAGCCAGGCATAGTGGCAGACACCTGTAGTCCCAGCTACTCAGGAGGCTGAGGCAGGAGAATTGCTTGAATCAGGGAGGCAGAGACTACAGTGAGCCCAGATTGTGCCACTGCACTCCAGCCTGGGTGACAGAGAGAGACTTCGTCTCAAAAAAATAAAAAAAAGAACTTAGCTTGCCTTGTAATGATTAAAAAAAAAATTCATAAGGGGTAGAAAAGACAAATTCTTGAAAAGAAACACTTACCTGTAGTCTGCCTGGGGGCCATTGAACTACTAAGCGCAAAATCCCAGCCATAAGTGTAGTGATTGCTCTCTTTAGAGGCTGTGGGAAGTAGGAAGTAGACCCATCAGTCAACTATGTCTTGGAAATGAACAGGTTTCCCCTTCTCTAGTATTAAAAAACTAAGCAGCAAATTAATTGTAAACTTAACAGTAAAATTATTGGTTATTTTAATATAATAAGGGCACGAATTAATTTATAAATGTTTTATTCAACCACAGGTAGTAATTATACACATTAGCCACATCCCACTTTCATCAAATGAGTCAGTCCTAGATTGATTCCACAAAATTACTATCATTTAAAGTGTCTTCTTCAACAATGAAGGCAGATAAAGAATGCTTTGCCATAGAATCACAGAAAATTAAAGAGCTAGAAGGGACTGAAGAAATTCCAACTCCTATAATTAGAACTGACTGCCCACATCCTTACTTTATGAATGAGGATCATGAATTCCAGAAAGTTCAATAACTTATCCAAGTGCATCCAGCTATCAATAAAGTTTGTGGTCTGGAACCCCATTCTCCTAATTCCTAGGCAAGTGCATTTTCACTAAATCATAACACCTTTCTGTTAAAAAGTAGAATTTTTTTTGCTTGTTTGTACTTTTTAAACTATTCTCAATGCACACGCATTGCTTCTATAACCTAAAAAGGTCATATTTATTTAATTACACACAAAACAACTGTAGCCTACTATACTGACTTATACTGATAGCAGAAAGATTAAGTTCATGAACTACATGTATATCTCGGACAGGTTACTTAATTCGTGCGTTACAATTTTTCCCCCAGAAAAGAAAGAAAATACCTGTCTTGCAAATGAGTTATTCTACAAAGCACCTAAAACAGTACCTGGCATGTGGGAAGCCCTCAATAAATAGTAGCTTTTATTATTATTAAATTACTACAAAGCTAATAAGAATACTCTTAAAACTGCAGTCCCCAACCTTTCTGACACTGGACCAGTTTCATGGAAGACAATTTTTCCACAGATAGGGAGGGGTGGAAGGGAAGGTTTCCGGATGAAACTGTTCACCTCAGATCATCAGGCATTAGATTCTTATAAGGAGCATGCAATCTAGATCCCTTGCATGCACAGTTCACAGTAGCGTTCACGCTCCTATGAGAATCTAATGTTGGACTGCTCTGACAGGTGGTGGAGCTCAGGTGGTAATGCTCACTCAACCACAGCTCACCTCCTGCTGTGCCATCTGGTTCCTAATGGGCCAGCAAATGGTCTGGGTCTAAGGCCTGGGGTTTGGAGACCTCTGCTCTAACACACTAAAATAGGCTAAGTGTTGTAATTCAGTGTCCCGCAGATTCTAGCTCATTCAAGTTCTGCAAGTCTTTCCTGTGATGTGGATAAAGCAACGGAACTGTGAGAATCAACGCAAGACATCTCCTGAAGACAGCCAGACCTCAGAAACATTCCTCAGCAACTGAACCTATCTAATGCTAAATTATTTTACCAGACTTCCTCGTATCAAGGTTAGGTACTTAATCCAACATACTTAGCTTCACACTTTAAAAAATCTTTCTGATCACTTAGATCTCAACAAAATCCTAACTGGACTTCTGCTTCCATTCCAATTCCCCTAATATCTTTTTTGTATATCAGCAATAAATCATCTCATTAAATCTTAGATCATGTCACTCTGCTCAAAAATCTTCCAGAGAGCCAGGATTCTCACTGTTGAAGTGGGAGGTTACATATAAGCAAGAGGGGAAGGCTACAATGATCCTTATATACTAGATTGGAAATGGAACTCATGTTTAGCTTAATATAGCTATTGAGGGATATAGAAGTAATTACAGATATGCATATATACATGGGCTAGCTCTGTTAGCTGAGAGGACTTAAAGCACTAGCACTCAGTGGCAAGGAGCACACCCAGTGCCCAGATCTTGGCTGCATTCTTTAATAAAAGGAACCAGTGCTCCTTTGAGAAATGGCTGATTATGTCTGGAGCACTTTGTAATGCTAGAAAGGAACTACTGGAAAAAACATAACGATGGGGTATGTCAAAGTGACACTGCAGTCAACTGTACCCAAAGCTGGAACAATTTCAGCAACAAAATAAGTAACAAAGTATTACTGGCTTATAATCCAAACCAAAATAAATAAATAAATAACCCTAAATTCATACTAATATAAATAGGTGAATAAGTTAATGAGAAAGAACAAATATCCCATTCAGAAGAATTCCAAATAATTTATGTAGGTACTCTCTTCCAGTATCTTCCCAAACACCTAACTGCCTCAAAACTGTCAATGATATCAAAAACAAGGAAAGTCTGAGAAACTGTCACAGTTAAGAGGAGCCTAAGGAAGAAGTCATGACCATTAAATGTAATGTGGTATCCTGGATGGGATCCTGGAATAGCAAAAGGACATTTGGCAAAAACTAAGTAAATCTAAATAAAGTATGGACTTTAATAACGTATCAATATTGGTTCATCAACTGTACACAGGTATACCAAACATGAAAGGGGGAAACAGTGTAGCATATACAGAAACTCCATACCATCTTCACAACTTCTTTGAAAATCTAAAACTATTCAAAAATAAAGTTTATTTATGAAAAAATTAAAACCTCCAATGCTTGTCCATTTTGATCACAGTGAAAATCAATTTTTTTTTTTTTTTTGAGACAGAGTCTCGCTTTGTCACCCAGGCTGGAGTGCAGTGGCCCAATCTTGGCTCACTGCAACCTCCGCCTCCTGGGTTCAACCGATTATCCTGCCTCAGCCTGCTGAGTAGCTGGGATCAGAGGCACCTGCCACCACGTCCAGCTAATTTTTGTATTTTTAGTGGAGACGGGGTTTCACCATGTTGGCTAGGCTGCTCTTGAACTCCTGACCTCAGGTGATCCGCCCGCCTGGGCTCCCAAAGTGCTGGGGTTACAAGCATGGGCCACCACCCCCAACTCTAATTCTTAACCCTCACCCTCTCATGTCTTTGTAGTACAGCACTACCAACCTTCCCCACCTCCAGGACTCCATCTCCAATTACTCTCTTGCTCAATCACCAGACATGCTGCCCCCCTTGTTTGATCTAGAACTAGTCAAGCAGGCATGCTCCCTTTGACTGACCATTCCCTCTCCTGGAATGATCCTGATATTTACATGGCTAATTTCCTTATCTTTTTCAATTTTTGGGTCAAATCTCACCTTTTCAATGAGGTCAACCCAGATCACATCATTTAACATTTTCACCCATACCCCAACTGTCAACACTCCCAATTCCTCTTCACTGCTTTCTATCGTGCTTATCTTCTAACGTAACTTAATTATCTGTTAGGTTTTGTTGTTTAGTGCATGTACATTCAATAGCACGCTAATTCCATAGGAAAAGGGTTTTTAGATTTTGTTGTTTTGGGTCTGTTATATTCATAGAAGTATCCCAAACATCTGTGTAAAGCGGTATCTGCCCTATAGCAGACATATAATATATTTTTGCAGAATAACTGAAGTTTAAATATTTACAGACTTCTGAAGGTGTGATAGTCAAAAGTTACAAGTTTTTAGAGACAGAGTCTCGCTATGTTTCTGGTATTGAACTCAGCCTCAAGCAATCCTCAATTTTCCCAGTAATTGGAGCTAGGTGTGTGTCACCACGTTTGACTCAAAGAATACGTTTATTTTATCTTATTTATTTTTTTGAGACGGAGTCTCGCTCTGTCGCCCAGGCTGGAGTGCAGTGGCACGATCTGGGTTCACTGCAAGCTCCGCCTCCCGGGTTCACGCCATTCTCCTGCCTCGGCCTCCCCAGTAGCTGGGACTACAGGCGCCCGCCCGGACGCCCGGCTAATTTTTTGTATTTTTAGTAGAGACGGGGTTTCACCGTGTTAGCCAGGATGGTCTCGATCTCCTGACCTCGTGATCCTCCCGCCTCGGCCTCCGAAAGTGCTGAGATTACAGGCGTGAGCCACCACGCCCGGCAAGGAATACGTTTTAATAAAGTAAAAGTTACTGTTAATAATTAGGCACGTAACTCCTGGACCCTGAAACAATTACGCTGTCTTCTGTAAAACAGGAAAATATCAGGCATCACAGGAGAAGTATGATCCCATTTCTATTTTTTTAAATGTCTGTGAACGTGTGTAATCACAGAAAAACTCTGGAAGGTTGTCAGAAAAACGTTAACATACCCCTGGGGGTATGAAAAAAGGCGTTTTTCCTCCCCCTTCTCCCCCCCAGCGACCGATAGTTCTTTTGTCTTTTTACAATGAGCATGCATGCAACAGGAATGTTAAAAATCGATTTCTTTTTCTAAACCGACAATGTATACAATTATTAAAGGGGGAAAAACACTTCTGAAATGCAAAACATGGAATCACTCTTGCAGAGATACCAGAGATCTCTGAAAGCTGGAAGCGTGTCTCTTCTCTGAACTCCTAGTGCCTAACAAGCAGTAGGCAGCCCTCATTACTGCCTCTTGGCAAAAAGGGCAGAACAAACAGCTTTTGGTAGGTCTCGATCAAAATGGTAACAAATCACAGTTTTAATAAAATGGCAAATATTCTAACTGCCAACTCTTGGATGTTTGCATTATAAAATGAAGCAATACAAAGATAAAGGCAATTTTCTGTCTTCATTAAAAAAAAAAAAAAGCAACCTTAATACCCAGTGGCAACCCTAAGTTATGAATAAAGCAGCAGCACAGAAAATGCTGCTTGGGTTCCCTTTCCCAAGCTGTCCAGCCTCGGCGGCTCCGTTCTTGAGCTCCAAGAGTCTGGGCACAAAAAGCCGCGTGGCCCTGGATCCTGCAAATTGGGAAACGGGGGGATCCTGCAGGCCAATGGCCTTACGGGAGCCAATGTGACGGGATCAGGGGCAGACCCATTTAGGTTGCCGTAACCGGCCAATTCAGTACGCAATAGGGAAAATCAATTAGGATCTGCAGAGGGTTCCCGGATACACCTTGCGAAGAATGCCGCACTCTCCGCCACTCATTCCCCACTCACCGGCACCCGCTAAACCTTCAGCCTGAAATTTTCCTCCGAAGGGAAGCAGAGCAGAGGAAGAACTACCAAGTGCTACACTCAAAGCCTGCCGTCGCAGTGAGCGCGACCTCCAAACTGAGGCATTTTTGTTCCGGCGAAATCCCTCCCACTCAGGAAAGTCCCTAGAAAGAGAGCGCAGGCGCCTGGGTATCACATGACCACTTCCCGGAAGCGCAGCAGACCCGCTCAACTTCATCCTGGGTTGAGGCGGAGGAGAACTTCCAGAATTATGGCGAAGTCCGGGCTGAGGCAGGACCCGCAGAGCACAGCTGCAGCCACTGTGCTAAAGCGGGCAGTAGAACTAGATTCGGAGTCGCGGTATCCGCAGGCTCTGGTGTGTTACCAAGAGGGGATTGATCTGCTCCTGCAGGTTCTGAAAGGTGAGCAATGAGCCAAGGCGGGGAGGACCTGAGGAAAAGGAGCTGGTTCCTGCTGTGTCTGGGGTGAAGTGAAAGAGTTAAAAATGATTTTTCCACACCACGAAGAAGCAGTTAAATACAGAAGGTGGGATATTCTATAGGACAACTGGGCCGCTTTCTTTTAGATCTTTAATAGATTGATGTTACCTAGAAAAGGTGGGGAGGCTACTAGTCTAGATTTTAAAAGACTTAAGAGATATAAGATATAACGCAATGTAATATATAAGCTTTGATAGGACCTGGGTTTGTACGAACTTTAAAAGACATTTTTGGATCTATTAGAAAAGTTTGAATATAGATTGGGGGGCATTAAAATTATTTTCTTAGGCAATATGATTTTTTTTCCAAAACTTTCCTTAATTTTTAGAGATGCAGACCAAAGTGTTTTAGAAAGAGATGCTATGATGTCTTTAGTTAATTTTCCTTAAGCAAAAATTTCTTAAAAATCGAAGCTCTATTTGAGCAAAAATGCTAATTTTAAAAATTTCGGTGATGGGTAATAAGGGTGTTTATTATACGATTATTTTTAATTTTCTGTTTAAACATTTGCATTTAAAGCAAGCCAAAGTAAAATTATGTAGCGGTAGAAGAAGAAAAGTTTTTCTTAAACGGATGAGGTTCGGTGTGAGAAATGCGCAGGGTTGTGGAGGAGACAAGTGAGACTTTTCGTATTATTCAATGTTGAGAAATACCCAAATATTCCTTAACACCCAGCACAACCCTGGCTCACAGTAGACACTCAATATTTATGTATTAAATTGATAAGATCAGCTCCTGCTCCCCAACCCCCGACACTCCCGGTCTGGACTAAGCTCCCTCTGTTCTTTCTAGTTTAAGCTTCTTATAATTAAAGTGTTACAGAAGCTTTGGGGCAGCAGAGGGGAGCCCTTTATGGTTTGGTGCTTTGGTCAGAACTACAAACTCTACCGGCCGGGCGCGGTGGCTCACTCCTGTAATCCCAGCACTTTTTTGGGAGGCCGAGGCAGGTGGATCATGAGGTCAAGAGATCGAGACCATCCTGGCCAACATGGTGAAACCCCGTCTCTACTGAAAATACAAAAATTAGCCGGGCATGGTGGCACGCACCTGTAGTCCCAGCCACTTGGGAGGCTGAGGCAGGAGAATTGCTTGAATCCGGGAGGCGGAGGTTGCAGTGAGCCGAGATCGCGCCACTGCACTCCAGTCTGCCAATAGAACAAGACTCCGTCTCAAAAAAAAGAAAAAATAACTGTAAACTCTACCTTGCCTGGGGCATTATTTGATGATAATGATGACAGTGACAACAGCAATAAGCATAGATATCACGTTTCAGTGCTGAGTGCCAGGCATTGCAGAAAACATTAAAAGCATGATCTCGTTTCATCCGTACCAATTGCCCTATCAAGTAGGAGTTGATGGTATTCTCGTTTTACAGCATAAAAAGTATTGTTCGCTTTCAAGTTCTGCCACTAGGAGGTGGTAGAGTCACAGTCGGAGCCCAAGGCCCCAACGACTCTGGTATACTGAATCCCAAAAGAGAGATGGTGTACTGTGTTGGTCAGGTGGAACACTGCTCAAGTTTTGGCTGCACTAGGAATCTGAAGCAGGAGAATCACAGTTCTGCTCTAGGGTGCTTCACTGATCCCGTAGAGGTTACAGAGACAATGATGTCACATAGATGGGTTAAGACCAAAATGCAAATAGCGCTAATACAGGGAATAAGTGCCAGGAGAGAGATATCTATAGATAAACGCAATGAGGATTTAAACAGTTAAAGGTCATGTGAGGGTGGAAAGGTAGAGGTGGAGTTTGATTGGGGCTTTGGAGGAAAAATAATTTCAGAAGTCAGAAATTCATCTAAGAGTCTTCAAATTCCTGTGCTGTCTTACGAAATAAGTAGTTTGGTTGAGCATGTATCTGAAGAGGAAGAGTGAGAAGTAAAGTTTAAAGGTAGATAGGGGCTTGGATCACATTGAGGATGGCCTTGACTACCAGGAGATTTTAACTTATTCCACAGGCAAGGAGAAACCATTTAAGGTTTTTACAAAGGAGTAACATAATTGGAGTTGCATTTCAGGGCTTGTCTCTTTCAGGAATGTGCTCTTTTCTCACAGATATTTATTTGCATGGCACACTCTCTCTCCTATTTCAGGCCTTTACACAAATACCACCTTCTTTGTGAGGCTTTCCCAGACCTCCAGTGTAAAATTATAACCCCATCCCAGCACTCCCTGTCCTCCTTCATTATTTTATTTAATAGCACTTACCTCAATCTAATATACATGTTTTGCCAATTTATTTTTATTGTTCTCTTCCTACTTGAACAATAGAAGAGAATTTTGTCTGTTTTACGAACTGCTGTATCCACAGCACTTAGAACAGTGCTGGGCATGTTGTTAGTTCTCAATAAATATTTCTTGAATAAAGGACTGAATATGGCAAGGATGTAAAGTAGACATTAACCTGTAGAGACTGAAGTTAAGCAGACCAATTAAGGAGCTCCTGCTGGAATCAAAATAAGAGGTGTGTATAGCCATTATAGAAAACAGTATGGAGATTCCTCAAAAAATTAAAAAGAGAACTACCATATGATCCATTGATCCCACTACTGGGTATATATCCAAAGGAAATGAAATCATTATGTTGAAGAGATATTTGTACTCCCAAGCTTACTGCAGCACTATTCATAATAGCTAAGATAGGGAATCAACCCAAGTGTCTATCAGCAGATGAATAAAGAAAATATGGCACATATATACAGTAGAGTACTGTTCAGCCATAAAAAATGAAATCCTGTCATTTGTGACATGGACAAACTTGTAGGAAATTGTTAAGTGAAATAAGCCAGACACAGAAAGACAAATACCACATGATCTAACTCATATGTGGAATCTAAAAAAGTTAATATCATAGAAGTAGAGAGTAGAATAGTGGTTACCAGAAGCTGGGAAGGGCAGTGGGTAGGAGGAATGGGGAGAGGTTGGTCAAAGGGTACAAAATTACAGTTAGATGCCAGGTGCAGTGGCTCACGCCTGCAATCCCAGTACTTTGGGAGACTGAGGTGGGTGGATCACTTGAGGTCAGGAGTTCGAGACCAGCCTGGCCAACATGGTGAAACCCTCTCTTAAAAAAAAAAATTTACAGTTAAATAAGAGGAATAAATTCTGGTGTCTTATTACACAATAGGGTGACTAGAGTTAATAATGTGTTGTATGTTTCAACATAGCTAGAATGAAGGATTTTCAATGTTCTTACCACAAAGAAACAATAAATATTTAAGATGACAGATATCCTAATTACCCTGATTTGATCATTACACAATGTATACATGTATCAAAACATCACATTGTACCCCATTAATATGTATAATTATTATGTGCCAATTAAAATTAATAAAACCTTTTTAAAAAGATGAGGCATGATAAGGGCCTGAATGAACCAGGGAGATGATACCAGTATTAAGATAAGGAGGGGGCACTGGCACATGATTAGATATGGGAGTAAGGTTAATGGGAATCAAAGATGGCTGTAAGGGTCCAAGCCTGAGAAACTGTAGCGTAATGATTGAAGGATGGGTCTATGTGTGAGACACTGCCAGCTGATCAAGGACAATGACTAAGACTGAACTACTACATAATTTAAAGTCTAGCAAGGTTGAGGAAAGGTTGTGTTTTGCTTTTATTTGGGCAGGAGAGGGATGGGGGAAAGCTAGAATGAGCTCTGTGGAATCAAAGTTATCAGCATGAACTCATGGTTTTTAATATTTATATAGATGGACAGAAACAAATACATATAGATGTATGTATATATAGATGTATGTGTTAGTAAGCCTACATATACCTCCTAGCTGTATTGACTGAGAGGGTCTAGAAGTAGTGGTGGGACTCCCCCAGCAGCAATGAACACAGCTGGCACCCAGAATTTGGTTTCTCAATGCCATTCTTCAATAAAAGTGACCGAGGCTCCTTGGAAAAGGGTATTTCAGGGCTGGGGCAAAAAATAAACAAGATGAGTTTTAACAAATCTTTTGGCTTCCCTGGGCCACATTGGAAAAATAATTGTCTTGGGTTACATGTAAAATACACTAACACTAACGACAGCTGATGAGCTAAAACACACACACACGCGCACACACACACGCACACATACACACACCCCTCATAATGTTTTAAGAAAGTTTACGAATGGCCAGGTGTGGTGGCTCACGCCTGTAATCCCAGCACTTTGGGAGCCCCAGGCGGGTGGATTGCTTGAGGTCAGGAGTTCAAGACCAGCCTGACCAACATGGCGAAACCCTGTCTCTACTAAAAATACAAAAAATTAGCCGGGTGTGGTGGCGGGCGCCTATAATCCCAGCTACTCCGGAGGCTGAGGCAGGAGAATCGCTTGAACCTGGGAGGCGGAGGTTGCAGTAAGCCGAGATTGCGCCTCCAGCCTGGGCAACACAGCGAGACTCCGTCTCAAAAAAAAAAAAAAAGTTTATGAATTTGTGTTGGGCCTCATTCAGAGCTGTCCTGGGCCACATGCAAGAGTTGGACAAATTTGGTTTAAAACATCTTGTGGCTGTGCATGGTGGCTCATGCCTGTAATCCCAGCACTTCGGAAGGCCAAGGCAGGCGGATTGCCTGAGCCCAGGAGTTCGAGACTAGCCTGGGCAACATGGTGATACCCCATCTCTACAGAAAATAGAAAAGAAATACAAAAACTAGCCAGGCATAGTAATGTGTGCCTGTAGTCTCAGCTACTTGGGAGGCTGAGGTGGGAGGATTCCTTGTGCCTGGGAGGCAGAGGTTGCAGTGAGCCGAGATCATGTCACTGCACTCCAGCCTGGGCGACAGAGCCAGACTGTGTCTCAGCGAAACAAAATGAAACAAAAAAATCCTGAATCAAAATGTAAGGACATAATAGCGATGCGGGCTTGACAAAAGGACACAGGAACTAACATGAAGGAGATGTCAAAGCCAAAGCTGATAAAATTTGAGCAGGAAAATGATAGTATTGGATTATAACTCATAGAGTAAAATAAATATCCCTGAGCCCATACTATTTAATTGAATAAATAGATTGAGAAGGAATGACGGAAATAGAAAACCACCATTTTGCAAACATCACAGTCATAGTTGTTGCAGGCAAGGACCATCAACAGATGCTAAAATTAGTGGGAGAAAGAGTGATGGGAAGCAGGATATCTTTCCATAAGGTACTTACAAATTACAAAAGAGAAAATAGTGATTTTACAGTGGAGAAATCTGAACTACACCTTTACCAAATGGTCAGTTAATATCATCAGCAGTAAGACACATCAACATCATGTACCCACTGAGCAAGGCACATCACTTCTGTGATTTTCTTGCCAAAAATGCATAAACCAAGTCTAATGATGAGAAAACATCAGACTGTCCAAAATGAGAGACATTCTGCAAAAATAACTGACCAATATTATTCCTAAATGTCAAGGACATAGAAGGCAGAGAAAGATTAAGGAACTAACACAGATTGGAGGAGACTAAGGACACATAACTAAATGCAATATGGGATCCTGGACCAGAAAGCAAACTTTCATTAGTGGGAAAATTGGTGAAATTCAAATAAGGTTTGTAGATAAGTTCATAGTATTGTTTCAGTGTTAATTTCCTAGCTCTGATACTTGTAGTATGGTTTGTGATATGTTAACATTAAGAGAATCTAGGTGAAGGAGGTTATCTGTACCATTTTTGCAACTTTTCTGTAAATATAAAAAATTAACTCAAAATGTTTTTTAAAATGAGAGATTAAAATGAAATTATTGGCTGGGCAGTGTGGCTCACGCCTGTAATCCCAGCACTTTGGGAGGCCGAGGTGGGCGGATCACCTGAGATCAGGAGTCGGAGACCAGCCTAACCAATATGGTGAAACGCCGTCTCTACTAAAAATACAAAAATGGGCCGGGCACGGTGGCTCACGCCTGTAATCCCAGCACTTTGGGAGGCCGAGGCAGGAGGATCACTTGAGGTCAGGAGTTCGAGACCAGCCTGACCAACATGGTGAAACCCAGTCTCTACTAAAAATACAAAAACTAGCCAGGCATAGTGGTGGGCGCCTGTAGTCCCAGCTACTCAGGAGTCTAAGACAGGAGAATTGCTTGAACCCGGGAGGTGGAGGTTGCAGAGAGCCGAGATCATGCCACTGCACTCCAGCCTGGGCGACAGAGCGAGATTCCGTCTCAAAACAAACAAACAAAAAATGAGATTATTTATGGAAAATATAAGCGATGTTGAAAGGAAAAAAGGGAAGGAACAAGAAGTGATTTGTTGACTGATTTGGGAGGAGGGGTGGTTGGGTAAAACTTTATGATCATGTATATTCAAAAATAACATTTTTGTGGTAGCTGGAAAAATGTGCATTAACTATAATGGGGAGGTCTGGAAGAGTAGCTGGTTTTGTGGAAGATAAATATTTTTTGCTACTTTTAATTATGCAAAAATTTCAAACTTGTGGGTAGTTAGGATAAAATAGTGCTCAGACATGAGTTTGACATGTAATGAGCCACCTTTCATCCCACCAGATTTGATGTCCCAGAGATGAGACATAGTGTCAAGAGCTCCCACTCCTAAACCAAGCTGCATCACGCTTCGTGTAAATATGAAGGTCTTGTATGTTCAAGCCAAATTTGAGTTTATTGTGTGTGTTTGAGGACTGAGGCAAGCCATACTAGAGGATAGGAAATTTGTAGAAAACTTGAGAAACTGAAAATAATGCCCAAATTAAATAGAAAAACTATTTTGATACTTGATAATATATATTTTTAAATTTGTAGGTACCAAAGATAATACTAAGAGATGTAATCTCAGAGAAAAAATTTCCAAATACATGGACAGAGCGGAAAACATAAAGAAGTACTTGGACCAAGAAAAAGAAGGTAAAGAGGTTGTTTTAGAAAATGCATCCATAAACAACTGTGACTGTCCATTCACCCAATGTTTCTGGCTCCTGCCCTTTGGAGCTCTGTGTGGTCTGGACCAGTTGTCCCTGGGAGCTTACAGGATTTAATCTGTATTTCCACTCCCATACAGGAGTTGTTCTTAATTTTTTGTTTGTTTGTTTGTTTTGGCTTTTGTTTTTAGTTGGGGGTGGGAATATCAGACACCCCTTTGAACATCTCATGAAAGCTATACTTACTGGAGAATGTTCCATGCCATTTTTAAGGGGTTCACAAATCCCTATGAAGCTTATGTGTGGACCCTATGTTAAGAAATACTACAGGGAATACTGAATGTAAATTGTGTATTTTATTTATATTTCCCTTTATGAAATGACCAAAATCATGAAAGAAGCTAAAGAAACTCCTGGGATTTCTCTCAGATTTTGTTGTGAATCAAAACACCTCAGGAGTTAAGCATTCCTAATGATTAGAGGTCAGGTAGGTATTGTTCCCTATTATTAGTTCCCTACTCCTAAGCATCCAGTTTACAAATGTCTGTAAATGGCCATTTCCACCCTTACCTGAGTGCATACTTGCTGCTTTCTATAGCCAAAGGTACTGCTGCCCTCAAAAGCCAGTGCCCCCAGGCCCCAGCTTTTCTTCCTCTCTATACTTTCTACACCCCTTTCCCCATCTCTTCCTACTATCCTGTATCAGTACATACCCTGGGGACCCCCCACTGAGCTCCTTTGTTCAGTGGGAATAAAGTTATGTTTCCTTAGCCCCGATTTGAAATTTAGAATGAAATTTTACTCCAAAACATTGATGAAATATAGTACCTCCAGCATTGTGGTTTTGAGTACATGGAATTAAATTAACCTCTATACGGCTATCTTGGCTTAAAAAATAAGGCATAGTTGCCAATGTTATCTATGTGGAAATATTTGGAACAGAATCCAAACTACTGATTTTTAAACAAAGTGTAAAGTATAATTTAGGGGCTACCATTAGGGTTTTTTTTTTTTTTTTTAGACGGAGTCTCGCTGTGTCGCCCAGGCTGGAGTGCAGTGGCGCGATCTCTGCTTACTGCAACCTCTGCCTGCTGGGTTCAAGCAATTCTTCTGTCCCAGCCTCCCGAGTAGCTGGGACTACAGGCACCCGCCGCCAAGCCTGGCTCATTTTTGTATTTTTAGTAGAGTTGAGGTTTTGCCATATTGGTCAGGCTGGTCTCTAACTCCTGACCTCAGGTGATCCTCCCGCCTCAGCCTCCCAAAGTGCTGGGATTACAAGTGTGAGCCACCATGCCCAGCCAGGGGTCATATTTTTTTAAAACCTTAAAGGTTTCTGATAACTTTTTCAATATTCATTTTGAATGAACAAAAGCAATAGATCTATCCTCTTGATCCTGTGACATCCCAGTCTTTAGCTTATTAAGAAGTACTATAAATTTCTGTTTAAAACTGTACACGTGCCAAGAAAGACTTTGAAGCTTCATATTATACTGCATTAATTTTTTTTTTTTTTTTTAAGGCAGAGTCTTGCTCTGTTGCCCAGGCTGGAGTGCGGTGGCATGATCTCAGCTCACTGCAACATCCACCTGGGTTCAAGTGATTCTCCTGCCTCAGCCCCCCAGGTAGTTGGGACTACAGGCACCTGACATCATGCCTGGCTACTTTTTATATTTTTAGTAGAGCTGGGGTTTCACCATGTTGGCCAGGCTGGTCTCGAACTCCTGACCTCAAATGATCTACCTACCTTGGCCTCCCAAAATGCTGGGATTACAGGCGTGAGCTACCGCGCTCTGCCCTGCATTCATGTTTAATACTCACTTTAGTTATTAGATTGCAAGACATAAAAAGACAAGTCTGAAGAGGAGGACCAGATAGCCACTGAGTTTCAGTATGTGGTGCTACCCATGGCGACAGGGAGTTATTGGATACCTTTATATATACACTACTCCCTTCAACAAACTGCCTGGTCTATAGGATCTTGCTCAAGGACCTGTTCCAGGAAACCTCTAGATTTTCCCCCTTGCCTAGCCTCTGTGAAGGCAGAAATCACTAATGGAGTGGTTTGCCTTAAATACCTTTGTACGTGTAACATCCTGCAATGTATATGATATTTAGTAGGCATTCAATAAGTATTTGCTGAATAAGTTAAAAAAATTAATATGTATCTGATGCTGATTAATCACTCTATATAAAATATAAAATGTGTAAAAAAAAAATGGTCACTGGTTTTACTGTTGAAGCCTGTGTTTTATAGATGGAAAATATCACAAGCAAATTAAAATAGAAGAGAATGCAACAGGTTTCAGTTATGAGTCACTTTTTCGCGAATACCTTAATGAGACAGTTACAGAAGTTTGGATAGAAGATCCTTATATTAGACATACTCATCAGGTATGTGAACATACTAAAATATAATGAAATATCATATTCAATGTACTAAATTAGTAATAATCCATTCTAATGTCTTTTAGCTGTATAACTTTCTTCGATTTTGTGAGATGCTTATTAAGAGACCATGTAAAGTAAAAACTATTCACCTTCTCACCTCTCTGGATGAAGTAGGTACCTGAAAGCACTTACTCTTTCTTATTAACTTTATTCAGTTACAAGATGTAGTCCAGTCAAGGAGAACACAGATGCAGTGCTTCAGCTAGATTTGTTTCCTTGGGAATTAACTTATTATCTAACAGTATGCATAACATGTCATAAAAAAAGTTATTGATTTTAGGATGCTGATTTTGTATTTGGCCACTTTGCTAAATGCACTTATTCAAATAGTTTGTTAGTTTAGTCTCTTGGATATTCTAGGAGGCAATCACACTGTCTGCACTATGAACAATTTTGTTTCTTTACCAATTATTATATCTGGGGGATGGTAGCATGATATGATATGGTAGTGGGCATCTCTATCTTGGTTTTGACTTAAAATAAGAATGCTTCTAAATAATTATGATTTCTACGATTGATTTCAAAAGCAGTCAGCTCCACCTGGATGATTAAAACTATTCTAAACTACATTTAAGGAGACAGGATGGAGTTATGTTCACATTAGAAAAAAAGATGATTTTGATAAAAATAATTGCTCTTTAAACTACCTCACATTGGTTGTTTTTTTGAGATAATAGACATTGAAACTAGTATAGAACATTTCCATCTTAATCCACCTGTGATATAGATTGTATAGCTTAGGGATAATTTAAGATAGTAATAATAACTGCGGCAGATAATCGTATTTTTGCTATTAACAGGGCATTGAGCAAGTGCAGCAAAGTAGAGGCCTGCAAGAAATAGAAGAGTCACTCAGGAGTCACGGAGTGCTGTTGGAAGTTCAATACTCTTCTTCAATACATGACCGAGAAATTAGGTTAGTCTACAATAATGTTTTAATTTTTATGCAGTTGATATATACTTAAAATTTTTGTAAATGTTTTATATAATTGCCTATAAATATTTAATAATTTATAAATATTTAAAATTCAAATAAAACTCCATTTAGTACTTTTTCACTTTTGAGAAGAAAAAAAACACTTGGCTTTCTTTTTGACAAAGTAAGCCAAGTGTTTTGTGTGTGAGTTTAATATTTCCTAATGGAATAGTATTTACATGTTCTGTGTCATATAGAAAAAGAGAACACTTTTCTGTCTACTCAACTGTATATATAGTGTTATGATATTAGGATAATTTATTTTCTAGTGAACTTAATATTTACTTAATGTGGCTTTACTTCTTAGGGGTTATTAAATATTCTAGTAGGCATGACAATTTGCTGAGTCTATAAGAAAACAGAATATGCAGTTATTTTAGTGATATCTTCCTTTTGTTTAGCACAGTGGTTATGTTTATAGCAAGGGCACTCAGTTTTAATAAAAACTTAATCACAAACTAAATATGCAAAACAGATGAAAATGCAGCTGCTGTAGTTAAAGCAGAGGTCAGGGTCCAGGGCTCCTCCTGCACATTCCCCATCTCTAGGTAGGGGAACTCTTGAAACACCACCAGTTTCCCTGAATACACTTTGCCACCACTTGTTAGCAGAACACGAAAAAGTTTTATCAACAAGCTGAAATTCAAGATTAAACTATCAGATAATTAAATCAACTGATTGTTTCTATGACTGTTTTCATTGTGGACACAGCTCATAATGAACCCCAGGTTTGATTCAACTCATGCCACTGGAGGAAGTGGTTTGCTTTGTTAGGGGGAAATTTTGCTGACACTTAATACACTACAGCTTTATTAATAGTCTGACTTAAATGTCTTGAATATAATACTATATACTAATTTCAACAGGTTCAACAATGGATGGATGATTAAGATTGGAAGGGGACTTGATTATTTTAAGAAACCACAGGTAGGATATAATCTTATGAGTAAATGTGTAGCACTGTTTTTGTATCATTTTTAATGATACTCTTTTCTTCTCTTCTTAGAGTCGTTTTTCCCTTGGATATTGTGATTTTGATTTAAGACCATGTCATGAAACAACAGTAGACATTTTTCATAAGAAGCATACAAAAAATATATGATGGGTGGTAGCCTAATTTGTATTATGTCTACTTTAAGTGAATATTGGATTTTTTTTAAAAGATCACTTTTATAATGTATGAATTTAACAATAAACTTTTATATTTCTACTAATTTATGGATCCATCATTCAGTTGTGGGAACAATCCTAAATATTTTTGTAAATATATTACTCAGCAGATTTACAATGTTTCTTTCAAGTAATACAGCTAATTTAAACATTTTACCAGCTTCTCTGTTACTTGGCTGCGGGAGCATGTCAACAAATAATAAGCATCTATTAGGAAGATGAATTAGATCTTAATTTTGCCTGTGGGAGTTTTAAGTCCAGGAGGGAAAGACACCATGGATTAGAGTGCTTTTAAAGAGACAGATGGAGCTTGGGCAACCTGTATCAGAAAAAAAAAAAAAAAAAAAAAAAAAAAAAAAATTAGCCGGGCATGGTGGCATGTGCCTATAGTCCTAGCTACTTGGGAGGCTGAGGTGGAAGGATCACTTGAGCCTAGGAGGTTGAGGCTGCAGTGAGCTGAGACTGCACCACTGCACTCTAGCCTGGGTGACAGAGCCAGACCCTGTCTCAAAAGAAAAAAAAGAGACAGATGGGCTTGGGGTCTAATAAACAGGAAAGTAAAATGTTAATTTTGTTACAATTAAGAGAATTGTCTTTGGTAAACATTTACCATCATGCAGTTGTGCAGTATTACCTAACTCCATGAAGGCAAATCAACCCATTCAGTTATCCAAATGCATTTTGCAGCTCATTCACTTTGGCTGGCACATTTGTAAAGCCTTGCAGCTTAGAATCAACTGTTCTGGGTAAGCTTTTCATCCAGATGCCAGTTGTGTGGTTGGAGACAGAATAGATTCCATGGAGACAGGCTGAAGAGGGGTTGTATGCTAGAGGTAGTGGGCGGTCCACAGCTCAAAGAACATGCTGGCTGGGCACAGTGGCTCACGCCTGTAATCCCAGCACTTTGGGAGGCAAAGGCAGGCGGATCACCTGAGGTCAGGAGTTTGAGACCAGCGTGGCCAACATGGAGAAACCCCGTCTTTATTAAAAATACAAAATTAGCCAGCCGTGGTGGCGCATGCCTGTAATTCCAGCTACTTGGGAGGCTGAGGCAGGAGAATTGCTTGAACCCTGGAGGTGGAGGCTGCGGTGAGCGGAGATCATGCCATTGCACTCCAGCCTGGGCAACAAGAGTAAAACTCCATCTCAAAATAAAAAAAGAAACAAATAAAAAAACCCAGCTAAGCTAACATATGTAAGAGGAAAACTATAGTACCAGTGTTCAGTATTGGAGAGTGCACATATAAATGTCACATCTGAGGACTATTCAACAGAGTTAAAACAGTGTAGAGGACCAAAGGTAGAGACCATGGGAACAAGGTTGGACAGAGTGGTCTTGGGCAAGCCTTGGACACTGTTTTCCTTTTGTGGGACAGCTGGTAGGTACAAGATGGAGCTGGCATAAAAGGCCAGGAAGGGCTTCCAGAACAGTTCCTGATTTTTTTTTAAATCTTTTCAGGTTCAGGTGCTGATAATACTGAATCTGAAAAATTTTAGACTCAAACTAATTTACTAAGCTGTATCATATGGAAATTCAGGGTCTCAGGAAAACACTTGAACAAGTGTTGGCCTGATCCGAAGTTCCTTTCTGCAGAGTATCTTTGCTTATCTTGCCCAGTACCCGATGCCACGTGGAAATGGAGTGGCTCTTAATTAAGGTAAGAACATGTGTTAGGCCTCTTTACCTTCATGTTAAAATAACAATTCTGATTTCTAAAGCATATGAATCGTTACTATGGAGAATTAGCAATCCACAACCCTGTGCAATTAACTTTTATCCAACTTCTATAAAAATCCTGGCTAAGACATAGTGATATTTAAAGAAAAGAGTCTACAGACATGCTATCCATTCTAGATATTTGGAGTTCTATCCCCAGATCTAATTAGAGCACCAGAAGCCTACCAGGTACAGCTTAAATATATCAAGAAATGTGTTAAGAACTATATGAACAACTATAAGCTTTATGGAGGGACATAAAAGAAAATTAGGGTAACTAGAAAGACAAATTGTATTCCTGAATGGGAAGACTTAATGTCAGTTCTCTCTAACTTAATTTATAAATTAAATGACAAAAGAGAGTAACACCAGGAGACTTGCTTGACCAGCTATAAAGACATAGCTACAATAATTTTCTTAAAAATGTATGGGCATAGGCATGGGCAAATAAATCAGTGGGATAGAATAAAAGAGTCCAGAAACACATTTGAAAGAGAGAAATTGTGTATGAATGAGTATTTAATATGTAATAAAGGTGACATTTTAAGTTAGTGGAGAAAGAGCTCAACAAATGGTTGGAAAAAATAACATTAAGGCCTCTGTCTTACTCCGCATAAAGAAATTTTTCTGTAATGATGTTGACACCATACAAAGAAATCTAAACGTATTACAGAGCTAATTAATGAAAAATTTATATATATATATATATATATATATATATATATATATATTTAAAACCCCACTTAATGAACTGAGTATAACAGAAAGCCCCAGAACTCTTAAGAGCAAAAGACTTGGTCATGTAAATATACAAAACTTGAGTAAAAGGAAACATAAGCTAAGTTAAAAAAATGAGAGATCAAATTTATAAAATTAGAGTCAGTATTCCTAATATATAAGGATGATGGCCAGATTTTTAGCAGTGACCTTGATCTGACCTCCTTTAGCCTCCACAAGGACTTGGGCCTTAGAGCAATCTCTCCTGCTGTACTGCATCATTCCTATTAGTACACACATCTCGAGCCAGATGCCACCCTATTTTTTCATTCTTCATGAAAAATTTCTTCAAAGAGTGTTCTCTGTATGTTTTTTTTTTTTTTTTTCTTATTTCCTCACCACCTATTTGCTTTAACTCACTTCAGTCTGGCGACTGCCCCAGGTACTCCACTGAAATCGTTTTTGCTAAGGTCAACAGTGATCTCTGTACTACCATATTCAATGGGCACTTTTAAACTCTCGTACTATGTGACCTTTCAGAAGCATTTGACCCAGTTGGCTACTCCCTTCTTGAAACTCTTGACTTTCATGAAACACACTCTCTTCCTCCATTCTTCTTACATTTTAAATACCGAAGTTCTCCCAAGCTAGGTACTAGGTAGTAACCTCTTTTTTTTTTTTTTAATTCACACTCTTTCCCTAAGTGATTACATGGTTAAGTGTTCTTAGTAAAAAACAACAAAAACTGCTCCTACCTGATATAAGCAAAAAAGGGGTTTATTATAAGAATAGTAGGTAGTTGAGCTATAGACTGAGACACAGAGGTTTTGGAGTGAAAAATCACATCTAGAATCACTACCCAGAACTAATCAGATGACACCCCTGCTGACACTGATGCAAGGGCTGGATGCAGTAGCCTACACCACTGATATCACTGGCTTGGAAACTATCACGCTAGCCTCACTGCCTTCATTACCCCAGAAATTCAGGCCCCTGTCGCTACTTCCAGAGAAGGGTTCTCATCATTCCAGATGTTCTGCATCACTAGTGTCTAATTCAAAATATGGAGCAGTTGCATCTGATTGGCACAGCTTAAGTCATGTGCCCACGTCTGAGCTTCAAGGAAGGCCAGCAAAGAGTATAGTAAACTTTTGTTTCCATAGAAGGAAGTAGGCTCTACCTCCTACCAGGTGGAGAAGTCCGCAAACATATAAGGGGACCCAGATGCTGAATATTTAATAGTTTAAAATTTAAACTTTAGATGAATTATAAAAGTCTAAAATTATTCATTCTCATGACTTAAAATACTATTTATATGCGGTCAGCCCTCAAATTTATAAATTAAGCCAAGACTTCTCCTTGGAGTTATTCAACTGCCTGTATGACATCTCAGAAGCACACAAACATTTCAAATATAATACACCCCAACCTAACTTTTGATATACACTGCCCTACTCCCCATGTATACTCCCATCCATCCAATCTCATAAGAAATCTAGGAGTAAAGGCCAGGTGCAGTGGCTCACACCTGTAATCTCAGGACTCTGGGAGGCTGAGGCAGGCAGATCACCTGAGGTCAGGAGTTCAAGAACAGCCTGGCCAACATAGTGAAACCTGTCTGCACTCAAAATACAAAAATTAGCCAGGCGTGGTGGTGCAAGCCTGTAGTTCCAGCTACTTGGGAGGCTGAGACAGGAAGATCACTTGAACCCACTAGGCAGCAGTTGCAGTGAGCTGAGATCATACCTCTGTATTCCAGCCTAGGTGACAGAATGAGACTCTGTCTCAAAAAAATAAGACTATATATATATGTGTGTGTGTGTGTGTGTGTGTGTGTGTGTGTGTGTGTGTGTATGCCATTTTGACTCCTCTCTCATCCCCATATGCAAACATTCAGAAAGTTCTGGGGAAACCACTGCAAAACATACCTTGAGTCCATATGTTTCAGGGGTTACTTGGTCAAATTTCCAATTTGGAACTCGAAGCCCTTAACACCCTTTGCCTGATGATATCCTCTCTCTGGAGAAACATGGTATTACTGCACCAAAGCACATCATATCAGGATTTTTAACCTTTCTCAAAAAATAATTTTCATAGGTGGTAACAAGTGTGAAATGTTCATGAGTAATCTCTTCAAAGTTGTGTTTACTTGGTATTTAATATTGCTTTTAAATAACAAAAGGACCTGCCCATTAAACCTGCTAAACTGCCAATCATGTTTGTCCCAAGAACACCTTGAAAAATAAAATCACTCACCCTACCCCCAGTCTGAGATAATCAATTGTAGGCAAAACCCTGTGTCCATGCCTGCTCTTCCTAAAAATAAAAAAAGGATGGGGCCTGGAACTACTGAGATATATTAAAAGAAAATAACTCATAAACAGAGGGAGCTGGGCATGGTGTTGAGCATCTGTAGTTCCGGCTACTCCAGAACCTGAGGCAACAGGATCACTTGAGCCCAGTTCAAGGCTGTAGTGACCTATGAGCATGCCACTGCACTCCAGCCTGGGTGAGGGTAAGACCCTGTCTTGAAAGAAGAGAAAGGGAGTGGAGAGGGGAGGAGGGGGGCCATGGGGGCTGGAGGGACTCATTTCTGAAGGCCTCAACTCTCACCAAATTATGAATCAAGGTTTGTGACAAGGTAAGAGTAGTGAAATTCTGAGCTTGAGAAGAGTGGAAACATTCCCCTTAAGAATGAGGGGAACTCAACCAGAGATGAATTAAATCTGACACCAGCAGAAAGATACATAAGTTGAAAATTATAAATATCAAATTGGGCTAATCTTCAATGATTATATGATCTTTCCCCCCAGCATCACCTGCCAAAAAGAGTAGAAAATCAATTGTTTAGACTAAAATTAAAAAGTGGCTATGGTAGAAGGTCAAAGGAGAGAAGCAAATGAGAATACTGGTAAGAAAGTAAAGCATAAAGTAAATTTCAGGCTGGGATAGAAGGGAAATGATGCAAGGAGAGATTAGGGAAGGGTTAAGAGCTTAGAAAAGTGCAACAGCCTTGATTTTTAGTGGGAGAGTAGAAAGATAAGAAAATATAACTAAAAGGGAGAATTTTAGAGTTTGAGATATGAGGAGAGGTGGCAAGAAATCTGGGTTATATCTCCGAGAGATAAGAAAAACAGAGAACTAAGTCTGAGGTCAGAGTGTCCAATATTATATATAGCCCCAAGAGAGTAAAAGCAGCAGCAGCTGAAATATAAATACATGCCAGGTATTAAAATCAATGAACAGACAGGGCATGGTGGCTCACACCTGTAATCCCAGCACTTTGGGAGGCTGAGGTCGGCGGATCACTTGAGGCCAAGAGTTTGAGACCAGCCTGGCCAACACAGTGAAACCCTGTCTCTATTAAAAATAGAAAAAATTAGCTGGGCATGGTGACAAAACCCTGTAGTCCCACTACTCGGGAGGCTGAGGCATGAGGATCACTTGAACTCAGGAGGTAAAGGTTGCAGTGGGCCAAGATCGCACCACTGCACTCCAGCCTGGGTGAGAGTGAGTCTCTGTCTCAAAATAAATAAATGAAATAAATAAAATAAAATAAATGAAGGAAGAAAGAGAAGAAAGAGGATCCTAGAGGTCAGAAGAAATACACAGATAGGGATAGGTGATAAAGAATTTCAGATGGGGAGAAGTTACTGAAAGAGACTAGGTTGTTGTGTTTTGTTTTTTTTTTTTGACGTTACTAAAAGAGACTAGGTTTTTTTTTGACATACAATGTGCAAGTATGAGACATTTTATTTTCTAATTGAAACTGTATTAAGACATTTACTTGGAATCACATTATTCCCTTAATTTTTTCACAGAGAATATTCCATTTACTGTTTAGTTTGTGGTCTTGTGGACATGTTCTAAGTAATATATTTGTTAGCATGGTAGTTTCAGTTGGGCAAAACTTACTGCCAATAAGACTTGAATTTAATTTGTCACGTATTTCCAATGGCAACCAATGATCAGGTGCTTCAATATTACAAATTTCAATTCTTCCATTCTTTATGTCTATGAATACTTTAATTTCCAAGTGTGACTGTTCATATAACACATGAAAGGAAGTATTTATACTAAACTTTGGAGTTTTGCCATATATCCACTCCCAAGTTTGCAGTTCTTTGGCTTTGCTATTTATTCCAGGAAACAGTGTCTCATCCGTTGGGTTTATTAGGTGAATGTGATTATCAATTTGATGATAAGCAGCATACTCTGTAGCAACAGCATTCATTAGTACTTCACAGGTCAGAGTGGGATCCTTTTCCAAAAGATTTTTCACTAAGGAAGGTATGCTAGCAGTGGCATTGCTCCTGATCCCTTGGTAAGGGCTCTTTAGCAAAGAAGACAAGAACGTCCCATCAGTACTACATAATAAAGTGCAATGGTGATAGGCAGTAGTCCGGCCGATCTTAGAAGCTGTTCCTGAGATTTTAAACTGTCCATCAAGTAAAAGGTCAAATCTTTTGGTAGCCTGCACATCCAGCTGGGGTTGGACAGCATTCAGAGCTCTCACAATTAATTTCAGATTTTCCATTCTATCATACTTTTTTTTGGTTGTAAAGAAAGTCAAATTGATATTACCCATATCATGGTAGACTGTTCCTCCTCCACTTCTTCTCCGAGCCAGTTTTATACCTTCTTCTCTCATTAGATTCAGGTTACATTCCTGCCAAGGATTTTGATGCCTACCAATTACAACAGAGGGAGAATTCTGCCAAAAGAATAGAATTGGTTTGCCTTCTAGATTCATATGGTCATGGATCCAGTCTTCCACAGCCAGATTTTGATAGACATCATTGGAAATTGACTGTAAAATGAGCCCATTTTTTACTGTTTTTTTAAAGCCAGCTGCTGGGACCTGGCAGTTACAAAGTAACTGGAAGCAATTCTTCATTGAAAATGGGATCAGCATGCTTTTAAAAATGGAAGACAAACAAATTAATTCATCGAGAAAAGGAACATTAAATTCTATTTTCTAACTATCAATTATCGGTTATTTAATCCAAACTTAAAGTATCCAGTGCAGTTGCTTTTGGCTTTTAGCTTTACAATTAGTCTTTAGCAATGCTATAACCAAGTATTCAAAAGAAATAAATGAAGACAAATTTCAAATAATTTCAGTTGAAATAATTTCACAGTTTTCAAACAATAAGTCTGCTGCAAATACATTATGTAATATATCTTTTTTTTTTCTCTTACAGACAGGATTTCACCATGTTGCCCAGGCTGGTCTCAAACTCCTGGGCTCAAGCAGTCCTCCCACCTTGGCCTCCCAAAGTGCTGGGATTACAGGCATGAGCCACTGCACTCAGCCACATTACCTATATCTTAAAGCCAAATTATGTTGAATTCACAAGTAACAAATGTTCATCGAGAAAAATGAGAAAATACAGACAAGCAAGAAGAAAAAAATAAAAGCATTGATAGTCCTAATCACAATTAACATTTTGGTGTAAACCCATTTTATTTCTAAGCATGTATACGCACACACATTTCCCTCCCCATACTATTATTTCATTCGACATTCAATCTATATATATATATATATATATATATATATATATATATATATATATATTTTTTTTTTTTTTTTTTTTTTTTTTTTTTTTTTTTTTTTTGAGACGGAGTCTCGCCCTGTCACCCAGGCTGGAATGCTGTGGCGTGATCTTGGCTCACCGCAACCTCCGCCTCCCAGGTTCAGGCGATTCTCCTACCTCACTGGGATAACAGACGCCTGCCACCACGTGTGGCTAAATTTTGTATTTTTAGTAGGCATGGGGTTTCACCATGTTGGCCATGCTGGTCTTGGAACTCCTGACCTCAGGTGATCTGCCCGCCTCAGCCTCCCAAAGTGCTGGGATTACAGGCATGAGCCACCGCGTTGGCCCATTAAATCTATTTTGCATCAGCTTTAATGACTGTTTAATATTCCATTGTTAACAAGTTTACTCAGTCTCTTAGTCTGTAATTTTAGGTGGCTTCTAGTTTTTCTGGTTATCAACGATGTGTTCATGAACATTTCCGTGGAAAGCTTTCATTATGTCTTTATAACACTTTAAAAATAATTTCCTGTTTGACTTTGGGATATATGATTTACTGGCAGCATAACTTTTATTTAGATCAATATTAACTTAGGATGAACCCTTGAGGTCAGAGAGAGAGGCAACTGGGAGTATGCAGGTTTATATACAAAGGCTAAGAATAAATTCACTATGTTTGGATGCTTTCCACATTATTCATGTTACCATTGCTAATGAAATATTAGGCAGCAAAAGGTTGAAAATACTAGCTATGAAAATGAAGTATTTTGATTACTTATGGTCTTAAATCATTCTATTCCAATTCTATTTCTTAGAATATAATTTTCCTTCAGGTTGAAGAACTGGGAATAGAATGGATTATTAAAGTGTATAACTTGAGGTTAAGAGTTTGGTTCTAAATAAAGAAAGTTCATAACTAGGTAGCTAGGCTTTTTTATTTTTTATTTTTAAGACAGGGTATCACTCTGTAATTGTCTCACTGCAGCCTCGACCTCCTGGGCTCAAGCAATCTCCACATCTCAGCCTCTGAAGCAGCTGGGACTACAGGTATGCGCCACCATGCCTGGCTAATTTTTAAATTTTTTGTAGAGATGGGGGTCTCCCTACGTTGCCTAGGTTGATCTTGAACTCCTGGGCTTCAGTGATCCTCCTGCCTCAGCCTCCCAAAGTGCTGGGATTATAGGCATGGGCCACTACACCTGGCCCCAAATCATTTAGTTAAGTAATATCTTAGAAGTACAATTCTAGATTAAAGAGTCTTCATATTTTCATCACTCTTGTTGTAGTTTATAAACTAACCTACAAAAAGTTGAATCAGTTTACATTCTGTCTAGAAAGGTGTGGAGAGGTTTAATAGAGGAAGGAATACTTGAACTGAGTCACCAAATCTGATAAGTTTGCCAGGTCGAGGAGCATATTCCAGGCATATGCAAAGACAAAGAGTCATCTAATAGTAAGGTATGTTTGGGGATTCCCTCCTAAGAGAAAGAGTTACACTACTAGTCTTCGACTTCCACTTAAGCCTATGGCTATACTGTCCTAGGAAGCCTCGCAACCGAGACTGCATTACTTTGGTTAACCTCTTTGTTCTTGGTTCTGCTTGACTGACTTTGACACAGTACCATATTCATTCAACAAGTATTTATGGAGTTCCTACTAGGTACAAGGTAATAAGGAGATAGAAAATGGGAGGAGATAAATTCATGTAATGAACCAAAATATTTGGACTTTTTAAAAGGCAGCTAAGATCCACTGAAGTGTTAAGCAGGAAGTGTTAACTCAGCTGTTATACGAATCTGCCTCTGCAGGGTTGAGTATGGATTAAATAAAGGATGGACTAGGGACAGGGGGAACAGTTAATGGACTAAGGCAGTTGTCCATGCTAGAGATAATGAGGGCCTAAAGTACGGTAGGAGAGAGAGAGAGAGAGAAGGGGATGGATATGAGTGACATTAAGAAGGTGAACTGGCCGGGCGCAGTGGCTCATGCCTGTAATCCCAGGACTCTGGGAGGCCGAGGCAGGCGGATCACGAGGTCAGGAGATCGAGACCATCCTGGCTAACACAGTGAAACCCCGTCTCTACTAAAAATACAAAAAATTAGCCGGGCATGGTGGCAGGTGCCTGTAGTACCAGCAGCTCTGGGAGGCCGAGGCAGGCGGATCACGAGGTCAGGAGATTGAGACCATCCTGGCTAACACAGTGAAACCCCGTCTCTACTAAAAATACAAAAAATTAGCCGGGCATGGTGGCGGGCGCCTGTAGTCCCAGCAGCTCTGGAGGCTGAGGCAGAAGAGTGGTGTGAACCCGGGAGGCGGAGCTTGCAGTGAGCCGAGATCGTGCCACTACACTCCAGCCTGGGCGACAGAGCAAGACTCCGTCTAAAAGAAAAAAAAAGAAAAGAAGGTGAACCTGTCCTTGCCTTCAAGAAACAAGTACCTCCACAATCTAGTGGGAGATACTAAAAAACAAGTAAGGCAATAATTAAAATACAGTGTCCTAAATGCTGTGATAGGTGTTAAGTACAGTAGAGCGCCATCTAATGCTCTAATTAGTGGATGTGACATTGAAGCTGAGACATAAAAGGGATAAAGAAAAGAATTCTAACAATGTGCAACAGCTTAGTGGAAAAGGAGATAGGACCCATGCAAATAATTTAATTCTACTGGCTGGTTATTAGGAATACAAGAATGGGGAGTTAATAAGAAGGCAAGAGAAGTAGATGTTAGATTATAAAGAACCTTAAATCCAAGTGAAATGCTTGAACTTTATTGCCCAGGATGGAGTGCAGTGGTGTGATCACGGCTCACTGCAGCCCCGACCTCCTGGGCTCAAGCAATCCTCCCCCTTTAGCCAGCATGTGCCACCACGCCTGGCTATTTTTTTTTTTTTTTTTTTTTTGTAGAGATGAATCTCACTTTGTTGTCCAGGCTGGTCTCAAACTCCTGGGCTCAAGCAGTCCTCCTGCCTTGGCCTCCTAAAGCACTCGGATTACAGGCATGAAGGCTTTGGATTTATACTTCAGGGACACCGCCTAGAGATTTTAAGCATGGAGAATGTACAATACTTGGCAATAGGTTGAATTAGGGTGAGAGAAAGAGAAGTCAAGCATCATGTCCTTTATGATATAATGATTACAAGCTCAAACCAGAGTGCCCTCATTCAAATCCCAACTCTATCCTTTATCAGTTGAATGACCTAAGGCAGATTACTTTTCTATGTCTCAGATTTGTTATCTAATATGTGGATAATGACAGGACTCATCTCATATTATCAGGCTGAGTCTGATGAGCTAATACATATAAAGTGGTTAGAAGAGTGCCTGGCACTGAAGAAAGTACACAATATGTGCTAACTATTTTATTAATATTATGCCCTGATTTCTGGCCTGGCAAAGAGGTGAAATTTCCTAGGACAGATTTTATAGGAAGAGGAAGTATGGGGTTAAGATAATTGGTTCATTTTGACTGTTGAACTAGCGGCCAACGGCACAGAGCTCAATGGATGGTAACTGAGGCCACAGGAAGGTGGTTCAGTGAGAAGATTTAAGGGCCTGCGACATAAGACTGAAGAGCAGCAACATTTAACGGACATACAGAAGAAGGAGGGAGAGCTCCCAAAGGAAGCTGAGGATAGAAGAAAAGGCAGAAAAATTTTAAATATGCTATTATGGAAGCTTCAAGGAGACAAGATGGTCAACAGTGCCAAATGCCAAAGATTGAGCAAATAAGATGAGGGTTGAAAAGGATCTATTAAACAGTATCAAGAAGGTTATCAGTGATCTTGGTAAGAACCAGATGTACTGAGTAAATAGGAGGCCCAAGGTGGATACAATGAGGGTATTCTAGTTGTGAAGTGGAAAAGCTAGGGCAGTAGGTAGAAAGGAATGTGGAGTTAGGAGAGGACTTAAGATGCAATAGATCTGAGCATGTTTAGATGCTGGTAGGGGAGTCAAGAGAGGGCAACACTGGAGAAGGGAGGTCCTTGAGAAAGTGATGGTACTGGGATCCAGAGTTCAGGTAGGGGCAGCCTTAAAGGAGAAAGTAACAAATAGGAGTGGTGGTCACTAATAAGCTGGATGGTGTCTGTGGATATGGAAATTGTCAAAGATCTTGTGAAATATCTTTTCCCAAGATTAAGGCTCTTACTCTTGTCTGCATGTGCAGAGTGTGGCAGGATGGCAAAGTAGTTAAGGACTTAAATTTTTAATCCTGGCTCTGCCACTTACTAATGACTTTAGGGAAGTGGTTTAACCTCTAGCTGCTTCAGTGGCCTCAGACGTCATAAAATGGTTGAGAGAATTAAATGTGTTAATATGCATAAGCCATTCATGTTTGGCAAATATGAAATGTTAACTGTTATGACAGGGTTCTCCCTTTCCCATCTCTATTCTGTGCTTACTGTTCCTATCATATACCATGTATTCCCTCAAGTGAACAAAGATTCCTAACCAAGACACATCAAAGTGGCATTTACCTTGATAAATTAACTATAGTCCAAGATATTGACTTTGGTCAAAAATGTGATCTTGTTAGGGTTCCAGAATTGATCCAATTCATGTATTGAGCCAATGCATGTATTTTAATAGTGCTAAAAATATCTCTCTTCATCCAGGTATTGTATATACAGTGTGAATAAAACACAACAAAGGTATTAATTCAACAAAGTTTTCATCAATTACATGACAGACATTGTTCTTAGCACTTGGGAATCATCAGTGAGTCAAATGAATAAAGGTGATAAGGAGGGCTATTAAAAAAAGTAGATGGCCGGGCGAGGTGGTTCACACCTGTAATCCCAGCACTTTGGGAGGCCAAGGTGGACAGATCACCTGAGGTCAGGAGTTTGAGACCAGCCTGGCCAACATGGTGAAACCCCGTCTCTACCAAAAATACAAAAATTACCTGGGCGTGGTGGCAGGCGCCTGTAATCTCAGCTACTCGGGAGGCTGAGGCAGGAGAATCGCTTGAACCCGGGAGGTGGAGGTTTCAGTGGGCCGAGATGGGCTGGGCAACAGAGCGAGATTCAGTCTATTAAAAAAAAATGTAGAGCTGATAAAGGGAGGATTGTAACTGTGTATGTGAGAAAACTTACATTGCAATTTTAAATAGGGTTGTTAGGCTAAGCCTCATTAAAAAGGCATCATGTGAGAAAAGATGCAAGAAGCTGTTCTAAGCACCTGAACACGTAAACCAATAAACAGACCTCAGTGAGGATGTGACATTTCAGTTGAACCCCGAAAGATAAGAAAAAATCACACAGAGTGAGAAAAAGTGAAAACAAAGGGATGTCCAAAAATCCCTGACTGCCAGCTTATTGATTTACAAAGAGAACTATAGACCATCTATCAGATATTCAGATGAGCCTGTGCAATTATTCACTGTAGGTCTGGTGACAAGCCAACTCTTAAGTTTGCTTGGTGAATACATAATCAGAAAAGGACTGAGTTACATGATATGAACGTCTGACGGAATGGGCTCTGGGGAAGACACTTCCTTAACTCAGGAGAGCCCCTGCTCTTAAGCCGGGATACCCTCTCTCCCCTAGAGAAGGCGTGGATTCATCTGGCACAGGTGTGCCCCTCTTTTTTTATTCTATGCTCCAGTAGCGGATCAGACCCCGACTGAGTAATGCACGGTATTTCAGGATATTTCACAGTCGTTGGGATAGTGTCAAGCCTTTGAAGTTCTGGTTAAATTTTGTTCCTTCAAAATCACTTTGAATCTTTCTACTCTCACCCTTTAATGACTAATTTTTTGAAGTTTTTCCTCGGAAGACTTCCTTACCTTCCATGTTCTTGGGACACTTCGCTACCTCTGCACTGCCAAACACGGCTCCCCATCACTGAACTGAAAGCGAAAACAGCACAATCCCATCTATCTTTCTAGGCAGGCGCAGCTTCTTCATAAGACCTCGCCAAGACCCTATTATTTTGTCCCCTCTCTAATGATATACAACTTACTCAGAATCTCATTACGGTCGTGTGCATGTTTTACTTCGCCCTTTTGGCTCCCAGGGGGCGTGCACACAGCTAGCGTCCAACATGTTTTACGATATTTACCCTCCCTCCTGTGTTCGGGATCAACCGTTCCTAACAGTGAAATTAGGTCGTCCCAAGTGCTGAGGAGAAAGTGTGCACACAAGAGGCTTCAACACCGGCGGAGGCGACCCGCAAGTCCTGACCCACCGCCAGAAACACCGCGCGCGCCCAAGACCCCACGGCCGCCCACGCGCTACGGCCCGCAACATCCCGGTTTGAAGCGTTTCCGCTTCACCCACCTGCGGCTTCCGGTCGTACCCACGGCCTCGTGAGGGCTCGAGCTGGAAAAGTGCGTCATACGACCCCGAGCAACCGGCAGGCCTTGCGCGCGATGCTGCCCCGCCCCCTGAGGGCCGGCCCCCTGAAGCGCAAGAGAAGGAGGGGCGCGCAGGGATCGCGCCTAGTCTCTCCGCCTGCGGAGCCGTGGGGTCCCGGCAGCCCGCAGGAGTGCTAAGTAAGGGTCCTTCAGGGCGGGAACCAGGTTCCAGGCAGGGACGCAGGCTACGTTCGAATAAAAGTACCGAAGGTCATAAGGCCCCAGTTCAGATGGGACTTCCCCGCGTGACAGCACAGAGATAACGGCCAGCCCTGGGCGAAGGTAGGAGAGCGGGCGTGCCAGGTTGGAGGGGTCATTTCGTGGAGCGAGTTTAGGGGGAGCCCCCAGAAGCCCAGAGCAGTCAGGTCACACGACGGGCAGGAAGGAGTACCAGCAAATACTTTTTATTGAGCATACAGGTATTACGCTGGGTCTTTACATATCTCCTCCAAATAAGTGAGTCCAAATGGCAGGTAACTCGAAAGGTGAGAAATTCAAGTCAGCTTTGAAAGACACATTGCATTTAAAGGAAAAACGGTATTCGCAGATGATAATACAGGATGGAGTGGATCAGAAAACACACTGAGGCTACTGATCATTCCCATTTGCCAACTCACTGCAGTTGGCAAGAAAACTCTGTGACTCCATGAGATGGGAAATTACACCAGCAGTCAAGGTAGCAAGGTAATAGTTTCGGCTAAGTTTTGCTGCATAACAAACTGCCTCAAATAGTGGTTTATATCTCTAACGTGGGCAAGGTGGGTGATTCTTCTGCTAGTTTCTCCTGGGCATATTCATGTGGCTTCATTCAGCACAGGTTGGCTACGCTGGGCGGTCCAAGATAGCCTTATTCATGCTCTGGCAGGTGCTGCCTGGCTGCTAGGGCATCTCAATTCAGGCCTAATCTTGGAAGCAGCGCCTCAGCCATATTCTATTGGCCAAAACAACAACAAAGCCAGCCCAGAGTTAAGGCGTGGGGTAATGGACTTCACCTCTTGATGAAAGAAGCCCAAAGAATTTGTGGTCACCTTTTTCAACCTTGCACAGAAATTAATCTCTCCTTCAGTTAAAATAGAAACCACTAAGACTTGCCTCTTGGAGTAAGAATCATTCAGTGTTCAGTTTGCTGATGCTGATACGGTAAATGACCAGGGCTTCATATAAAGCTACAATGAAGACATAATGACACCTCCTTTCTTTATTATCACACCTTTTACCAAGGTCACTCTGAGTAAGTCTATCTTGTATTATGCAGGTGGGAATGAATTTTGTTCAGAGTTAACTGCACTAGGAATTTTCCTAGTTATTATTAAAAACAGTCACAGAATATTGTTGCTCTTTGCTTATATTACTTCCTTCTAAATTCCCTTTCTCTGAAATCTGAGATGGTACAACTTTGGTTTTTTTTCCTAGTTTCTTGATGAAGAGGTTTTAAAGAATCCCATTCCCTCCTCCCTGCTCCAGGACTTCTGTCCCTTGGTTATTCTTACCTTTACCTACTTCTTCAGCTTCTCCACTGGAACCTTTCAAGTGACACTCAAACATGCTGTACTCTTTAACAATCCTCCAGTGACCTCATTTCTCTTTCCACTTGTCATCCTGTCTGCTACCCTTCTGAGCCAAGCTTCTTGGAAAAACTGCTATACATCCAGTATCTACTTTCTCACTTCCCATTCATTGTTTCAACGTACTCCAAAATGGCTTTTCCCCATTATTCCAGCAAAAGTGCTTTTGCTAAGGTCACGGGTGACATTCATATTGCTAGATCCACTGGACTTTTCAGTATTCATCTAAGTGTTCATTTGACTACCTCAACCTGGAGATTCCTGTGGACAACTTTGACATTACCCTGTCAACTCCTCAGTCCCTTTTGCCAGGTTTTCCTCCAGCCTCACTGCCAACTCCGCAGTCCCCTTTGCCAGCTACCCT
Source organism: Homo sapiens (assembly GCF_000001405.40). NCBI lineage: Eukaryota > Metazoa > Chordata > Mammalia > Primates > Hominidae > Homo > Homo sapiens. Next base: position 99,153,045 of record NC_000002.12, on the reverse strand, counting down.
GATCTAGTCAGCCCTAAATGTTGGAGTTCCTCAGATCTTTATCTCACACTACATTTTCCTTAAGCAATTTCATTCATTCTATGGCTCTAAGTACCATTTCTGTATACAACTTCAAAATTTATATTTTTTAGTTCCATAGATACAACTGCCTTGTAAACCTGGTAAGTCTAAAAGCCATGCTCCTGAACTCACTCTTTCCCCCCAGGGATCCTGCATGCATAAAGGCTAAAGCCTTTTTTGCCAGAAGCCCTTTCTTCTTCCTCACTTTCCGCTTCCAAACCATGACTACATCCTGTCAGACTTCACCTGGACTCTATCCCCTTCTCTCCACTTTTATGACCATCACCATCATTCACTTAGACAACCATGTCACTGCAAAAGCTATAAATGTCCTCAGAGGCTGCTCTATGGAGTAGCCATTCTGTTTCTTTACTTTCTTAATCAACTTGCTTTCAAAAATGTCCTGAGATACGCTTTCCCATTTCCCACGTTAAAATCAAGTTTATGGCCCAGTGGGAGGATCACCTGAGGCCAGGAGTTTGAGACCAGTCTGGGTAACATTGTAAGACTCTGTCTCTAAAAAAATACAAAAACATGCTGGGTATGGTGGCACATGCCTGTAATCCTAGCTACTAGGAGGCTGAGGCAGGAAGATCGCTTAAGAACAGGAATTCGACACTGCACTGAGCTATGATCGCTCCACTGCACTCCAGCCTGGGCAACAGAGTGAGACCATCTTAAAAAAAATCAGTTTTATGTGGTATGTCTTGTGTTGTGTTATGTCCCTCTGAATGCTATACGTTTCTTCATGGCATATCACAATTTGCATCTTATATAATTACTGTATAATCTCCTGTCTTTCCTAGTAGACAGGCACAAAACTCTACAAGGCACTGGCTATTTTATTCACTACTGTATCTCCAGCACCAAGCACAGTGCCAGGCTAGGTGAACAAATGAATGATTTATGTATTTTTTTTCTCTTCTAAAGAATTACGTTCTGTAAATAATAAAAAGCATTGTCTTTTTGGCTTATGTCCCATTCAACAATTGTTTTTCACTCTCAATATTCCCTACAAACACATTTGTTTAGTATTTTTCTGATTAATAAAATATAGCTTCCCCCCGGAAAAGATGCCCTTTCCTCTTTTAAAATGAATATTAAAGAGATTTCCAACTACCAGATATTTTCATAACTGATATACAAAACAAGGTTTTTAAACAGGTTGTTTTTTCTCATATTAAATATTGGTGACATAAAATGGTACCATCTGCAAGACAAACTATTAACACTTGGAAAGAACACTTTTCTAACTCTAAAATGGATTCTATGTGGGGGGAAAAAGCAGTTTTAAAGGCACGATTTAAAATGTGAAATCCTTCTGAAGATATGCAATTTATTGGTCTTTTGCAGTTTATTGGCAGTGATCTTTTACAGAACAAAAATGCAAAATGTAAGAAAGTAAAGTATCATAAAGCAGAATCCCAAAATGGAAATGTAACATACAAAACTGATACACCAGAAATATTGTGAAATACGGATGTCACATTGCTTGGACTTTTTTTTTTTTTTTTTTTTTTTTGAGACGGAGTTTTGCTCTTGTTGCCCAGGCTGGAGTACAATGGCATGACCTCAGCTCAGTGCAGCCTCCGCCTCCAGGGTTCAAGCGATTCTCCTTCCTCAGCCTCCCAGGTAGCTGGGATCACAGGTGCCCACCACCATGCCTGGCTAACTTTTTGCATTTTTAGTAGAGATGGGGTCTCACCATATTGGCCAGGCTGGTTGCGAACTCCTGACCTCAGGTGATTGACCCGCCTTGGCCTCCCAAAGTGCTGGGATTACAGGTGTGAGCCACTGCGCCCGGCTGCTTGGACACTTTTTTTAACCACTTGTTAAAGAAATACATTAAAATGAAAATGTTTTGATGCCATTCAAATACTGTTACTTAAAAACTCTGGTTTTTAAGAAGGATATAATATAATACCAGAGAAATCTGCTTTGAATCTTGGAAGGCTTTTTCACCCTAAAGCAACTGCCTTTTGAATAAGCATCATAAAAAAATGCAGTGTAAGATGATTCACAAATAGTGCAAAATAAGGCAATAGTCTTCCATCATTTTGTCAGGGTTTCCTAATAAGGTTAAGTTCTCTTTCAACACCCCCCTTAGTCAAAGGCAGTTTTTGGTTTCTTTGGTAATACGTACAAATTGCTTCATTCCACATCTGTCATTTCTAGTCCATCACTTTCTTTGACATATACCACTGAACCCAAGGCTTTCCCAGAAAGAGATCCTGTGCCAGTCCCTTCAATCCTTGTAAAGTTTTCTTGATTTGTGTCTTCTAATCTTATTTTCTTGGTGTTTTGAAATAACTGAGTCGCTGGTTCCAACCTGCTTTTTTCAGTCCCTCGTATTAAGTGATCATCCACTTTTGAATCCATATGTATAGCAGATACCTGAGTAGCAGATTTACTAAGTGAAAATCCCATTAGGATAGCTGAACAAATGTGAAAGTAATTTGCAGGTACCTTTTTAAGTAGTGGAAGTGTTTCTTCAACTTGATTACTGAAAAAAAAAAAAAAAGTAACAAGTGAATGCAGCAGGAATTTCCCTAACTTCATGGCAATGTTTGTTTGAATGAAAAGCTGTGGTGATACTAGAAATATAAAGTAAAATTGCCTCCTACCTTTCAGTGTTTACATTTTCTTTGTGGGAGGGTTTGCAGGTTCTAAAGATTTATTTGAAAGTCTTTTTAAAAGGAAATTTATCTGATTGTATGTTTTATCACCTTTCAGAAAATAGTAGAGCTTCTCTTAGTCCTTTCTTTCATTCTTGCTAGCGAAACCTCTTTATTCATTACTAATGGGCTAAAGAAATAACGACTGAAGGCCAAGTACTCTGCTAGTACTTTATTTTCTGTAAAAAATAAAGATGTCCTATAAAGATACTTGTGATTGGCTGGGTGCGGTGGCCCACGCCTGTAATCCCAGCACTTTGGGGGCCGAGGCGGGTGGATCACCAAAGGTTAGGATTGAGAGACCAGCCTGGCCAACATGGTGAAACCCCATCTCTGCTAAAAATACAAAAATTAGCTGGGTGTGGTGGCATGCACCTGAAATCCCAGCTATTCAGGAGGCTGAGGCAAGAGAATAGCTTGAACCTGGAAGACGGAGGTTGCAGTGAGCCAATATTGCACCACTGCACTCCAGCCTGGGCGACAAGAGCGAGACTCTGTCTTAAAAAAAAAAAAAAAAAAAAAAAAGATACTTGTGATTAAGGATGTCTAGTCTGTAAAAAGAGATGATCGGCCGAGCGCAGTGGCTCACACCTGTAATCCCAGCACTTTGGGAGGCTGAGGTGGGTGGATCACGAGGTCAGGAGATCGAGACCATCCTGGCTAATATGGTGAAACCCCATCTGTATTAAAAATACCAAGAATTAGCCGGGCGTGGTGGCGGGCACCTGTAGTCCCAGCTACTCGGGAGGCTGAGGCAGAAGAATGGTGTGAACCCGGGAGGCTGAGGTTGCAGTGAGCCGAGATCGCGCCACTGCACTCCAGCCTGGGCGACAGAGCGAGACTCCGTCTTAAAAAAAAAAAAAAAAAAGATGATCATGTAGCATGGAGGGAGGCCTTGGGAAGTTTCCCAAAGGAGGGGAGCCTAGGTTAGGGTTTCGCTTTCAAAGATGGGCAGGAATTTGGTAGGCAGAGTTGACCAGGATGGCAGAAGGGACAGGCTTCCTGTACAGAAAAGGTTTGAGAAAGCCCAGGGCTTACTGGAGAAGAGTGATCTACCCAAGATGCTATAGTAGCAACCTGAGATCTGGAGCAGATTCCACAGCTTCGATCGAAATCCCTCACCCATTTTTTTTTTTTTTTTGAGATGGAGTTTCACCCTTTCACCCAGGCTGGAGTGAAGTGGTGCGATCTCGGCTCACTGGACCTCCACCCGGCAGGTTAAAGTGATTTTCCTGCCTCAGCCTCCTGAGTAGCTGGGATTACAGGTGCCCGCCACCAGGCCCAGCTAATGTTTGTATTTTTATTTTTATTTTTATTTATTTTTTTTCCAGTCTATATTTTATTTATTGTGGTAAAATATATATAACATTTACCATTTTAAACACTTTTAAGTGTACAATTCAATGACATTGAGTACATTTACATTTTTGTGCAAACATCATGGTCATCCATCTCCAGAACTTTTAATCATCCCAAACAGAAACTCTAACGTTTGTATTTTTAGTAGAGACGGGGTTTCCCCATGTTGACCAGGCTGGTCTTGAACCCCTGACCTCAGGTGATCCACCCACCTCAGCTCCCAAAGTGCTAGGATTACAAGCATGAGCCACTGCGCTCAGCCTCACCCACTTTTTAGAATGTATTATGTCTTTAATATTTACCTACTGTGGTATCTTTGATAGTTTACAATTTCATACTCATCAAGCTGTAATTACTGACTGAACATTTCTAAAGAATCATCTTGAAACCCTGTTTATCCATATTTGTGACTGAATATCAGTGTTTATAACAAAACAGAGTCCTGGGTCTACTGTAGTAGCCTAAATATAGTACTTACTCAAATATTAATATAACAATTAGGTAAATAGTATATATTTGGCTTTCTGGGACTCAAATACAACTTAGCTAAATTTTTTAATATCTCTGATGAAATTCTGAAATATGGGTATATTTGATTTTTAGATTTGGAACTTGAAGATGAATTTTTCTTCCTCATCAAAGGAATATCTAATACTGCCTTCAAATGAATAAAATTGAGTTTATTCTATTTGGTTTCTCTTTTTCTTAGAAAGGAAATACTCCTGTCAAATGCATAACTTGAATCTAAACATGAGGAAACAATCAGATAAACCCAAACAGAAGTATCTTCTATGAAACAAATAGCTTCTACCTAAAAATGTCAATGTTATGAAAGACACAGAGAGGCTGAGGAACTGTTTCAGATTAAAGGAGGCTAAAGATACATTATTTCAGATGCAACCAATGCTCTTGAATTGGGAAGGGGATGGAATGTACTACAAAGATCATTACTTAGATAACTGAAACATTTGGATATGGGACAATATTAGATAATAATATTGGATCAATGTGATAAATGCCATGAATATGATAATTGTATTGTGGTTATATAAGTCAATGTCCTTGTTCTTAGGAAATACATACTGAAATAGTTAGGGGTGAAGAATTGTATCTGCAACTTGCCCTCAAATTGTTTAGCAATAGATAGATAGATACATAGATACAGAAAGACAGTAAAATATGCAAAATGCTAACAACTGTTAAATCTAGGAGGTAAAGCTTAAAAAGTTGTTCTACATATTATTATTATTACATTTCTGTAGGTTTAAAACTTTTTCAAAATACAAAATTGAAAAAACGTTTTAAAAAACACAAAACTCTAAAACATGGCATTTGAAATCAACAAACGTAAAAGAATGGTAACATATAATTATCAATTTGCACATTAAACTTCAATCTAATAAAAGGACTGAGGAGGAACCAAGTATAATAGGGTAGACTTGGCCCTGTGAGTCTTACCTTAACTTCCCCAGAGTTGAGGACATGAAGGGTGAACAAGTCTATTGGGGGCCTCTTTGGACTGGCATTTAGGTTGCCATTCAAGAAGAAATCTGGAATATATATGTAAGAATAAAGGTACATAAAGAGATAAATCAATCTGGAGAAAAAGAACAAAGTGGCTTTCTTTACTAGATATTAAGATAGGCTACGCGGCTGGGCACAATGGCTCACGCCTGTAATTCCAGCACTTTGGGAGGCCAAGGTGGAAAGATCTCTTGAGTCCAGCAGTTTGAGACCAGCCTGGGCAACATAGGGAGACCTCATCCCTATCAGAAAAAAATTAAAAAAAACAAAAAGATATGCCACAAAGTGAAAGTAATAAAAATAACCTTGTACAGGTACAGGAACAAATAATCAGTAGAATATGACAGAGCTGTAACTTGGACTTAGGTATTTCAGGAACTTCACATATATCACAGGTGGCACTATAAGACAAAGGAGATAGAACAGACTAAGTTTAGTATGATGGTATCGTGAACATTGGCTAACTATGTGGACATAAGCAGGATCTTAAACACAGAAGTAGGCTGGGCGCGGTGGCTCACGCCTGTAATCCTAGCCCTTTGGGAGGCTGAGGTGGGCGGATCACGAGGTCAGGAGTTCGAGACCAGCCTGATCAACATGGTGAAACTCTGTCTCTACTAAAAATACAAAAATTAGCCAGGTGTGGTGGCGGGTGCCTGTAATTCCAGCTACTCAGGAGGCTGAGGCAGGAGAATCGCTTGAACCCAGGGGGTGGAGGTTGCAGTGAGCTGAGATCATACCATTGCACTCCAGCCTGGGCGACAGAGCAAGACTCCGTCTCAAAAAGAAAAAAAAGTGGAGTGCAAATGCATTAAAGACCTAAATGTGAATGGCAGAACTGTAAATGCAATAGAAGAAAATATCTGTTACCTTGGAGTGAAGAAAGATTTCTTGAACAAGACTAAAAAGCTTAAACAATAAGGGAGGAAAACAGTGAGTTTGATTACTCATAATTGAGAATTTCTATTCAATGAAAAAAATATAAACAAAAAGATAGATAAGAGACTGGAAGGAGATATTTTCTGTGTCCAAAGCTGATGGTATTTAATGGCTGGAATAAAAAGAGAACACCTAGAAATTAGCAAGGAAAAAGAAAACCCAATAGAAAAATGGGCAAAGGATATAAAAACATAATTCACAGATTGAGGAATCCCAAACAGATAATTAACTAGGAATCAGAGAAATTCAAGTTGCAAAGAAATTGCAACCTCCGCCTTTCTGGGTTCACATGATTCTCCTGCTGAGGCCTCCCGAGTAGCTGGGATTACAGGCACCTGCCACCATGCCCGGCTAATTTTTGTATTTTTAGTAGAGACGATGTTTCGCCATGTTGGCCAGGCTGGTCTCGAATTCCTGACCTCAAGTGATCTGCCCTCCTTGGCCTCCTAAAGTGCTTGGATTACAGCATGAGCCACCGTACCTGGCCACATCTGGCTAATTTTTAAAATTCATTTTTTTTGTAGAGACAGGGTGTCACTGTGTTGCCCAGGCTGGTCTCGAATGCCTGTACTCAAGCAATCCTCCCACTTCCCAAAGTGCTGGGATTACTGGCGTAAGCCACCATGCCTGGACTGGTTTGAACCTTTTATAACAAAACCCAGATCACAGCAGTCCTCTGCTCAACACACTCTAGTTGCTTCCCATATCAGAGAAAAAAATTATCTACATATCTGGTCCCCAGCTGTGGTAGGCAGAATAATAGTCTTCAAAGATGTCTTTGTCCTAATCCCCAGAAGCTGGGACTATGTTATGTTATGTGGCAAGGGGGAATTAAGGTTGCTAATCAGCTGACTCTGAGGGTGGGAAAATTCTCCTGGATTAATTGGGTGGTACTAATGTAATCACAAGGGTCTTTTTTTTTTTTCTTTTTGGGACAGAGTCTCACTCTGTTGCCCAGGTTGGAGTGCAGTGGTGTGATCTAGGGTGACTGCAGCCTCCGCCTCCTGGGTTCAAGTGATTCTCGTGCCTCAGCTCCCAAGTAGCTGGGATTACAGGTGCCTGCCACCACGATCAGTTAATTTTTGTATTTTTGGGGAGAGACAGGGTTTTGCCATGTTGAACAGGCTGGTCTTGAACTCCTGACCTCAAGTGATCCACCTGCCTTGGCCTCCCAAAATGCTGGGATTATAGGTGTGAGTCACCGCACCTGCCACACAAGAGTCTTTAGAAGTGAAAGAGGGAGGTAGAATGTGTTAGCCATGATGCAATGTGAGGAGGACTTGACTGGCCATTTTTGGCGTTGAATATAGACTGGGATCACAAGCCAAGGAACATGGGCTGCCAGTAGAAGCTGGAAAGGCAAGAAAGGGGATTTTCCCCTAGAGCCTCCAGAAGGAATGTAGACCTGCCTGACATCTTGATTTTAGCCCAGTGAGACCCAATTTGAACTTGTAAATCTCCAGAACCGTGTGATAATAAATTTGTGTTGCTTAAAGACACCAAGTGTGTGGTAAATTGTTGCACAGCCGTAGCAAACAACTCTACTAGCAAGCACTCTCTCCTGTCTCTTTGCCTTATTCGACCCCAGACCTATCACCCCATTGCTGTTCCTCAAGCATATTCTATGCCAAACCTTCTCCTGCTTCAGGACCTTTGCACTTACAGTTCCCCCAGCCTGAAGCAATTTTTGCATTGCAAACCACATCCCTTGAGGATAGTTAGTGACATGGGGCCTGGAACTGTGAAGAATGGCAGACTTCTGCTGCTAGTCATGATGGAGTAACAGAGACCAGACTTATCCTCATGCTTTCAGCATCTTTTTTTTTTTTTTTTTTTTTTGAGACAGAGTTTTGTTCTTGTCCCCCAGGCTGGAGGGCGATGGCACGATCTCGGCTTACCGCAACCTCTGCCTCCCGGGTTCAAGCAAGTCTCCTGCCTCAGCCTCCCGAGTAGCTGGATTACAGGCATGAGCCACCGTGCCCCGCCTGCTTTCAGCATCAAAACACAAAACACATGAAGCAATGGCTTTTAGATATTGGACAACAGGCAGTTCGGGAGAGTGATCCTTGAGAAACAGGAAATAAAGTGAGCCCTATGAATGGACATTGCCTGGAACTTTCAGGCCTCGGCATAAGGAGGAAACTCTCTGATTTAAAAAACGGAACACAGGCCGGGCGCGGTGGCTCATGCCTGTAATCCCAGCACTTTGGGAGGCCGAGGCGGGCAGGTCATGAGGTCAGGAGATCGAGATCATCCTGGCTAACACAGTGAAACCCCGTCTCTACTAAAAATACAAAAAAATTAGCCGGGCGTGGTGGTGGGCGCCTGTAGTCCCAGCTGCTCGGGAGGCTGAGGCAGGAGAATGGCGTGAAGCCGCGAGGCAGAGCTTCCAGTGAGCGGAGATCGCGCCACTGCACTCCAGCCTGGGAGACAAAGCGAGACTCCATCTCAAAAAAACAAACAAAAAAAAGGAACACAGCATCAGTGAGCTGTGGAACAAGATCAAGTGGCTTAACACATATGGAATTGGAGTCCCAGATTTTTTTTTGAGGGGATCAGGAAGAGGACAGTGAAAACAAAACAAAAAATAGTAATAACAGAGGTTTTTGTAGTGAAGCTTTTGAAATGATGGAAAAATTAAGGGACTAGAAAACCAAGACCTTAGAAGGTGTCTGTCACGAGAGAGCAAGCACAGGGTACTATATAAGGCTTAGCCTGGGCCAGGCACAGTGGCTCATGCATATAATCCCAGCACTTGGGATGCTGAGGTGGGTGGATCACTTGAGTCCAGGAGTTCAAGACCAGCCTGGGCAACATGGTGAAACCGCATCTCTACAAAAACATACAAAAATTAGCTGGGCATGGTGGCACATACCTGTGGTCCCAGCTACTCAAGGGGCTAAGGCAGGAGAACTGCTTCAACCTGAAAGGTGGAGGGTGCAGTGAGCTGAGATCATGCCAACGCACTCCAGCCTGGGTACAGGGCAACAGAGTGAGACTCTGTCTTAAAAAAAAGGAAAAAAAAAAAAAGTCTGGGCGCAGTGGCTCACACCTGTAATCCCAGCACTTTGGGAGGCTGAGGCGGGTGGATCATGAGGTCAGGAGATCAAGACCATCCTGGCTAACACAGTGAAACCCTGTCTCTACTAAAAATACAAAAAACAAAAAACAAACAAAAAAAAAGCTGGGCGTAGTAGTGGGCGCCTGTAGTCCTAGCTACTTGGGAGGCTGAGGCAGGAGAATGGCATGAACCCGGGAGGCGGAGGTTGCAGTGAGCCGAGATCGTGCCACTGCACTCCAGCCTGGGCGACAGAGTGAGACTCTGTCTCAAAAAAAAAAAAAAAAAAAAAAAAAAGGTTTAGTTGGGGCAGGGTGGGACACTCACTACCCCTTGGGTTTCCACAGAGGGAAGGAAATTTTTACTTTCTCAGGTTAGGGGAGAAAGTCAACAGTTCTTGATAGGAAAAAAAAGGAAAATCTTTTCACCCTCTTTTGGCCTTAAAATGATCATTTCCTTATATTCTTTCCAAATAATCTTCAGTACCGTCTAGGTGGCATACATAAGTGCTTAAACTTTTCTTATTCTTTCTATAAGGGAAGTACTTTCCTACTTCCTATATTAATAATCTCCCCACCCCCGAAGTCTTCAACTCCAGCTGATAGTTTTAAACTTAGAACATTCTTTCCTATTTGTTTTTAATAATGCTAGATAATGTATTCAAAATAATCTTAGTATCTGAAGAGGAAATGAGATTATACATTATTCCCTCTAACATAACTTCTCAGTTTGTTATTTTGTGCATTTAAAAAATTACATTTCCGAGGATATGTGCTCCTTGTGTCCTCTAACCTCTTAATCTAAAATAACAGGGACACTTAATTTTTTTTGGTATCTAATTATACTTACAAAGTATATGATATCTGAAAATAAATGCGACAAAATATGAGACCATGTAATAACACGATGAAAAGACATTGGAAAAACATGGCATTTATATTAAATGTATTTTTATGACTAAATTTGTTCTACACAAAAGTTGTTTATCCCTGCCAATGATATCTTGTGGGGGGAAAAATGAGTACTCACCTGGCGAAAACAGGAATTGTTAGTCTCCTCAAACGAGAGCTTACTCTTGAAATACACAGCGTTCTACCATATCAAGGTCATCAGAGAATTGCTGTAAAAACCTAGTGTCTATGTCATCTGCAGGAAAAGGAGATAAAGTCACCATTATCATCCAGAAGCTCTTGAGTTATTTAAGAAGGGACATGGTAGGTATTAAGAAAAATTAAGAAGACTTTTTTCCCCCCCATTCTGGGCTCCAAAAAATTGGTAGAAGAATGCAGCGCTCATTCTTTTTCACTAAAAAGCTCATTTGTCACTTTAAGGTGAGGGGATTTGGAAAAGGACTGGCATGTGGAGAAGGAATATCGGTCAGGAATCTGGACTTTGTTGCTAGATCTGCCACTTCCTGATTCAGCCCTGATCGTGCAGAGCTGACCAAGGCCGTGGTCCCCAGGCTCCCCTGACTCCAGGCTGCCCACGCTCACCGGGACAGGCCGGCTCGCTCCCTGCAGGCTGCAGCGGGAGGGCTGGACCTGGAAGCCTCTCTTAAAACGGGCCCTGGCTGCAGCAGGAGCTGCGCCCGAAAGCAGCTCTGAGAGTAACCGGTTCACCGAACATGGGTCCAGAATGATGCCCAAGCCCTGGGAAAAGTGGCACAAAGCCACCGCCGCGAAGCAGCAGGTGTTTCAAGCTGAGGGAAGGCGGGGCTGCGAGAGACAGCCTTGCGCATGCGCGTTCCATCCAGGTGCGGCAGCCTCAGGCAGAGATTAAGAAATGAGTCGTGGAAAAGGGGGCTAGCGGCTGGTTACTAGGAGACGGGACGCTCGGCTCGGGCGTCTAGGCGCTGCGTGGGCGTGCGCCTGCGCGGCGCGGATGGGCCAGGAAGGGGTCCCTCCTAGGTGCCCTGTAAGGCAGGCAGGTAGACGTACGCGTCGCTCCGTGCGTAGGAGCGCGCGCACGGCTTGTAGACCCCGCGAGAAGGAAGGTCGAGCCAGGTACGCGTGCGCACCGGGCCTGGGGGCGAGCGGGACGGAAGCAAAGCTGGGGCGCCGGGGAGGTGGAAGACGAGCCCCACTCCGGTACAGAGCGTGAGGGCGGGGCCACGGCGGCACTGGCTGGCGCTAACCGCCCCCTCCTCCTTCCCGCGGGCTCCGTCCTTCCTCCGATCCGCCGGGGCGGGGCCAGGACGATTTGGGGGTGGGAAGGGAGGAGAAAGGGGCGGAGGATGGAGAGTGGGCGGTTCTTGTATCCCCCGCTGAGGCCGAGAGCTGACAGTCGCGGGGATGAGCTCTGGGCAGGACGGCGGGCCGAGGAGCCCGGGGAGGGACCCGGAGCTCCAGGTAGAAGCTGCGGAGGTGCGCGGGGTGGGGAGAGTGCTGCTACTGGACTGGAAGGTCTCTGAGAAGGCGGCTGCAAGCGGGCAGGAGTGGCGGGTGCGGGGCCGTGGCGGGCGGAGTTGGGCGCTAGCAGCGGGAGCGGCTGTGAGGGGCAGCGGCGGGCACAGCTGCCGGCCGGAAGCTCGGCAGCACGAGTTGCCCCTGTTTCTTGGGAGGTTAGGTTTGAGCCCAGTTCCTATGGTCACTGCTTCGCGTCCTCCCGCAGCTCTCCGCTTGGTTGTTGGGGAGACTGTTCAGTTTAGAAACGCTCTGGAAGCTCTGGTGGAGCCGAGGAATTTGGAAGTCACAGATTTGGGAGTTCAGCCTGACTCCCGATCGCTCATTTCTGAGCCTCTTTCTAGACTTGGGGTGGTGAAAGGCTGAGATTACATAGGCATTTGCATGAAAATCTCAGATAATTTTAGTAAAAATTATACACAGTAAAGGCAGGGAAAGCTGGCTTTTGTTGAAAAACTATTTGAGACTTAAATTGGATAACTAGGTGATCATGGACTTGATACCTAAAAACTCACAGAAATATGGTTTTTTTTCACTTTTTTTTTTTCGCAGCTTCGGGAAAGTTTGCATAGATTATAGTGTCCCAACGTTTTCCTTCTTCCATTCCAGGACCTTATATCCTAGGAGATTTCCTTGTTTAAAATTTTCTGTACTGGTGTTCAGCATTTCAAGTATACTTTGTTTACGTGTAAGGACATAAGTAGAATAACAATAGGTTTGTAAGTAGAAAAAAACAGGTTAGTTATAGAAGTAGGATGTCGCATTCGAATCTGCTTCCAGGATAAGACAGATTCTTGTTTGTATTTTAATTGATTAATGAGCCAAACTCTTCAGTCTTAATTAGTGGGAAATAACTAGGACGGTACATTAATTAAATATTAATTTTAAATCCTAAACTTTGGCATTATTTAATGGCAGCTTCCACAATATCTCGCGTACTGTTTACCTTCTGAAGAAAAATCACTGCCTGTAGCCCAGAATATAATCAGGTGTAGAGATTCTCTGGGAGATCTTTTCTGTCTTCTTTTTGAGTTGCTTAGACTAGTTTGTTTAGGACGATTTGGTTTTGAAGTCCTCCATACACAGAGGCAGTTAGAGGTATTACTATTTATCACCTTTTCAGATTACATATTTCTTTCCCTCCCCAGAGATAGCCACTCTCCTGACTTCTAAGATAGCCACTTCCTTGATTTTCCTTAATGTTTCACATCATTGTATGTGAACATGCACATTACAGTTTGGCTTGTTTTTGAACTTCGAATGGAATTGTACTAAGTATTCATTTACATCTTGCTTCTTTACTCAACATTTTTTTTAAGATTAATCTTTATTGTTGCTCGCAGTATTTAGTTTGCTGATTGTTTCCCAAAATATTTATCCACTTATTTTTATTATATAAAATACTCTCTCAGAATTATTCATAAATCTTGTATGGTTTTCCACATCCTTCTGTTAGTGAGGCAGTTCCTTTCTACTTCAATGTCTATAAGTCTACACTTTTGGAGACAATATTTTTAAAAAGAAAAACCCACCTCAACTGTAGTAAGCTTTTGTGGAACCAGATTTCAGAATTCCATTGAAGTACTCCAGTATTTTCCATTCTATCAAAAAATCAATAATTTGTTGAATACATATTATGTGCTTCATATTTTGCTCAACACCGATGATACTTTTTATTATATAATCTTAGCTCCTGTTTCACTGAAAAATTAAAATTCAACCAGACAGAAACTTCCTCAGATTTCCATGACACTTACCTTTTTTTTTTGAGACATGATCTCACTGTCGCTCAGGCTGGAGTGCAGTGGTGCGATCATGACTCATTGCAGCCTTGACCTCCCGGGCTCAAGTGATTCTCCTATCTCAGCCTCCCAAGTAGCTGGGACCACAGGTGGATGCCACTATGCCTGGCTAATTTATTTTTTAATTTTTGTAGATACAGGAACTCACTATGTTGTCCAGGCTGGTCTCAAATTCCTGGGCTCAAGTGATCCTCTGGCCTTGGCCTCCCAAAGTGTTGGGATTATTGGGATTACAAGTGTCTAAATCTTCACCTGTCCTTGCTTTTGTCTTTCTTGTGTCGGGGCAATACATCTTTATCTGGGTTTCCTCTTATTACCTCAGCTGTCTTTCTCCATCAATTAACATTAACTCATGCCTTAGGAATCTTCATTGTTTCTGTACTGTAGGGCTTCTTCACCTGGAGTCCAAGGACCTTATAGAGTCTTAAATCCCCTGAAATTGTTTGTAAAGGTGTATTTGCATTTTTCTGAGGAGAGGATGCAGGACTTTTAATTCTGAAAGAGGATCCTTATGTAAAGAGAATTAAGGAACAAGTTTTTCTCTTCCCATAATGACGTTTCCACAACCTTGGTTGTCTTCCACCTTTGTTGTACCTCTCTTCCTCTCACAATCATGCTTCCTAAAAGAAGTTTACATTTTCCATTTCTTTTTCTTTACTATTCATTCATTAGTCCCCTTCAGACTTGTTTTCACCCACCATTGAAACTGCTTTGTTCGAATCATTAAATTTTCTTATTTTGAAAATGTTTTATTGCGTTTCACCTTTGTGCTGGGCACTTTTAAGGCATTAGGGATAAAACAGAGACAAGACAAAAGCCTAGAGCTCTTGAATTTTATATTCTAGTATGGGGAGATAGTAAACAAGTCAGCAAATGATATAATTTCAAGTAGTGATAAGTGCAAATAGCTTATCACTTATTTGAGAGAGTGACTAGGAGAGAGGCTACTTTAGGTAAGAAGTCAGGGAAGACCCTCTGACATTTCAGCCAAAGAGCTGAGGGTGAGAAGATAGCCATGTGAAAGGCTGGGTAGAAAGTGTTCCTGAGAGAGGAAAAGCAAGAGCAGAGGACCTGAAGTCAAATGTTACTGGCAAATATCTTAGTCCATTCAGGCTGCTATAATGAAATAACATATAAGCAACAGAAATTTAATTCTTACAGTTCTGGAGACTGGGAATTCTAAGATCCAAGTTGCCAGCAGAATCAATGTCTGAGGTTTTTTGGTTCATAGATGGTACCTTCAGACTCTGTCCTCATATGTTAGAAGGGGCAAGGGAGCTCTCTGGGGCCTATTATATACAGGCAACTCATCATGGCTGTGCCTTTTTTTTTTTTTTTTTGACATGGAGTCTCACTCTGTTGCCCAGGCTGGAGTGCAGTGACACGATCTCGGCTCACTGCAATAAATCCCTTCTAATTTATTAGCAAATGTTGTTGGTTCAAATATATATCCTAAATCCATCCACTTCTCTATATTTTTGTTACCACCTCCCTGGTCCAAGTCACCATCATCTCCCACCTAAAATACTGCAACCATTCCCTGCTATCTTTCCGCTTCCACTGTTGCTCCCTACAACCTATTCTCCACACTGATATCATATCAATCACTTCAAAATAATGAGATCCTGTGGGAGGGGAGAAGGGAGAGGGAAAAAAAAATGAAAAAGAAAATTATAATAAGATGATCCTGGCTCAAAAATACACCAATGGCTTCCCACTGCAATTAAAAATAAAATCCAAACTTTGTAAGGCCTTACATGATTTGGCCCTTGTCTTCACTTACAAGATCTAGTACTCCCTTCTTTGTTCGCCCAATAGCTTTTTCTTTCTGTTCCTCTAATGTGTGGCTTCAGTCCGAATTTCTGTGTCCTCACAAAATTTTTAGGTTGAAATTCTAACCCCTAAGGTGATCACATTAAGAGGCAGAGTCTTGGCCGGGTGCAGTGGCTCACGCCTGTAATCCCAACAGTTTGGGAGGCTGAGGCGGGTGGATCATGAGGTCAGGAGTTTAACACCAGCCTGGCCAAGATGGTGAAACCCCATCTCTACTAAAAATACAAAGTTAGCTGGGCATGGTGGCAGGTGCCTGTAATCCCAGCTACTTGGGAGGCTGAGGCAGGGAATTGCTTGAACCTGGGAGGTGGAGGTTCCAGTGAGCCGAGATCATACCACTGCACTCCAGCCTGGGTGACAGAGCACGACTGTCTCAAAAAAAAAAAAAAAAAGGAAGTCTGTTTTAGACACGTTAAAGTAGCCATGGCTGTGGACATCCCATAAAAGTAATATAATGCATTAAGTGCTCCAGAAGGGATATGTTCATAGTTCTTTTGGAATGAAGAGTAGATCCTAAGTCTTTTTTGAAGAAGTAGAAGTCAGAAATACTTTTTTTTTTTTTTTTTTTTTTTTTTTTTTTTTTTTTTTTTTTTTTGAGATGGAGTCTCGCTCTGTCGCCCAGGCTGGAGTGCAGTGGCGGGATCTCGGCTCACTGCAAGCTCCGCCTCCCGGGTTCACGCCATTCTCCTGCCTCAGCCTCCCGAGTAGCTGGGACTACAGGCGCCCGCCACTACGCCCGGCTAATTTTTTTTGTATTTTTAGTAGAGACGGGGTTTCACCGTTTTAGCCGGGATGGTCTCGATCTCCTGACCTCGTGATCCGCCCGCCTCGGCCTCCCAAAGTGCTGGGATTACAGGCGTGAGCCACCGCGCCCGGCAGAAATACTTTTTTTGTAGCTTCTTTCTCAGTGTTACCTTAGCATCTGTGTGCATTACTCTGATGTAGCAGTAATCATGCTGTGGTGTAATTTCTGATTTATTTGTTCTGGACTTTCCTAGATTCATTTAGGGTTGAAATTGTAAGATTCTATTTGTTTTACATCTTTTTATCCCCAGAAACATATTTCTGGTTCATTCTTATTCTAGCTATTTATAAGTTTACATATAAAGTGAATACATGTGACTGCTACAGTCTGAAAGCATGAACTAAAACAGTGATAGTAGGGATGGAAGAAATGTAACTGAGATAATTTTTAGTGAAAAGAGCAGTAGGACTTGATAGCCAATTAAATAAGTTGACTCAGTGAGAGGAATTAGTAATAATAGTAAATAATATATATAGTGCTTATCATGTGCCAGGCACTATTCTAAGTGCTAAAGTTAAAACATATATTAATTCATTTACTCCTCACGCAACTCTATGATGCAGACCCTTTTTTTTTTTTGGTACGAAGTCTCGCTCTTGTCCCCCAGGCTGGAGTGCAATGGTGCAATCTTGGCTCACTGCAACCTCCACCTCTCAGGTTCAAGTGATTCTCCTGCCTCAGCCTCTCGAGTAGCTGGGATTATAGGTGCCTGCCACCACACCCAGCTAATTTGTGTATTTTTAGTAGAGATGGGTTTTCACCATGTTGGCCAGGTGGGTCTCAAACTCCTGACCTCAGGTGATCCGCCCGCCTCAGCCTCCCAAAGTGCTGGGATTATGGGCATGAGCCACTGCACCCAGCCAATGCAGATACTCTTATTATCATCCCTGTTTTATAAATGAGGAAGCTATAGTCAGAGAAGTAACCAGGTCGCCCAAGATCACACAGCTAAGATGTGGCAGAACTAGGATAATGAATGTAGGCAGGCTGATACCAAAATACATGATATTAACCACTCTGCTGTGTGACTTCCTAATTGAGAATAAAAGTTCTTCCTTATTTTAGACTTCACATTGAAAAAAATAAAGAATAAATTAAAAATAATTTTTTAGTGGCTGGCAAGATGGCCAAATAGGAACTGTTCTATTCTGTCTGCAGCTCCCAGTGAGATGAATGCAGAAGGCAGGTGATTTCTGCATTTCCAAATGAGTGTAAACAAAGCTGGTGGGAAGTTCGAACTGGGTGGAGCTCACCACAGCTTGGCTAAGCTGCTGTAGCCAGACTGCCTCTCTAGATTCCTCCTCTCTGGGCAGGGCATCTCTGAAAGAAAGGCAGCAGCCCCAGTCAGGGGCTTATAGATAAAACTCCTATCTCCCTGGGACAGAGCACCTGGGGGAAGGGGTGGCTGTGGGTGCAGCTTCAGCAGACTTGAATGTTCCTGCCTGCTGGCTCCGAAGAGAGCAGCAGAGTGCCCAAGCTCTGCTAAGGGACAGACTGCTGCCTCAAGTGGGTCCCTGACCCCCATGCCTCCTGACTGGGAGACATCTCCCAGCAGGAGTCAACAGACATCTCATATAGGAGAGCCCTGGCTGGCATCTGGTGGGTGCCCCTCTGGGACGAAGCTTTCAGAGGAAGAAACAGGCAGCAATCTTTGCTGTTCTGCAGCTTCTGCTGTTTGCTGGTGATACTCAGGCAAACAGGGTCTGGAGTGGACCTCCAGCAAACTCCAGCAGACCTGCAGCAGAGGGGCCTGACTGTTAGAAGGAAAACTAACAAAAGGAATAGCATCAATATCAACAAAAATGACGTCCACACAGAAACCCCAGAAACCCCATCTGCAGGTCACCAACATCAAACACCAAAGGCAGATAAATCCATGAAGATGAGGAAAAACCAGCACAAAAAGGCTGAAAATTTCAAAAACCAGAACGCCTCTTCTCCTCTAAAGGATTACAACTGCTCGCCAGCAAAGGAGCAAAACTGGACAGAGAATGAGTTTGACAAATTGACAGAAGTAGGCTTCAGAAGGTGGGTAATAACAAGCTCCTCTGAGCTATAGGAGCATGTTCTAACCCAATGCAAGGAAGCTAAGAACCTTTAAAAAGGTTAGAGGAATTGCTAACTAGAATAACCAGTTTAGAGAAGAACATAAATGACCTGTTGGAGCTGAAAAACACAGCGTGAGAACTTGGTGAAGCATACACAAGTATCAATAGCTGAATCAATCAAGTGGAAGAAAGGCTATGAGATTGAAGATCAACTTAATGAAATAAAGCATGAAGACAAGATTAGAGAAAAAAGGATGAGAAGAAACAAACAAAGCCTCCAAGAAATATGGGACTATGTGAAAAGACCAGACCTACCTTTGATTGGTATACTCTGAAAGTGACGAGAATGGAACCAAGTTGGAAATATCCTCAGGATATTATCCAGGAGGACTTCCCCAACCAAGCAAGGCAGGCCAACATTCCAATTCAGGAAATACAGAGAACACCACAAAGATACTCCTCGAGAAGAGCAACCCCAAGACACATAATCGTCAGATTCACCAAGGCTGAAATGAAAGAGAAAATGTTAAGGGCAGACAGAGAGAAAGGTTGGGTTACCCACAAAGGGAAGCCTATCAGACTAACATTGGGTCTCTCTGCAGAAACCCTACAAGCCAGAAGAGAGTGGGGGTCAGTATTCAACATTCTTAAAGAAAAGAATTTTCAACCCAGAATTTCATATCCAGCCAAACTAAGCTTCATAAACAAAGGAGAAATAAAATCTTTTACAGATAAGCAAATGCTGAGATATTTTGTCACCACCAGACCTGGCTTACAAGAGCTCCTGAAGGAAGCACTAAACATGGAAATGAAAAACATACCAGCCACTGCAAAAACATACCAAATTGTAAAGACCATCAACACTATGAAGAAACTGCATCAACTAATGGGCAAAATAACCAGCTGGCATCATAATGACAGGATCAAATTCAAACATAACAATATTAACCTTAAATGTAAATGGGCTAAATGCCCCAACTAAAAGACACAGACTGGCAAATTGGATAAAGAGTCAAGACCCATTGTTGTGTTGTATTCAGGAGACCCATCTCATATGCAAAGACACACATAGGCTCAAAATAAAGGGATGGAGGAGTATTTACCAAGCAAATGGAAAGCAAAAAAAAGCAGGGGTTGCAGTTCTAGTCTCTGATAAAACAGACTTTAAACCAACAAAGATCAAAACAAGACAAAGAAGGGCATTACATAATGGTTAAGGGATCAATGCAACAAGAAGAGCTAATTATCCTAAATATATATGCACCCAATACAGGGCACCCTCATTCATAAAGCAAGTTCTTAGAGACCTACAAAGAGACTTAGACTCCTACAGAATAATAGTGGGAGACTTTAACACCCCACTGGCAATATTAGATCAACTAGACAGAAAATTAACAAGGATATTCAGGACTTGAACTTAGCACTGGACCAACCGGACCTAACAGACATCTACAGAACTCTCTTCCCCAACTCAACAGAATATACATTCTTCTCAGCAACACATCACACTTATTCTAAAATTGACCGCATAATTGAAGTAAAACACTCCCCAGCAAATGCAAAAGAATGGAAATGATAACAGTCTCGCAGACCACAGTGCAATCAAATTAGAACTCAGGATTAAGAAACTCACTCAAAATCACGCAACTGTATAGAAACTGCTCCTGAATGATAATGGGTACATAACGAAATTAAGGCAGAATTAAGTTCTTTGAAACCAATGAGAACAAAGACACAACATACCAGAATCTCTGGGACACAGCTAAAGCAGTGTGTAGAGGGAAATTTATAGCACTGAATGCCCACAGGAGACAGCAGGAAAGATCTAAAATCAACACCCTAACATCATGATTAAAAGAACTAGAGAAGCAAGAGCAAACAAATTCAAAAGCTAGCAGAAGATAAGAAGTAACTAAGATCAGAGCAGAACTGAAGGAGATAGAGACACGAAAAGCCCTTCAAAAAATCAATGAATCCAGGAGCTGGTTTTTTGAATAGATAAACAAAATAGACCGCTAGCCAGACTAATAAGAATCAAATAGACACAATAAAAAATGATAAAGGAGATATTACCACTGATCCCACAGAAATACAAACTACCATCAGAGAATACTATAAACGTCTCTACACAAATAAACTAGAAAATCTAGAAGAAATGGACAAATTCCTGGAAGGGTATATACCCTTCCAGGACTAAACCAGGAAGAAGTTGAATTCCTGAATAGACCAATAACAAGTTCTGAAATTGAGGCAGTAATTAATAGCCTACCAACCAAAAAAAAAGCCCAGGATTAGATGGATTCATAGCTGAATTCTACCAGAGGTACAAAGAGGAGCTGGTACCATTCCTTCTGAAACTATTCCAAACAATAGAAAAAAGAGGGAATCCTCCCTAACTCATTTTATGAGTCCAGCATCATCCTGATACCAAAACCTGGCAGGGAAACAACAACAGCAAAAAATTTCAGGCCAATATTTCTGATGAACATCGATGTGAAAATCCTCAATAAAATACTGGCAAACCAAATCCAGCAGCACATCAGAAAGCTTATTCACCATGATCAAGTCGGCTTCATCCCTGGGATGAAGTTGTATGGTTCAACATACGCAAATCAATAAACATAATCCATCTCATAAACAGAACCAATGACAAAAACCACATGATTATCTCAATAGATGGAGAAAAGGCCTTCGATAAAATTCAACACCCCTTCATGCTAAAAACTCTCAGTAAACTAGGTATCGATGGAATGTATCTCAAAATAATAAGAGCTATTTATGAGAAACCTGTAGCCAATATCATACTGAATGGACAAAACCTGGAAGCATTCCCTTTGAAAACCAGCACAAGACAAGGATGCCCTCTCTCACCACTCCTATTCAATATAGTATTGGAAGTTCTGGCCAGGGCAATCAGGCAAGAGAAAGAAATAAGGGGTATTCAAATAGGAAGAGAGGAGTCAAATTGTCTCTGTTTGCAGATGACATGATTGTATATTTAGAAAACCCCACTGTCTTAGCCCAAAATCTCCTTAAGCTGATAAGCAACTTCAGCAAAGTCTCAGGATGCAAAATCAATGTGCAGAAATCAGAAGCATTCCTATACACCAGTAATAGACAAACAGCCAAATCATGAGTGACCTCCCATTCACAATTGCTACAAAAATAATAACATACCTAGGAATACAACTTACAAGTGATGGGAAGGACCTCTTCAAGGAGAACTACAAACCACTGCTCAAAGAAATAAGAGAGGACACAAACAAATGGAAAAACATTCCATGCTCATGGATCAGAAGAATCAATATTGTGAAAATGGCCATACTGCCCACAGTATTTTATAGATTCAATGCTGTCCCCATCTACTTTCTTCACAAAATTAGAAAAAACTTCCTTAAATTTCACATGGAACCAAAAAAGACCCCATATAGCCAAGACAATCCTAAGCAAAAAGAACGAAGCTGGAGGGATCATGCTACCTGACTTCAAACTATACTACAAGGCTACAGTAATCAAAACAGCATGGTACTGGTACCAAAACAGATATATACCAATATATATATACCAATGGAACAGAACAGAGGCCTCAGAAACAACGCCACACATCTACAACCATCTGATCTTTGACAAACCTGACAAAAACAAGCAATGGGGAAAGGATTCTCTACTTCATAAATGATGTTGGGAAAACTGGCTAGCCATATGCAGAAAACTGAAACTAGACCCCTTCCTTACACCTTATACAAAAATTAACTCAAGATGTATTAAAGACTTAAACATAAAACATAAGACCATAACAACTCTAGAAGAAAACCTAGGCAATACCATTTAGGACATAGGCATGGGCAAAGACTTCATGACTAAAACACCAAAAGCAATGGCAAGAAAAGCCAAAATTGACAAATGGATCTAATTAAACTAAAGAGCTTCTGTACAGCAAAAGAAACTATCATCAGAGTGAACAGGAAACACAGAATGGGAGAAAATATTTGCAATCTACCCATCTGACAAAAGGTTAATATCTAGAATCTATAAGGAACTTAAACAAATTTACAAGAAAAAAACAGACGACCCCATCAAAAAGTGGGCAAAGGATATGAACAGACACTTCTCAAAAGAAGACATTTATGCAGCGAACAAACATGAAAAAAAGCTCATCATTGGTCATTAGAGAAATGCAAATCAAAACCACAATGAGATACCATCTCATACCAGTTTGAATGGCGATCATTAAAAAGTCGGGAAACAGCAGATGCTGGAGAAGTTGTGGAGAAATAGGAACGCTTTTACACTGTTGGTGGGAGTGTAAATTCAACTAATTTGTGGAAGACAGTGTGGCGATTCCTCAGGGATCTAGAATCAGAAATACCATTTGACACAGCAATCCCATTACTGGGTATATACCCAAAGGATTATAAGTCACTCTAAAGACATATTCACATGTATGTTTATTGCAGCACTGTTCATAATAGTAAAGACTTGGAACCAACCTAAATGCCCACCAATGATAGACTAGATAAAGAAAATGTGGCACATATACACCATGGATACTGTGCAGCCATTAAGAAGGATGAGTTCATGTCCTTTGCAGGGACATGGATGAAGCTGGAAACCATCATTCTCAGCAAACTAACACAAGAACAGAAAACCAAACACAGCATGTTCTTACTCATAAGTGGGAGTTAAACAGTGAGAACTCATGGACACAGGGAGGGGAACATCATATACCAGGGCCTGTCAGGGAGTTGGGGGCCTAGGGGAGGGATAGCATAAAAAAGAAAAAATAATTTTTTTTAAGAAGGAACATTGTTTCACTTGCCTTCTCTGAGAACGGTACAGGAGCACAAGTTCCATTCTAATGATGAGATTGCAGCAAGGTTGAGGATATTTATGTGGCCTGAGGTAGGGAAGCTGGCAGACCAGGCATGGGAATTTCAGATACACTGATGTGTCTTTCCTCTAGTGATATTGCCCCCAAAGCTGGTGGAGGGAGGATAGCAACTCCAGCATGATTGGTTAGGATTGTCAGGTGGACTTGTGGTCTCTTGCTATTTTTAATTCCTAGCTGGGCCTGATAGGTAATTTTGCAAAAGCCCCACTTTATTCGGTTTACCAAAGAGGAGGAAGAAAGTTTAATTTTGTATGCTTTATCACACTGCTTCATTATCAACCTCAACAAATTTTTTGACACTTTTTATTACGTAAATAACTGTGCAGGTTAATGGGGATAGAGAGAGTTTTTGGACATTGCTTGTTCTTAAGAGTCTAATAAATGTGTGAGGAAGACATCCAGAAAAATTTAGAACATAAATTCTTCTATATATATAAATATCAATTAAGAGATGATCATTATGCAGTGGAGAAGACAGAGAAAACCTGGAGAATATGGAATTCCAGCTGAGCCTTAAAAATGTCTTAAGTTAAATGGAGAAAATAGTGAGGGCAAGGCTCATTGAACAGATGATAAAATACTTTTGAATATATGTATTAAGAATGTGTTGGCTGGGTGCAGTGGCTCATGCCTGTAATCCCAGGGAGACCTAGGCGGGAG
Source organism: Homo sapiens (assembly GCF_000001405.40). NCBI lineage: Eukaryota > Metazoa > Chordata > Mammalia > Primates > Hominidae > Homo > Homo sapiens. The sequence continues at coordinate 99,128,989 of NC_000002.12, read as the reverse complement.
GATCTCTTGAGCCCAGGAGTTAAAGACCAGCCAGGGCAGCATAGGGAGACCCTGACTCTACAAAATTTAAAACAATTAGCCAATTGTGGTGGCACATGCCTGTGTTCCCAGCTATTTGGGAGGCTAGGGTGAGAAGATTGCTTGGGCCTGGGGTTCGAGGCTGCAGTGAGCCGTGATCATGCCAACCTGGGTGACAGGGTGAGACCCTTAAGTGTTGCATAGTTTGTCTTTCATAGAGGGATTCTTGGAGGTATCAAGTAGGAGGTAAATTTGGAGAAGTAGGAAGGGACAAAATTACAGAAGTACTCTGAATATTGGATGGGTTTAGACTTAAATAGATCCTTGCTATTCAAATAAATCAGAAATTACAGCACAGCATGATTCAACATGTGGTCTCTGTACCAACCAAATAGGGATCTCCAAGCAGCTTTATAGAAATGTCAAATCTCAGCCTGTAAATAAGAATCTGCATTCACACAACATTCCCAGATGATTCTTAAATTCAGTAAAAATTGAACAGTACTGCTCTAGTGAGGAGTCGTTTCATTCTGTTATTCTAAATCATGTTTATAACTAGCAATACATTTTTAACAGAAACCATGTAAGAAATGGTAGTTAGGAGTTCAGTCCAGCCCCTGGGGGTTTAAATGCTTCATAATTTGAAATATTCTGTGAGATCTAATGTTGAGGTTCCAGGTGGGGCAGTAACTGTTGCAATGAAGAAGAGTTGTGTCTTGTTTAGAGAAGAGAAAAAAGGGAAATAAATCTGCCGGCCTGTCTAAGTGCTGGGTTACACAGAGTGCATCATAAGGTCAGTGACTGGGGAGATCCTGATTCTGTAATTCCCTAGGTAGGATTTTGGAGAACAGCAGCTGTGTTTTGAGGAAAGATCTAAGATGCTCATAACAAATTCTTTTTTAACACAATGGTAGCCTTGATTCAAGGAAAGAAAAAATTGTTTTCCTAAGTTACACAGTCTCTAAGATATGTTGTCAAGTAAAATAGCGTGATGCAGAATAGTATGTATAGTATGCTAAAGTGAAAAATCTCTAACATTTGTTATTTTGCATAAGTGTACATATATATAGCTGTAGTATAAATTTCTAGAAATGAAATTATTTGAACAGAAGCTATGTGCATTTGTCATGTTGATAGATTTTATACCATTGTTCTCCATAAATATTGTATCAGTTTACTCTCCCACCGGTGATACGTAAGGACGCTATATCCATGTTACTGATCTTTGCCATGTGATGGTTAAAAGGGGGTATCTCAGTGTTTTAATTTGTGTCACTAAAGGTTGAGATTGAACATCTTAATATTTAGGAGCCGTTTCTGTAAATGTTCACATTCTTTGCCAATTTTTCTATTAGAGTACTTTTTTAATCTTTTTTATTTCTAGGGATTATTTCTATATTCAGGAAATTCACTCTTTGTGATATTAATTGCAAACCTTTTTTCTTGTATAGAGTAGCAACAGCAAACGTAACTCACTAATAGCTATTTTGGACAACACAAGCCTAGAGGTAGACTCTTTAATTTGCTACTGATCCATATTTCTGTAGAACCATGATTACCAAAAGGATAGTGTAGGGAATGTCTTTGAAAAGCATGTTCAGTACCATTTGGACAACACACAGAAAAAGTTTTATAAATTTTAAGAAGGTAAAGTTTGATGAAATCCTCTTAGCTGGTGGGAAATGGTTAAAAAAAATCTAAGAATATTATCAATTTTCAAAATGTATTGATGTAAGAAATCACAGAGCTGTTTTAAACTGAATGCCTCTGTATTATTTCCCATTCTTTGTACTAGGTTACCACCAAAGAATATGATTTTGGTCTAGGGGCTCCAGTTTCTGAAGCTGAAAACTACCAGAATACTCTCCAGCTAGAACAAGAAGTGAGAAACCAAGATAGATTCATCTCGACACTGAAATTACAGGTTGCGTTTAGTTACAACATATTTTCCTGACTTAATTTGGGGTGGGAGCCTATTTTGAAACAAGAAGATAGAGAATAAATAACTACTAATTCAGAGCTCATTTAAATGTTATGGGTCTAAAATCATTCAATTTTTATCTTAACCATTTTGATAAACATAGAGTCAGAGTCAGTGAGTGCAAACTACGTGTCAAGTGTTGTGTCAGATGTTTTCAGGTATACAGTTTTTACTTAATCATCCCCAACTTGCGAAAAAGTGATGCCGTTTCCATTTATAGATGTGGAAGCTGAAGTTCTAAGAGGTTAAATAATTATGACACTTGAGTAACAAGTGACAGAACTACGATTTCTCCAAACTCCCGTGTTAGCCGGGATTTGAACTCAATTCTCTGAACTTCAAGTTCAGTATTGTTCCTGTTCTCCTGATGCTTGACATGTAATATAGCTATTAATAAAGGCTATTAAAAGAGATTTCTTTTTCCAGGAAGATAGAGTAGACTTACTTTTTTTTATTCCTCCTGCTAAGTACAGCTAAAAACTCTGAACATTATGTATAAAAGAATTTAAGACTTTGAAAGGTGGAGAGGAGAAGGAACATTGGCTAAGGATCTCAAGACACAAAGAACAACATGTTTGTTCCTGGGTTTCTTTTTCTCCGTATGTCGCAGACAGCTGCTAGAAAAACTGGCAACTAGAAATAACAATAGGCACAAAAGAAAGACCGAAGAAAAGGACCAGGAAAGGAGCAGCCTATCAAGGCAGACAACTTTTAAGAGAGTAACTATCCACTCCAAGCAAATACCACAGAAAAAACTACAGCCCCATTCCTGCCAGCTCAGGCCAAGTAAAGAGCCTACACTTTCCACGCTTGCCAGACTATAACAAGGAGCCCCACTTGTGCCTCACCTACACACTTGTGCCCCACTTGTGCCTACACCTACCCACTCCTCCCACACCAGGGTGATATCAGAGAAGGCTAAGTGGGAAACTAGGACTTTTATCCTCACCAGGGGATAAGGAGGCCCTGAACCCCGTGATGTCAGCAGAGACAACATGAGGAGCCAAGCCATCTACTCCTACTTTATAGTAAGAGGCACTCCTTCTTGCTGTGGTGGAGACCTGAACTTCTACCACCTATCAGCAGTAAAGGCCACCCATCCATGGTGTCAGTGGGGGACACGTAGGGAACTGTAATGAGGCACCTCTGGGATTCTTCCCAGGCTGGTGGTAATGGCAGAGGCCTAGTGGGGAGCCTGAACTCCCATTCTTGCCTAGCAGTATCTAGGAACACCACCCTTTCCAGATATCAACAGATGCCAAGTAGAGGAACTGGACTTCTACTTTGATCTAACAGAAATAAGGCAATGTCCCTTCTTTTTAGTTGGAGCATTGTCACAGGAGGCCTGCTAAAACATAAGATCCAGAGTCTTACAATGCTAGGTCTCAATTTTTAAAAAAGGCATTGTAATCCAAAGAATCAGGAAGATTTGAGAAAAGACAAGAGAAGCCAACACTGAAATGGAACGGATGTTACAATTATCTGGCAAGGACTTTAAAGCAGTCATATAAATGCTTCAGCAAGCAATTATGAACATGCTGGAAACGAATGAAGAAAAGTTGTCTCAGGAAAAAATAAGAGATGTAAAGAAGAACCAAATGGACATTTTGGAACTAAAAAATAAAGTAACTGGTCCACACAAAAATCAGCCTATGAATGTTTATAGCAGCATTATTATAATTGCCAAAAACTTGGAAGCAACCAAGATATCTTTCAATAGATGAATGGATAAGCAAACTGTTGTACACCTATACAGTGGAATAGTATTCAGTGTATTTTAAAAATGAGCTACGTAGCCATGAAAAGACCCAGAGTGAACCTTGAAAACATGTTACAAAGCTGAAAAGGCTACGAAATGTATGATTCCAACTATATGGAGATGATAAAACTATAGAAACCATAAAAAGAGCAGTAGTTACCAGGAATTGGAGGGAGAGGGGATGAATAGGTGGAGCACAGGATTTTTAGGGGAGTGAAACTATTCTGTATGATATACTAATAGTGGATACATGTCATCCTATGTGTGTCAAAACTCACAGAATGAATAACGCCAAGAGTGAACCCTAAGGTAAGTTATAGATACTAGTTATTAATAATGTAACAGTAGGCCGGGCGCAGTGGCTCACACCTGTAATCCCAGCACTTTGGGAGGCCGAGGCGGGCGGATCATGAGGTCAGGAGATCGAGACCATCCTGGCTAACACGGTGAAACCCCGTCTCTACTAAAAATAGAAAAAAATTAGCCGGGCATGGTGGTGGGTGCCTGTAGTCCCAGCTACTTAGGAGGCCGAGGCAGGAGAATTGTGTGAACCCGGGAGGCAGAGGTTGCAGTGAGCCAAGATCATGCCGCTGCACTCCAGCCTGGGCGACAGACCGAGATTCTGTCTCAAAAAAATATATATATATAATGTAACAGTATTATTTCATCAATTGTAACAAATATACCACATTAATACAAAATGTAAATAATAGAGGAAACTGTGTTGAGGAAGAGAGAGAGGAGTGTGTGGGAACTCTTTGTACTTCCTAATCAATTTTTTGTAAACCTAAAACTACTCCAAAAACTTAGTCTGTTAACTACATGAGAGAAAATATTTCCAAATTACATATCTGAAAAGGGCTTAATATCTAGAATATACAAAGGACTCCTACAATTAGCCCCTTTCCCCCCAGAAAAATCTAATTCAAAAATGGGCAAAGGACTTGAACAGACATTTCTCCAAAGAAGATATACAAATGTCAATAAATACATGAAAAAGATGCTCAACATCATCAACCATTAAAGAAATGCAAATCAAAACCATGAGATACCACTTCATACCCATTAGGGTGGTTGTTATAATGGAAAATAACAAGTGTTGGTGAGGATGTGAAGAAATTGGAACACTTGCATTGCCGATGGGAATGTAAAATGGAGCCACCTTGGTGAAAATCATTTGATGGTTTCTCAAAATTTTAAAGACAGACTAATAATATGATCCAGCTATTCCACTCCTAGGTATATATCCTAAAGAGTTGAAAACACGGACTCCAGTAGATACGTATATACAAATGCTCATAGCAGCATTATTCACAGTAGCCAAGAGGTAGAAAAAACCCAAATGTCAACAAATGAATGGATAAACAAAATATGGCATGTGCTTACAATGGAATATAACTCAGATTCAAAAAGGAATGACATTCTGATACATGCTGCAAAATGAATGAACCTCAAAAACATACTAAGTACAATAAGCCAGACATAGGAAGACAAATAATGCTTGATTCCACCTCTGCCTAGAATAGGCAAATTATGGAGATAGAATTGTTGTTTAATGGGTACAGAGTTTTTTGGGGGAGGGGAATAAAAAAATTCTGGAAATAGGTAGTGGTGATGGTTGTACAACATTGTGAATATACTTAATGCCACTGAATTATATACTTTAAAAATGTTAAAATGAAAATTATGTATATATATTTTGTGACAATAAAACAAGCTTTAAAAATAAAGTAACTGAAAATAAAAGCTCAATGTTCTCAATAGAATGGAGGAGAGGAATGAATCAGTGAACACGAGACTAGAAAAATAATTACCTAATGTGAACATCAGAGAGAAAATAGATGGAAAAAAATTTGAATAGAGCCTCAGAGACAGGTAAAACTATGTTCGACAAAAAAGTGAGAGAAAGTGGTGCTAAAAAAATTTGATGAGATAATGGCTGAATTTCCCACAAATTTGACACAAAGACATAAAACAGATGAAAGAAGGTGATGGAATACCTAACAGGAGTCACCCAAAGAAATGCATGCCAAGACACTAAAAAAATCCTGAAAGTAACCAGAGAGAAACCATGCATTATCTATAGAAGAACACCAATTCAAGTGACAGCAGTTATTTTTCATCTGAAAAACTGGAGGTAAGAAGGAAGTGGCACGACATTTTTCAAGTGCTAGAAAAAAGCAAACCTGTCAACTCAGAATTTTATATCCAGAGAAAGTATCCTTGAAGGTTGAGGGAAAGTAAAGACATTCTCAGATAAAGAAAAATTAAGATAATTTGTGCCAGCAGAGCTACCCTAAAAGAATAGCTAAAAGTATTTCTCTAACCAGAAAGGAAGTGATAAAAGAAGTAATCTTGGAGCAGTAGGAAGGAAGAACAATATATAGAGCAAAAAATATGGGTAAATGAAACAGAATTTCTTTCTTTCTTTTTTTTTTTTGGAGACAGGGTCTTGCTCTGTCATCCAGGCTGTAGTGCAGTGGCATCATCTCTGCTTACTGCAGCCTTGGCCTCCTGGGCTCAAGCAATCCTCCTACCTCAGCCGTTCAAGTAATTGGGACTGCAGGCATGCACCACCATGGTTGGCTGATTTTTTTTTTTTTTTTTTTTTTTTTTGGTAGAGATGGAGTTTTGCCATGTTTCCCAGGCTTGTCTTGAACTCCCATTCTTAAGTGATCCACTGCCTCAGCCTCCCAAAGTCCTGGGATTACAGATGTGAGCCACTACTCCGATTCAAATTTTTTTTTAATTTTACAAAATTGTATTTAACTGTCGAATGTGGTTTTAAATGCATGTACAGGAAATATTTAAATTATTTTATTAATAGGGGAGAGTAAAGGGAGCTAACAGGTAAGGTTTCTGTACTTTCACTTGAACTGTTAAAATGTAGGCTATGATAAGTTCTGTATATATAATGTAATGCCTAGAACAACTGGTAGAAAAAGATCAAACAAGAGTTACACTCAGAAACACTATAAATAAATCAACGTAGAATTCTAAAAAATGTTGAGATAATCCACAGGAAGGCACCAAAAACAAAACTCTTCATGATTTCAACACTTATAACTACAGTAATCAAGACTGTGATATTGGTGAGGGATAGATACATACATGAATGGTACAGAACAGAGAATCTAGAGATAGTCCTATACAAGTACAGCCAAACGATTTTTTGACAGAGATGCAGATGCAGTTCAGTGGAAGATAGTCTTTTCAACAAGTGGTGTTGGAGCATTTAGATACAGGGAAAACAGTTACCCTCCACTTAAATCTCACACTTCATAAAAAATTAAATGGACCATAGATGTAAATGTAAAACATAAAACTATGAGACTTTTAGGAGGTAACATAGGAGAAAATTTGCAGGAAGTTAGGCTTGGATGGAAAGTTCTTAGATATGATACCAAAAGCATGACTCATAAAAGGAAAAATTGGTAATATGGACTTAATCAAAATTGAAGTTTTTGGCCGGGTGTGGTGGCTCGTGGCTATAATCCCTGCACTTTGGCAGGTGGATGGATCACTTGAGGCCAGGAGTTCAAGACCGGCCTGGCCAACATGGCAAAACCCCATCTCTACTAAAAATTACACAAATTATCTAGGCAGGTGGTGCATGCCTGTAGTCCCAGCTACTTGAGAGGCTGAGGTGGGAGGATCACTTGAACCCAGGAGGCAGGTTGCAGTGAACTGAGATTGTACCACTGCACTCCAGCCTGGGTGAGAATGAGATTCTGTCTCAAATATATATACACACATATATATATATGAATATATATACTTCACAGAAGGATGTCTGGTATACTAGAAAAAGATGTTCAGCCTCTGTAAACATCAGGGGAATGCAAATTAAGGCCATGATGAAATAACAATACAGTAACTAAAATAAAAAATAGTGACAATACCAAATGCTGGCAAGGATGAGGAGAAACTGGATCACTCATCCATTCCTGGTAAGAATATGAAATGGTACAGCCACTCTGGAAAATGATTTGGCAGTTTTTGGTAAGACTAAACATACATTTACCATACAACCCAGCAGTTGTGCTCCTGGGCATTTATTCCAGAGAAAGGAAAACTTATATCTACTCAAAACTTATATCCTACTCAGTTGTTCATAGCGGCTTTGTTATATTCCCAAACTGGAAACAACCAGTTTTCCTTAATTGGTGAATGGTTAAACTGTGGTATTCCATACCATGGAATATTATTCAGCAATAAATAGGAATGATCCTATTTGGTTCAAATAACAACTTGCGTGGATCTAAAGGACGCTGTGCTGAGTGAAAGAAAGCAATCTCAAAAGATCACATGCTCTATGATTTTGTTTATGTAACATTCTCAAAATGACAAAATTGTACACATTGGTGGGAAGAATTGAGGGCGGGGAAGGAGAATATAAAGGGGCAGCAGAAGAATGGTCTCGTTGTAATGGAACAGTTCTATATCTTGAGGTGGTAGTTACAGAGATCTGCACATGTGAGAAAAATCATATAGAACACCATGCACATGGTGTATCTGGGTATGATATACTATGTTGTTTATGACACAACTATCAGCGGAAACTGAGTAAAGGGCGTATGAGACTTCTCTGTACTACATTTGCTTCCTGTGAATCTTATTTAAAAATAAAAATTTTTAACAAAACTAATTGAGTACCTATAATACTGGAAATTTTACTTGAGCTCTTATATAATGTCTAATGACAATTCTGCAAATTCTAGGCATTCTGTCCCTTTAACAGAAGAAACTCAAGAGACTCTCATTTATTTTTTTTCTTAAGTCAGGTGCATCTTCTAGGATCAAGAAAATATGGTAAATTCCCCAATTACATAACTGGTAAAGAACTACAACAGGATTTAAACCTAACTCTGCCGAAGTCCAGAGCCCATATCCTTTGTGTTACTCCAGACTGCCTCTTCTAAAGTACTTTTGTCTTGGAATTGAGTAAAAGTAAAGTTCATGAGAGAAGGGAGGGGAGTGTTCATTTATATTACTAATAATTTGTTTTATTTGCTTACTTAATAATTTGAGGATTATATGTGAGATACGTAATAAATGATGCAGAAACAAGTGATGTGTTGATACAGAAATGAGACAATACAGTCTTTTAAGTTGTTTAGAATCTAGTAGAAGGGACAGGGAAATAAATGATTTTAATGCATCTTATAAAATATTGAGATAAACTTATATAAGAGGCTTTATGGGCACACATACTGGAAAGGAGAAGCACCAAGAACATCTCCTGGTGCAGTGGGAAGTTAACAGACATTTTTAGTGTGCTCTTGTTGCTGAGAAACATGGCATAGGAAAAGCCACGAACAAAGATGAAAAACACAACTTGAAGTTTATCTGTTTCACGTCCTGTAGTTTGTCTGTTTGTTTTAAAAGAAAGTAGCTGAAATAATAAGGGTAGGGTAAAATAAGTAAACAGTGAAAGCCTGGGATGACAATAACGAACAGATCATTGTACCTAGTTTCTGTGCATGTTGCTAGAGGTGGGCTTTGGATTAAGCTTTAAAATTTCTAGAGGCAAAGGCAAATAGAAATATTAGTTAAATAATTAATGATTGTTAGGGTAAGAACAAACCAGGTTTCCAAAAAAGGCACGTATTTTCCTGAAATTGAAGCCTAAGTAGGGTTTTCCTTGAGGATTCTCATAAGGAGGGTTCTTTGATAACACTTCAATTTCAAGTGTGTACATTTCAATAACTCCCCTAAAAGAAGTTTTTAAATGAATTTAATGAGATTGTTTTTTATAGTGTGTCTGGTGGTGGGAAGTTAGGTTGGACAGCTAAGTCGAGTTGGATCATAAATGGCATTTTAAAATTTCATTCTCAGTGTCATGAGGCAACATAAGGTTATAGGAATGACCTCAAATTTGCATTTTCGAAGAATTTTTGAGAGCAGATGGGAGAAGGCCAAAAGAGAAGAGAGTAGGAGACACTGGATTAAAATAATGACTTTAATTATGCCTCTTGGTGGGCTATTTACTGGGTACAATAAATGGCATTGTAGCATATTTAAAAATAATTCATGACTTAGGATATTTTTATGTAGTGACAACTTATAAAGTTTTTTTGAAGACAACTTTGTTTTTAATGGTTTGGAAGACGATAACTCTATAGCTGTTTGAAAAGGGCAACCTCAGGGCAAGAATAATGCTAGAACTAAGAGGTCAGGTATTTAGCAATTTCAGATGCTCCTTACAGACTGAAACTTCTGTGTGCGAGTGTTTTTTTTTGTTGCTGTTGTTTTTAATGCATCTTTTACAGGGTACTAACACAGTATCTTAGACACAATAGGTGCTCAATAAATATTTGTTAAATACACAATGAGAGACAAGTACTATGGAAAAGAATTTGTACCATGACTTTACCTCGTAGTTATTTTTGTTATTGCACTTAACATGTTGTCTTTGTATTTCCTCAAGTAAACAAAGAGTTCCCTGAGGGCAGGTATCTAACCTATCTTTGTATTTTTGGAATTTAATATAGTTCCTGACATAATCATTGTTCAATGGGTCTAATTTTTTTTTTCCTTTAAAGGCATTTGGATACCTTTGTGATAGAAAAGGCCCTTTTCTTCATCCATTGATGGTTTGATAGTGGGCTGGGAAGGAAAGCTGTGTTCCTCCACATTAGGCAGCAAATACTTGATTGATTTGATATTTAGCTTAGTCAAGTAAGTTACTGATACTTTCAAAAGGACTTTTTAAAAAGTTAATAATACACATATATATACGTATATATATATGTATATATACTTTTTTTTTTTTTTTTTTGAGATAGAGTCTTGCTGTGTCACCAAGGCTGGAGTGCAGTGGCAGGATCTGGGCTCAGTGCAATCTCTGCCTCCCAGGTTCAAGCAATTCTTGTACCTCAGCCTCCCAAGTAGCTGGGACTACGGGCACTCGCCACCATGCCCGGCTGATTTTTGTATTTTTAGTAGAGATGGGGTTTCACCATGTTGGCGAGGCTGGTCTCAAACTCCTGACCTCAGATGATCTGCCCGCCTCAGCCTCCCAAAGTGCTGGGATTACAAGTGTGAGTCACCATGCCTGGCCTAAAAGAGTTAATATATTTTAATAACAATAATTAGAAATTTAATTAAAAGAACTCTTAATGGTATTAAAATTAATTTCAAAGCTATTGAAGTTTCTTTATTGCAGATATAAATATTTGGCCATTTTTCTAATAGATTGGCTAAAAATCAATAGTAATTAAGTTCTTTTTAAAATAAACTATAAATTGTCTTGAAAGATATTGCTATAAAATTTAAAATGTTTATTTAATATATTTTTTCAAATAGGTAATACATTCACATGGTACAAAATTCAGAAGGCACAAAAAGGTATAGAGTTAAGTTTCTTTGCCAGGGAAGCAAATCTCCCTTCCTGATTCCAGTCACACAGCTGCTCCCCAGAAAAAAGCTAAGGAATTATTTTAATGTGATTTTTTTTCTGATAATAACAGATTGAAGATCTCAAACAGACAAATCATGGCTTGGAAGAATATGTTAGGAAACTCTTGGATAGTAAGGAGGTGGTAAGCAGTCAAGTAGATGATTTAACCAGCCACAATGAGCATCTTTGTAAAGAATTGATTAAAATTGACCAACTAGCAGAGCAACTCGAAAAAGAGAAAAATTTTGTGGTGGATTCCGCCAACAAGGAACTTGAAGAAGCCAAGGTACCAGATTTACCACGGATAAGGATTTTAATTTTACTTTAAACATCATGTAATTTTTAAATGCAATGGAAAAAGTAGCATTCTCATTTGTATAATTTGGAAGCTTTTTAGATTTGACAGTATATTTAAATGTCTGTTCTAAGGATTAAATTGTTTCTCACATTTTACTTCTTTTAACAAATTCTACTCAAAACATTTCCTAAGTAATATGCAGTCATTGTAAAAAATTTGAAAGCAACAGGAATGTTCCGTGAACTAAATGTTGCTCCCACTTCCCAATTCCTCTCTCCTCTGCAGAGATATCTACAAACTAATAGATACATTTATTTTCGTCTATTTTCACATATGTAATTGATTTCAATACCCATTAAAAAAGATTTTTACCAAACTAAAAATAGAACTGCCATGTGATCCAGCAACACCGCAGCCGGGTATACATCCAAAAGAAAGGAAATCAGTATGTCACAGAGGTATCTGCACTTCCGTGTTTATGGCAGCACTATTCACAATAGCCAAGATATGGAATCAAGGCTGGTTAATTGGTACAAAAATACAGTTATAGAGAAGATATAAATTCTAGTGTTTGATGGCACAGTAGGGTGACTATCATTAACAATTTATTGCATATTTAAAAATAGCTGAAAGAGAAGATTTGGAGTATTCCCAGAACAAAGAAATAATTTTTAAGGTGATGGATATCCCCATTACCCTGATTTGATCAGTATACGTTGATGCATGTATTAAAATATCACATGTACCCCATAAACATGTACCATTATTATGTATCAATAAAAAGTCAATTTAAAACTTTTTTTTAACTAACATTTGAAAATTTGCCAATCTTTTTTTTTTCTTACTGATGTCTGAGATTTGGTTCTTGTTCAGGAAGGTTTTTTTTTCACCTCAAGAACTACAGATATACTTTCTAAAGTTTTCTTTTAATACTTTTTAATAGTTTTCCTTCTGTTGATACTGCTAGTTTCTTTTTGTTCTAATATGAGGTAGGGTTGCCTAGTCCTTTCTCCACTGACTTGACATATCATTTTAACAGATACTAAATTCTCAGATATCTGTGACTTTCTGGACTATTTGTTTTCATTGATTCATTTGCCTTTTTCTGTGCCACCATCACATTGTTTTAGTTACTGTAGCTTTATGATATTTTGATCAACATTTTTTTTCTTGATTGAGTACTTTGCCATGAAATTTAGAAACTAGAGATTAAATGTAATTATAAAATGACAGTCTCACTTCTCCATTGCTGCCTAATGGCTGATAAGCAAGATAGAGCATATTTGAAGGCCAAAAAACAACCTGTTGAATTTTTAAATGATAGCTTGTGAACATGCTTATTTGTCTTGATTTTATTAATCACCAAATTAGTAAATTGTGTCTGTAACAGAGTAATTTCCCAAAGCTAATTGTTATTACGTGTTATTTCTTAAACATTCTTTTAATGTAACAGGACTCTTATAGCAAATAATAAAGCAATTAAATTATCAGGTGAAACGTTATTGAAGTCACTGTTAAAGTAATTTGAAATATGAGTCCAATTGATGACCTCTAGGATTGTATGTATTTTTATGCAGTAACCTCATTGAGACTGCTTAATGGATGAGTTTAAATTAGTGGAAAGTCAAATAATAGAACTTTTTTGTTGTTGTTGAGACAGAGTTTCCGTCTGTCACCCAGGCTGGAGTGCAGTGGCGCGATCTCGGCTCACTGCAACCTCCACCTCCCGGGTTCAAGTGATTTCCTGCCTCAGTCTCCCGAGTAGCTGGGATTACAGGCACCCACGACCACACCCATCTAATTTTCATATTTTTAGTAGAAATAGGGTTTCATCATGTTGGCCAGGCTGGTATTGAACTCCTGACCTGAAGTGATCCGCCCACCTTGGCCTCCCAAAGTGCTGGGATTACAGGCATGAGCCACCACACCTGGCCATAATAGTGCAATATTTAAATACACGAGTTATTACTTTAAGGATACAGTCTTCTTTAACCATGTTGTCTGGAACAGGTCCTTAGAACTGCTTGAAATACTAGATAAGAATGATTTGTTTTTAACTTTTGAATTATTTATCTTCAAATGGATGCTGTTAAAGTATTTGAAGGATATTTAAAAGTAGCTTGAATATTTTAAACATTTTTCAATACTTTTGTTTGTATTGTTACTTTAAAATTTTTTTTAACTTAATTTTTTAATGCCACTTCAGGTGGAATGTATTGTTACTTTTTTTAAAGTAACATTCACAGTTTAATGGTAAATTGATTTCCATCTGTCTTAATTATAAAAATTATCAAAATTGGGCCAAGCATGGTGGCTTATGCCTGTAATCCCAGCACTTTGGGAGGCCGAGGCAGGTGGATCGCTTGAGGCCAGGAGTTTGAGACCAGCCTGGTGAACATGATGAAACCCCATTTCTACTAAAATGCAAAAAAATAGCTGGGCGTGTTGCCATACGCCTGTAATCCCAGCTACTTGGGAGGCTGAGGCACAAGAATAGCTTGAGCCTGAGAGACAGAGGTTGCAGTGAGCCAAAATCACGTCACGCTCTAGCCTGAGCAAAAGAGTGAGACTCTTTATCTCAAAAAAATATATATATATCAATATTGAAGAGTTTTAGTATGTCTTCCTTGTTTTTGTTTTCAAATTAAAAATTAACTGCACTCCTTCCCAGACTGCGGGAAACCAAGTTGACTGAATTCCAACAATGAGAATGCCCTGTTTAGAAGTCATCACATCACTTTTAAAGGGTTGTTAGGGTTTATGTTCTAGAGAGAGTAAGTACTATGTCAGGGTAAATTCTCTGCTTTCAAAAGGAAGAATTTTTGGAATGGAAAACATCTAAAATATAAGAGCTAGGATTTACCTAAAACTGTAAGTATTAAATTTACAGGTGGAATTTTGCCTGGTTTGGCAAAGAGTATTTCTAGAAAATAGATCTTCATAAATAATGTGGAATGTTGGGTGTATTTGAGGGTTGGAAAGCTATTGGGTGAAAAAGAGGTAAGCAGTAAGTCTTGGAGTAGAGATACCATTGCTGACACAGGAAAAACATCAGAAACTTAATAAAGAGAGAACAAAATGGAAATAGGCCTTTGGGTTGGTAGAATGCCCTGAAATGAGGAAATCACCAACCTCAGTTAAGTGAATGTCCCCAAGTAGAATGGGGATTAGAAAGATGCAAAACCAACACTGGGGATATGAACTCCAGTGTGTGTTGTCATCATCCTAAGACATTAGATATGCATTTTAGGTTTATATTTATGTGGGAGAGATTCCTTGCCTAATTTGTGGGGTGGCACTTGAAACAAGATTTCTAATTCGATTGCTGAGAAAAAATATTTGGGTTTCTAGTGTTTAAGATTATACTCTGGGTATGCGGAGGTAGAGTCTGAGGCTAAAGCTACTGTTAGTTTGTCTGGAATTGAGATAGTATTAAATGTATTCACTGGGAAGTATTTACTTTTAGTCTTATTTTTAAAGGTCAACAGTAACTTCTTCCATGATTTACTTCATTAAAATATTTTCAATATTAACTATTGGCTATTGCTATGTAATTACTTTGAAACCTTAATGCCTTCAAACAACAAATATTGATACCTCACAGGTTCTTGGGTTGGGAATTCAAGAGTGGCTTAGCTGGGTTGTTCTGGTTCACTGTTTCTCAGGAAATTGTTATCAAGATGATGGCCAGGGCTGGTGGTTTACACCTGTAATTCCAACACTTTGGGAGGCCAAGGCAGGCAGATCACTTCAGGTCAGGAGTTCAAGACCAGCCTGACCAATATGATGAAACCCGGTCTCTACTAAAAATACAAAAAACTAGCTGGGCATGGTGGTGGGCACCTGTAATCCCAGCTACCCGGGAGGCTGAGGCCAGAGAATTGCTTGATCCCGGGAGGCAGAGGTTGCAGTGAGCCGAGATCACGCCACTGCGCTCCAGCCTGGATGACAAAGAGAGACTCGATCTCAAAAAACAACAACAAAAAAGCTGATTGCCACAGTCATGGCTTGACTGCTACTGGAGGATCTACTTCTAAGATGGCTCACTCAGATGGCTTTTGGCTATTGGCAGGAGGCCTGTTCCTTGCTAGGTGGACCTCTCTCTAGGGTTGCTTCATGTATTCTTTGTGGAAGTTTATTCTCCCTCCACCTTCCCCTCTCCCCCAGCCAACAATCCAAGAGATAATAAGGAGGATCTGCAGGGCTTAGCATGACCCAGTCTCAAAAGTTATATCTCATCACTTCCTCCATATTCTAATCTTTAAAAGTGAGTCACTAAGTATAACCCACACTCTAGGGGAGGGAAATTAAGCTCCAGCTATTGAAGGAAGGAGTATTAGAATTTGTGGACATACATTAAAACCACCTCAACTATATGCCTTCGTTTATTCTCTCATCTTGAGTTGTTTATCATTCATGTGTTAACATGGCATTTCCCAGATAATTGAACATGACACTATGAAATGTGAAGCAGAATTAAAATTTTACCATTATTTCTTCCTATAATTTATATTTTTAATTGACCTAGGGGCTATGTTACTGGACTGGATCTCTGATAGTCCTTATCATTATTGTTACTTTTGTGTGTGATTCAATAAAAAGTATTTCAGAGCCCGCTGTGTGGAAGACATTGTGTAAAGTCTTTGTTTGTCCCCCACAAACAAAGGGTGGGGTGGGGGACAACAAAGACTTTACACAATGTCTTCCACACAGCGGGCTCTGAAATACCCATCCCCACATTCCCTGCACACACTCCCTGTCTTTCTCCTTCGCTTTATTTTTCCCTGTAGCACTTTGCTGTTCCTTTCCCCTTCCCTCACTGTGCTCCAGCCATGCCGGTCTCCATACTTAGAACCAACCAGACCTTCTTTTGCCTTAGGACCTTTGTTAGAGCTGTAACTTTTGCCTGCAATGTTTTTTGCCCAGATTTTCACATGATTGACTTCCTTTCCTCTGAAGTTTTTGGTCAAAGGTCACCTTTCAATGAGGACTTCCTGACCACCCTATTTAAAATTCCAACCTGTTCCTCCATAAATATTCCCAGTATCCTTAACTCTGCTCTTCTTTTTCTAGTATACTATATAATTATTTGTTAGGTTTATTATTGTCTATTCTAGCTGGAATGTAGAATCCACAAAGGCAGAAATCTTTGTCTCTCTTGTTTACTTAACTCAAGTGCTTAGAACGTGAGCGCTCCTTGTATTATTTTTTTGAGGGATGCAATCACTAACATATTTTGACTATTATCTTTTGTTTTTCTTTTTTTGGCTAGAATATATACTACATGAGGGCAGAGATTTTTACCTTTTTTATTCATTACTTTACCCAGCACATAACACAATGGCAGGCAGGTAGTAGGCATTCATTAATTGTTAAGTAAGTGAAAACACTGAGTTAGCAGTTTTTCATTTGGGCCAGTTATTTTGTTTTTCAGAGTGGAATCAACATTTTTTTAAATCACTGTAAAATTAATGCATATTTATTATACAAAATTTTAGTCCATATAGAAAAGTAAATGAAGAAAATAACATCTACCATAATCATACCTTGTTATACCTAGACATAATCTTCAGTTTATTTGGTTATGTTTATATGTAGGATGTCTGCGTATAAATTTATTTTTTATGAGAATGTGTCATACCAGATACTCTGTTTTGCAGAGTGAATTTTTATACTTAATGTGGAAATCTTAACACATTCAGAGTAGACCTGTATCTTTTTAGTGTCTACTTAGTAGTATACATTAAAACATTGAAAATTGTCTATTCAAGGCTATACATAAGGTTATCCAAACTCTATGTAATTATGTTCTATTTCTAAGTACTTCACTTGTGAGAAAAACGTTGCAAATAATAGCACCCCTTAATATTTCATAAACTTAAAATATGACTGCCAGAAAAATCGTAGAAGAGAACGTTGGTCTAAAGGACAAATGAAGTACAATAATTCCAGAGAATTCAAATTAAAAATGTAGTAGGCAAGATCAGGATGCAGTTTAGAATAATGAGGGAAAGGTTGATGAATTGCAAAATACATTAAGTGAATATGCTATTAGCAAAGAACTTTACTGCTTTGCATAAAAACTTAGTCACTGTCCTGTAGGAACATATAATGTAGTCATATGCTAAATATATGACTATAGGTACCTATCTTATAAGACTGGGTATGTTCACTGTCATAAATTGATACAAAAAGTATTTTGTGGATTGAATTGAACTAAGCAGTTGAGTTCAGAAGAGAAAGCAATCTTTTCTGAATGGGGTAATTTGGGTCAACTTATTTTATTCTAGTCATTCTTTTATTGCTTTCCTATTATCTTCAGAATTGTAATTAGTACTAACATTTTGTTCCAGTTTATGGGGAATAATTTGGTAAAATACAATCAATTAACATTTTATACAAAAGATTGAATTTAAGAGAATTGTTATTTCATTCTGGGTAAATCATCTTTTATCTTTTATCATCAAAGGTTGCTAAACAGGTTATTTCTTCTTTAAAATATTCACTGCCTTCATGTTTTTATTTTAAGTGGCTTCCTTTTTTTTGATGTTCTTTTTCCAATTAGTTTAAACATCTTTAATAGAAATAATTTTTTTTTTTTTTACTTTTTCTTCAGATTGATCTCATTTGCCAGCAAAATAATATTATAGTATTGGAAGATACAATAAAAAGGCTTAAATCTGTAAGTACATTTTTCATAAATATGTGTTACGGAATCATTTTTATTTGGTCAGTAAGCTATAAAAAATTATATCTTTGGCTCTCACACGTTTTGTGAGGAATAAAATATGTTTGTTTTCTAAAATCTGCACCAACTGCTAGGGACACAGGGGAACCCCCATCTGTAAGAGTGACTTTTTTTTGCTGCTTTCATCACTATTCCTTTGTTTCCTAGAGGCAAAGAACAACTTTTGGTTGGTTTTATTAATGTCCTTATCTGTTAATTGATTTAAAATGATGACTGAATAATTCTCAAAATATGAAGTTTGTTTACACATTAACTTTTATCCCCCTTAATAGTAAATACTTTTAAGCCATAAATTTTGTTACATAATTCCAAACAATGTTTTATTTATCTAACAATGTGAAATGAAAACTGTTCTGTTTAAACATTTTAGTGTTATTTAAAATATTTAAAACCCTCTATCTGAAAGTATATCTATAATTTTCTCCCAATAAAGTATTGTTAAATAAATGTTGTCAAAGAAGTGTTTCTAAATATATGAAAGTGAATGCAAATTTGTGGGAATGCTTACAAGTATGGAATATCCAGCATTCAGTTAATTTATTCACGCATTGAACAATATTGGACAAAACTTAGATGCTATAACAGTTGCTTTAGTAGTAGCATGTGTTTTTCTTCTTTTGAGATGGAGTCTTGCTTTGTTGCCCAGGCTGGAGTGCAATGGCGCATTCTCGGCTCACCACAACCTCCGCCTCCCGGGTTCAAATGATTCTCCTGCCTCAACCTCCCAAATAGCTGGGACTACAGGTGCACGCCACCATGCCCAGCTAATTTTTTTGTATTTTTAGTAGAGACAGGGTTTCACCATGTTGACCAGGCTGGTCTTGAACTCCTGACCTCATGATCTGCCCGCCTCGGCCTCCCAATGTGCTGGGATTACAGGCATGAGCCACCATGCCCAGCCTAGTAGCATATGTTTTTCTAAAGCAAATCCATGCCATTTCTAGGATGTGTGCTAGGTCTGTGGACATTTCTGGCCTCTCTAAAATTTCTTTACCATTTTTTCTCCAAAATTATCTTTCAGTTAAAATATAGCATACCCAGAAATCCTGGAAAAGAAAGATATCTAACTGCTTTTTAAAAATTACTGATATATAATTTTTTAAATGTTGTATTTAAAAAATACCAAATTAAATGTTTTTAAGGATCCTGTTTGTTTTCAATTTCACTTAGAAAATGATGCTATAGTTTAGCTTGAAATAATGGTCTAATTTTTTCCTCTTTGGCAAGATAATTTTAGATACTGAAAAAGCACAAAATAAATCTCCTTCTAGACTTGATTCCTTTGTCAAGACTTTGGAAGCAGACAAAGATCACTATAAGAGTGAAGCTCAACATTTGAGAAAGATGATGCGAAGTAGGTCTAAAAGTCCAAGACGCCCATCACCAACTGCCCGGGTAGGTTTTATAAACTTACAAATATTTTGGAGTTTGTTGCCCAGACACTGGCTTTTATTCTTTGTTTTACCTAATTTGAAAATAATTTGTTTTGATTTGCTGTGAATTGCTGTTTCAAAGGGGTTGAGAGACAGAGGTCTCTTTGATGGCACAGTAGACTACTGATATTGGTTCTTTATCCTCAGCATAATTAGCACTTGGGAGGTAATCAGGCAAATGTGGAATAATTTGGAATGAAGCTGTTTTAAAAAGATGTGGTTTTTAAACTTATTTTTTATAATTTCCTTTCATTATATAGTCTTATTTTCTTAAATAGAAATTGGGCACTACCATCAGTAGCACCTTTCTATCAGTACTATATATCAAAGAAGATTTCAAATTCCTTATATAATTATAGGGTGCAAACTGTGATGTAGAACTTTTGAAGACAACAACAAGAGATCGTGAAGAACTTAAATGCATGCTGGAAAAATATGAGCGCCATTTGGCAGAAATTCAGGGTAATGTCAAGGTTCTTAAATCTGAGAGAGACAAGATCTTCCTTCTTTATGAACAGGTAAACTTACAAAAAACAAATTATATAAGTAATAACATTGAGTTCTAGAGTTATGTAATTCTTCTTTGAGTTTTATGAGACTGCTTAAACCTGCAAATCAAGTTAATCTAACATTTGGGGATTACATATGTTTTTAAGATATTCTTAATGAAATGTAGTACATTTCCAATACAGTAGGTATGTGAGTACACACGTATGTTATCCCCATAGCCAAAAATCATACACATGTATAAAAATAGTCTTATTTTTGGAATAAGATATGAAGAAACCGTTAAATGATAAGTTGTTATGAGTTCAAGGTAAAAAGATCAAATCCTGACCTTTTTACCTTGAACTTGCCACACCTTATCACATCACTTTAGGAACTTTTATATAATTTGCTTAATTTTAGAGAATAAAAGAAGTATGTAGTTTATCTCTGCTTTCTAGCTTAGAATTGCATAGCTTTTATTAATCAAATACCTTCTTTAACCCAACAAGTATTAAATCCTATAAATCACCCATATAACTTCTTTTAAAAGTATCACAATTTTTTAACAAATTATAGCTACTATACACAGGGTTCTAGGCTCACTACTCTAAGGGATAGAAAAATGATAAGATGCTGACCATGTTTTCCTATAAATTTACAGTCTAGTTAGGGAGATAAAGTATATTGTATTTATTGATTTTTATTAAGTGGTCTAGAAGATATTATAAGAAACAAAAGAAGTGGGCATTTTTAGATATGGTGATCAAGGAAATCTTTATTAAAAGATACAAAGTGTGAGCCCTGAAAAATGAATGGAGTTTCTATTACCCTGAAAGGGGCTAGAAGGAACAATCCAAACTAAAGGAATGGTATGAGGCAAAGGATAAAGGTAGGAAAATCAGCAGATAAATAAATTGGTTTAAGACTAGAATAGAGGGTATGTGTCAGTGGAGAAGGGAGAGAGCTAAGACTTGAAAGGTAAGATTGCACTAGAGCAGGAATCAATATACTTTTTCTGTAAGGCCCAGACAAAAAATATCTTCTGCTTTGCAAGCCATGTGGTCTCTGTTGTAACTAATCAGCCCTATTGTTGTAGGGTGAAAGCAGCTTTGGACAATACATAAATGAATAACTTTGGCTGTATTACAGTAAAACTTTATGGATACTGAAATTTGAATTTCACATCATTTTTACTTGTTTTAAAATACTCTTTTGATATTTTCCCCAACCATTTAAAAATGCAAAAATATTTCTCCACTTACAGACCTACAGGAGGCAGGCTAGATGTGGCCTGTGAGTTATATATAGCTTGCTGACTTCTGGACTAAATGGTACAGGCTGTTCAATGGGCCTTATATGGGGTTTATATTTTGCTTCATAAGCAACAAACAATCTTTTTTTTTTAAAGGCAGGCAAAATATGAACAAAGTATCATTTTTACAATTTTACAATTTTAACCTTATGGCAAATTTTTATTTCTCACATAATCTTTCTATACTGTCTTCTTATTTAACAATTTCTCCTTTGAGAGAATTGATGGAGGGAGAGACCATGGACTCCTCTTTAGAAGGCTGTTACACTAGTGCACATATAAGGCATTAAGGGACTAAGCAAGGGTGTTTCAATGGAGATAAATATAGGGACAGATGCAAAAGACCCTGTGAAGGAAGATTTGACATGATTTGCTTTTAGGAAGAAGGAGGGTTGCATGACAGTGACTAAAATTCTGTCTTGAATGACTCAGCAATGTGGTAATAAAATAAAAAATAGGAGAGTCATTGGTGGTTTGAGGAAAAAGATGTGAGTTTGTTTTTAGACAGAGTAAGATAATGATAGCACACTCAGGTCGTAATTGCCATCAGACTGTAAGAAATGTGGGACTGGAGTAGAGAGAGGCAAGAGTTAAATAGTTAGCTTTGGAAGTCATCTGCTTAGAGGTGAGCTTCGAGCCTTCAGAGTGGATGAAGTCTCTGAATGAGAAAACTGTACATAGAGGAGCAGAAACGTTAAGTTATAATATTCAAGATGCAGAAGGGAACCTTTGAAAGAGACAAAGATGACAGACAGCTAGGGAGGAACAATGTTAAAAGGGAGGAAGGAATCTCAAGAAGAAGGATGTTGTGAGCAGCAACAGACCACTGAAATATCAAGGAGAACAGGAACTGAGAAAAGACCATTATATTTGGTTAGGTCTTTAGTTGAAATTCCACAGAAGGTGGGAGGGTGGGAGCCAGGTTGTTCTGGGGTGATAGAATGGATGGTAAGGAACCATTGGCAATAGTTATAGACCATGGGACTTTTTTTTTTTAATGTGTCGCAGGAAGAAGAGACATAGGATGGTAAATTGGTCAGCAGGATCAAGTGACAGGTTTTCAAGATAAGGGAGCACTGTACATGACTGAAGGCAGGGGAGAAAGTGCCAGTGGAGAGGGTACTATTCAAGATGAGAAGAAATAATTATAATTGAGTCAGGGAGATCTTAGAAGACACTTTAGGAGATGAGGTTTGGGGTTCTGGTGAAGGCTTAGCTGTGGAAATTGGGAAGTTATATATTTTCCTTTGGGGCTTGGAGACTATCTGAATAGACAGTGATCAAAATCAAGAGGAAAAGAGACCTGTGCAGCGAACTGTGATATTAAATAATCTGCAGGTTTGGAATAGATTTGGGACCCAAGGATGGTTGAACAGACGTGCAGAGACTCTGTTGGGTTATCAGTAAGGATTGGTGGGCCTTTCTGTCAGGGCAGAAGTAGCCAAGACATAGGAATGGCATATGCATTTATATTTAGGAAGACTGAAACACTATGATAATATTCATTAAACCGGTAGTCTGTCTAAATTGTGCTGAATTTAAATTTACACTACAAAATGAATAAATGGAGTATACCAAATATATTTCTTAGCAAAACATTCTCTGTTGCAATGACTTCCTCCAAATTAATTTTATTTTAGACTTTTGGCAAAGATGTTGTAACATGAACTTCTATTTAAATATATTCATTTTCATTTATTTGTATAAGCTTATTTTAAAATAAAAGCGATACCATTACCCTGCTGCATGCATGTTGATGTAGGTTTGCATTTTAACTGGCTAGATACATAAAATTTTTTATGTTTATGTGTTCTAAAGCTTGTTCAACCAAAGTCTATGATTTAAATAATAGGCACAGGAAGAAATTACCCGACTTCGACGAGAAATGATGAAAAGCTGTAAGAGTCCTAAATCAACAACGGCACATGCTATTCTCCGGCGAGTGGAGACTGAAAGAGATGTAGCCTTTACTGATTTACGAAGAATGACCACAGAACGAGATAGTCTAAGGGAGAGGCTAAAGGTTGGAAAGGATTTTATTTACGTGAATATATGTGAAACACAAATTCAGGGATATTGAAATCACTTTATTTTGTTTTTGCTTTTTAATCAGATTGCTCAAGAGACAGCATTTAATGAGAAGGCTCACCTGGAACAAAGGATAGAGGAGCTGGAGTGTACAGTTCATAATGTAAAAAAAAAAAAAAAGAAAAGTCTCTTTTGGCTATAAACACTCAATGGCTTTCCCCTTTCTCCTTTTTCTGTATTCAGAGAAGTTATTTTATTTTTCTAAGATAGTGTTTATAGTCCTAAAATACTTAAGGTATTTTATAGTGTAAATTGTCACTTTTTCATTTGTTTATTTCCTTCTAAAAATGTGAGTAAATGTTTTTTGGTGTTAGGTTGCAAAGTATGTACTTTAAAAAAATCATTAGGCATTCATTTTCAGGGATCTTATCTACTTTCTCATCTCCATATTTTGTTAAAGATAATATTGCCAGATGTAAAGAAAATGGTTTATTCTACCTAAAGAGTGGATAAGGAGAGAAAATTATGATGAAATAAAAATTATAAGCAAAGTTTATTTAAACTAAATTTAAATGTGAAACATCACCTTTTTCCTAATCAGATTTGATATTGCTACGAATATATATTGATGATATTGTCACTATATAAACATAAGAGAATTTAACTTTCTATTACCAAATATAATTGAATATATTTATAAGTTCATCTGTACTGTTTTATTGTAATGAGTTAAAAATATGAGATAGGGGCTGGGCACGGTGGCTCATGCCTGTAATCCCAGCACTTTGGGAGGCCAAGGCGGGTGGATCACCTAAGGTCAGGAGTTTGAGACCAGCCTGACCAATATGGTGAAACCCTGTCTCTACTAAAAATATGAAAATTTGCCAGGTGTGGTGGCATGCGCCTGTAGTCCCAGCTACTTGGGAGGCTGAGACAGGAGAATTGCTTGCACCCGGGAGGTGGAGATTGCAGTGAGCCGAGATCGCGCCACTGCACTTCAACCTGGGCGATGGAGCGATACTCTGTCTCAAAAAAAAAAAAAATTACTAGACAGGAGAAAATAATTTTTGTTTTCATAATTCTACATTATATGTGTAATTTATTAATGTTGGGCAACAAATAAATTCTTTTGCAAACAGCATATTTATACTATAGTCAAATTGAACCAGATTGAAAAATATAGACTGATATACTGTGATAAGCTTTACTTTGCAGTGGCTTTTCCTTGGTCCTACTTCACAACACCTTATCTGTAAAACCTTCTACAGCAGTCAGGTCTAACCTGATAATCTCATCCTGTCAGTCTTGCCATAAACCAGTTTGTACAGAGGGAGTATGCCCTTCAGGAAGATTACTAAGGTGTTTTTAGTGATGGCAGTAACCTTGTCATTCTACTTGTATAGCTTGATGATGAACGTATGGAGCAAATGTCAAATATGACTTTGATGAAGGAAACCATAAGCACTGTGGAAAAAGAAATGAAATCACTAGCAAGAAAGGCAATGGATACCGAAAGTGAACTTGGCAGACAAAAAGCAGAGAATAATTCTTTGAGGTAAACTAAATCACCTTTAAACAACCAACAGTTTACTATAACTATAGCTCTGCTTTTTATAGTGTATTTTATAATGAAAATTATTTGTTGAGTTCAGTTTCTGAGAGGATTATTGAAAAGCAGTTGTAGGAACCCTTGGCACACAGTGAACAATTTTCCTGAGCTCAATCACAGGCTGGTAATGCCACACTTAACTAGGAATCACACTTCTAGTAATCTTACTTTACATTTGTAAAAAACTTCAACTTTTAACTGAAATAGCTTTTACAAAGCTCTTCTGGGTACAGAATATATTTGACTTTGATTGTTTACCTTTATAACTTTAAATTCTGTTTGGGGATATGAACAGTATAAGAAAACACAAAGCACAGGTTTGGCAGTTGCTTAGAAAAAGGGTGATTTAGAATATAATGAAAAGCCGTAACAGAGAAATAGGAGCACGTGATGGAGCATCTATTAATTGAATGCAAGTACTATACTTAGCCTTTCCTGTGTACTGGCATGGTTGCCGAAGATGTATCAATTGAAGCAGCCTACAGCAATAAGCTTGGGAGAATGAGTTTTTGAAGACCTCTACATGAGTGGTTTTACTTTTAGTATCTGTTGCTGTGAGAAACAGAGGTTCTACAGATTCAGTAAGGTTGAATTTCATTGCATCTATGAACATTGAAAAATAGTAATAGCTTAATATCTAGGTGACGGGTTGATCTGTGCGGCAAACC
The DNA here is from genome assembly GCF_000001405.40 of Homo sapiens. Classification (NCBI taxonomy): domain Eukaryota; kingdom Metazoa; phylum Chordata; class Mammalia; order Primates; family Hominidae; genus Homo; species Homo sapiens. Next base: position 99,103,244 of record NC_000002.12, on the reverse strand, counting down.
ACCGTGGCACATGTTTACCTGTGTAACACACCTGCATGTTCTGCACATGTACCCCGGAACTTAAGAAAGAAAAATAGTAGTTCACACTCCTATTAATGCTGAGATTACAGGCATGAGCCACCGGGCCTGGTCTTTCTTAACAATTTTTTTTTTTTTTTTTTTTAGTCATAAAACCAATTATTTAATTGAAGCTATAAAAAAGGCAGTATAAGCGATAAAATAATTAGGAAAGAATATTTAGCATGTTTCAAAACATTTAAAATAGGAGCAGAACATTTTACAAAAAGTTGTACAGGAAATTAAATTCTAAAACTGTAAGTACAAACATGACATTACAGAGTATCTTATAAAATACAAAGACAAATATAAAAGGACTATGATGCTTTAAGTCTGAAAACTATTGGCCAAATATTTAGGTTTATATTTACAGTTCTGGGTATGAGAATCATATTACTATACACAACTCCCAAACCAGTAAGTAGTATTTTCCAATTAACCATGTGTGGTATCATCTTCTACAAAGTCTTTGGCCATCTCCGCTGTGATCACATCAATATGACTAACCTTATTTCTGAACTTTACACCATAGAATTTGTCAGCTGACTCAAGCAGTTCAGGCCTAAAAGTAGTTGTAATAAACTGAGCATGTACAGCAAGTTCCATAATCATATCTGACACAGCCTTTCTGTGCTGAGCATCCAGAGCCTGGTCAATCTCATCAAACAAGTAAAATGGAGCCGGGTCACATTTCTGAATGGCAAAAATCAGAGCAAGGGCTACCAAGGATTTCTGTCCACCTGAAAGCTGTTGCATTTCTCTCATTTCACCTTGTTTTCCTGTAAATGACACCCTAATTCCAACTCCAGTAAACTGCTCAACTGATGGGACACTGCTTTGTGAGCTAGAACCCCTCTCACTCTCACCACTCCCTTCTCCTTCATCTTGAGACTGACTGCCCTCCACATCTCCTTTCTTCATCACCAAAGTAGCTTTGCCACCAGGTACTAACTTCTGGAATACTTCACTGAAGTTCTTGGATACCTGTTTGAAAGTTAACTGAATAGCTTCATATTTCCGAAGTTCAAGTATATTCATCAGCTCCATGATCGATTTGTAACCCCTATCTAACTCTTCTTGTCGCTTTATTAACTTTTCTTTCTGCTCAGAGAAATTTACAAACTGATCCAAAGCCTTTTTGTTAACATGGCTGTACTTCTTTAATTCTGTTAACAAAATTTTAAGTGTATAATCCGGTATTGTTAAATGTAAGAACAGTGTGGTAAAGCAGATCTCTAGAGTTTTTCGTGTTGCACAACTGAACCTCTGTATCCTTTGAACAGCACTCCCTATTTCCCCCTCCAGTCAATCCTTGGCAACTACCATTTTACTTTCTGTTTCTGAGTTTAACTGTTTAGAGACATCTTGTAAGTGGAGTATTGAGTAGTATTTCTCTGGTTGTCTTATTTCACTTAGCATAATTTCAGTGTTTGTCCACGTTGTAGCATATGACAGAATTTCCTCCTTTCTTGAGGCTGAATCTTTAGTTCTTTATCTTTTTGTTCTTTTCTCTCTCTCTCCTTTTGTTTTTATAATTCTTTGTTAATGTTAGCTCTCTTGATAGTGTCCCATATATCCCATAGGCTTTCTTCATTTCTTTTTACTCTTTTTTCTTTTTTATCCTCTGGGTATTTTCTAATGACCTGCCTTCAAGTTTACAAATTATTTTTTTCTACTTCATCTAGCCTACTGTTGATGTTCTCCAAGAAAGCTTGTCTTGGGCTGGGGACAGTGGCTCATGCCTGTAATCCCAGCACTTTGAGGGGCCAAGGGAGGAGGATTACTTGAGGCCAGGACTTTGAAATAAGCCTAGGCAACATAGCAAGACCTTGTCTCTACAAAAATAAAAGTATCTTTTTATTAACAGACGTTATTTATGTAGTCAGATTTATTCATCTTTCCCATTTGATTTATGCTTTTTTTTTTTTTTTTTTTTTTTTTTTGAGACAGAGTCTCACTCTGTCGCCCAGGCTGGAGTGCAGTCATGCAATCTCGGCTCACTGCAAGCTCCGCCTTCCCGGGTTCACGCCATTCTCCTGCCTTAGCAGGTGCCCGCCACCACGCCCGGCTGATTTTTTTTGTATTTTTAGTAGAGATGGGGTTTCACGGTGTTAGCCAGGATGGTCTCAATCTCCTGACCTCGTGATTCGCCCACCTTGGCCTTCCAAAGTGCTGGGATTACAGGCGTGAGCCACCGCGCCCAGCCTAATTTATGCTTTTTTTTTTTTTTTCACCCAGCCTAATTTATGCTTTTTTTTTTAACTGAGAAAATATTTTTGTACCTTAAGATCATGAAGGTATGTTCCTATATTATCTTCATATTTATATGTGTAATTTACCAGGAGTGTATTTTTTTTTTTTTTTTTTTGAGACGGAGTCTCGCTCTGTTGCCCAGGCTGGAGTGCAGTGGCACAATCTCGGCTCACTGCAAGCTCTGCCTCCGGGGTTCACACCATTCTCCTGCCTCAGCCTCCTGAGCAGCTGGGACTACAGGCGCCCGCCACCGCGCCTGGCTAATTTTTTGTATTTTTAGTAGAGACGGGGTTTCACCATGTTAGCCAGGATGGTCTCGATCTCCTGACCTCGTGATCTGCCCGCCTCGGCCTCCCAAAGTGCTGGGATTACAGGCGTGAGCCACCGCACCCGGCCCTACCAGGAGTGTATTTTTGTGTATGTTGTGAGGCAGTGGTCAAGTTTTGTTTTATTTTGCTTTTTAATACATGATTACTCAATTTTCCCAGTAATATTTGTTGAAAAGATTGTCCTTCACTGCTCTGCAGAGATGTTTTTCTTAAAAATAAATATCTATGTATGTGTTTATTTCTAGGGTCAATAATCTGTTCCATTTGTCTTTTACATGGTTCTTGTACCATTACAAAACTTTCCTAATTACTATAACTGTAAAAGTGTTAAACCTATAAGAACAAATCTACCTTGTTATTCATCAAGAAAGTCTTGACTATTGCCGGCCCTTTGCATTTTCAATTTTCATATAAATTTTAGAGTGAGCTGGTCAAAGTCCACCCCAAAAAAGAAAAACACTATTAAGATTTTAATGGCATTGAGTTGAATCATAGATTAATTTTTAAATCATTTATTTTTATGTTATTTGAGTCTTCTGGGCCACCATAAGCATTGTATATCTCTCTATATTTTTCAGTTTTGCTCTATAATGTTTCCTATTTTTTGTGTGTAGAGAGGTCTTACATTTATTTTGTTAAATTCGTAGGTACTCAGTATTTTGAGATGATTTTAACTGTTTTTAAAAATTGTGGCTGTTATGTAAAAATAAAATTGATTTTTGTATTTTGGTGTGGTATCCAACAGTCCTGCTAACTTTTCATTAATTTTAATAACCCACCTACAGAAGTTTTTTTATTTGTGTACATAAAATCATGTTATCTGCAAGTATTCTTTTCCTGCCTCTCTAATTCTTATACATTTTATTTTTCTTGCCTTGTTATATGTGAATTACTTCTAATTAACTATTCAATATATTTCTTGTAGGTTCTTTGATAACTATGTAATATTAGATTTAAGAAAATTTTCTCCTATTTTTATTTTGCCCAGATACTAAAAAATCATACATGAATGTTGAAATTGATCTGATAATTTTTATTCATGTATTTAGATGGTCACATTATTTTTCTCCCTTATTCTGTTAAAATGTGAACTTGCACTGATTAATTTTGTAATACTAAACCAACTTTACAGGGTAGAATAAATATAGATTGGTCACACTATATTATGCTTGTTACTTATTGTTGGTCTATGTTAACTAATACTTTGTTTTGTATATTTACATCTATTTTTGTAATTTAGATTGGCTGATAATTTACCTTTCTTATGGCTTTATTTTATTTTTTATTATTTTTGAGACGGAGTTTCACTCTTGTTGCCCAGGCTGGAGTGCAATGGCGCGATCTTGGCTCACCGCAACCTCCGCCTCCCAGGATCAAGTGATTCTCCTGCCTCAGCCTCCCGAGCAGCTGGGATTACAGGCACGCGCCACTACCCCCAGCTAATTTTGTATTTTTAGTAGAGATGTGGTTTCTCCATGTTGGTCAGGCTGGTCTTGAACTCCCGACCTCAGGTGATCCACCTGCCTTGGCCTCCCAAAGTGCTGGGATTACAGGTGTGAGCCATCACGCCCAGCTGTCTCTTATGGCTTTTTAAAATCAGATTTTGATAGCAAGGTAATGTAAACTCATACTATAATACTCTTTTCAATTCATTTTTTCTTCTGTCATTTTGTGGAACAGTTTGTATAAGATTGGAGTTGTAGAACTTACCAATAAAGTCATTTGGATCTCTTCTTTAAGGGAAGGTTTTATTTCATTTATTTATTAAAGAAATAATTAGAATTTCCTTCTTACGCAAGTTAGTATATATATGTAAGCAGTTTTCATTTTGTCTAAATTTAAAAGGATGTTTAGTATAATGTTATTTATAATATCCTGTGGACATTTGAATGTACATAGAGTCTGTAGTTATTTCCTGTTTTTCTATTCTGCAGTTGGTGGTTATTATTAGTTTTTTCCAAAGACCAACATTTTGCTTTGGTTTTGATCCTATTGTTTGTTTTTTGTTTTTATTATTTCATTACTTTTGTTCTTATTATTTCCTTTCCTCTATTTTTTTTAGATTTCTTTTTTTCTTGAATTTTCTTCAGATGAATGTTTACATTTTTACTTTTTAGGCCTTTTTTTCTTTTTTCTTTTCTTTTCTTTTCTTTTTTTTTTTTTTTTTGAGGCAGAGTCTCTCTCTGTCACCCAGGTTGGAGTGCAGTGGTGCGATCTCGGCTCACTGCATGCTCCACCTCCCAAGTTCATGCCATTCTCCTGCCTCAGCCTCCCAAGTAACTGGGACTACAGGTGCCCGCCACCACGCCTGGCTAATTTTTTTTGTATTTTTAGTAGAGACAGGGTTTCATCGTGTTAGCCAGGTTGGTCTCAAACTCCTGACCTCGTGATCCACCCACCTCAGCCTCCCAAAGTCCTGGGATTACAGGTGTGAGCCACCGTGCCCGGCTAGGCCTTTTTTTCTAATAGAAACATGTAAAGCTTTAAATTATCCTCAAAATACTTCTTTAGGTATATTCTAAAGGTTTTGATATTTACTATTTTCTGTATAAAAATTTTTTGTCCTTGGAGACCTGTCAATTTTTTCATTATATATTTTGATGGTATGTTATTAGGTGCATATACGTTTACAATTTTTCTATTACTAAGTGACTTTCTTTATCTCTACTCATATTTCTTACCTCTTTGTGTGATATTAACATAGCTATACCAATTTTCTTTCAGTATTCATTTTCATGAAAAATATTTTCTTTTGCTGTCAACCTTTCAGTGTCCTTATGTTTTAGACATCTTTCACAAATAGCATATGTTAAGTTTTTAAAATTTAATCTGACATCTTTTGTATTTTAACTGGATCATTTGGTCCATTTGTATTTTATTTACTTATATCTTTGGGTTTAAATCTAATGTCTTGTATGCTTTCTGTTATTATCAATTGTATGATTCTTTTCTTGCCTTCTTTTGGATTGATGGGGTATTTAAAAAATCATTTTATTGTTTTCTGTCAGCTTAGAAATCATTCTAGAAGTCATAAACTCATTTATTATTCTTTTAGTGATTACCTGAGAATTGCAAGAACCTTAGAACAGTAACTCCATTTACCCATCTTAACTTCTGTACCATTTTTAGCCAAATATTTTAATAACACATATACATACATGTGTGTATAACTATATATATAAACTGAATAAAACACTTACTGTTGTTTGCTCAGTCAATATTTGTTTAGATTTACCTGTACATTTATTCTTTTCATTGCCCTTCATTCCTTTTGTTGCCTTTGAGTGATCTGGGGTCCTTTATTTTCTGTTAGAAAAAATATCCTTTAGAATTTATTTTAGAATTTTGTCTGAATTTAAGTTTTTGGGGTCCTATATATATATATTTTCAGATTCAGGTCATTAATATGCAATAACATATGGTCAGTTTGATGAATGTACACAATTGTATATAACTGTGTAACCATACTTTAAAAAAGATACAGAGCGTTTCCTTCCCTCCAGATAGTTTCCTTATTCTCCTTTCCAGTCAGTTCTCCTCCTCCCCATTGCCTGACACTTATTACCATAGGTAAATTTTGCCTGTATCTGGGTTTCTTAGAGGGAGTCCCCACTTTGCATGGTTTCTATATGCATTAATTTGGTTAGTAGGGTTTAGTTTAGTAATATCAGTTCTCTACCAACACAGTTTCAGTTACCAGAGTAATTACTGTGAGTAATTGCATGAAGTACAAACTTACTGCTAGCTCTTTAATCTACAAATCCCTAAGAAAATAACAGATATAAATCATGACCAGTGACCAATCACATCACTTCTTTTAAAGTGTGTGGGTGATTGATCAGTGACATGTTAATCAGTTTATGCTTAGATAGCAAAGTCTGTTTTCTGTTGCCTCCTCGTTTCCCAGTGATGAACATGTGACATTTTATAAAATGGATAGTTGAAAGGGGGGAATTGGCCATCAAAGATGAAAATGCTACAAAGAAACCAAGAGTTACAACACTGGAAGCAAAATTTGAGTCAAATGTAAAGGGAATTAAGGAAGAAATAGCTGTCATGGAAATGTTGACACTGCTGCCATTAAAGAGATTCTAGATATGCAGCCAGGGAAACTAATAAAGGCAACCTTATCAACATAATTGAAGAAAGTGATTGTGACAAAAAGGATGAAGGCAGCCCAGTAGACGTGACATTGGCAAAAGCCATCACATTAAAAGAACTCTCCGAGATGTTTCATGCCATTGAAAGCATAAAGGGTAAAACACGGAAGCTGATCCAAACTTAGAAAGGTGTATAACAACTTGCCAAGACATAAAAAACATGCTTGCTCTGTATTTTGTTTTGATAAGGGGCGGCAAGCACTGTTCAAACTACTCTTGATAAACTTTTTATAAAGAATAAAACATGTTAATTCTCAATGTACCTAATGTTTTAATTTACAATGTACTCAATAAATACTAGTTTTTAAAATTTTGCTATACACTTATAAATGACAGTAATAAAGTTATATTTTGACTTAAAATTTAAAAATTATGGAAAAATTATTTTTCTCATTGATTATTAAAGATTACTTTGCCTGGACAGCTTGTACAGTCATTTTTGTGGTCCTGCATGGCTGTCAAAGTTGGGGCTGCCTACATACGTACTGATACAATATACTTTTTTTTGGCTAGGCACAGTGGCTCACGCCTGTAATCCCAGCACTTTGGGAGGCCGAGGCTGGTGAATCACGAGGTCAGGAGATTGAGACCAGCCTGGCCAAAATGGTGAAACTCCGTCTCTACTAAAAATACAAAAATTAGCTGGGCGTGGTGGCGTGTGCCTGTAATCCCAGCTACTGGGGAGGCTGAGGCAGGAGAATCGCTTGAACTAGAGAGTCAGAAGTTGCAGTGAGCCGAGATTGCACCACTGTACTACAGCCTGGTGACAGAGCGAAACTCTGTCTGATCTTTTGTATTTCTGTGATGTCAGTTGTAATATCTCCCATTTCATTTCTAATTGAGCTTATTTGTATCTTCTGTCTTCTTTTCTTAGTTAAATCTCACTAAAGTATATACTTTTTTAAGTATAAAGTATATACTTTTTTGTATCTGGCTTGTTTCAATAGAATTTTTTAAAGAATCATTATCACTTAAAAAAGTATTAATAGTACAATCTTTAATATTTCTAATATGAACCTTTTATTTTTTATTTTATTTTATTTGTTTAATTTCCATAGGTTTTTGGGGAACAGATGGTGTTTGGTTACATGAGTACATTCTTCAGTGATTTGTGAGATCTTGGTGCACCCATAGCCCGAGCAGTATACACTGTACCCAATTTATAGTCTTTTATCCCTCACCCCACCTCCCATCCTTTCCCCTAAATCCCCAAAGTCCATTGTATCATCCTTATGCCTTTGCATCCTCATAGCTTAGCTCCCACTTATGAGTGAGAACATAAGATGTTTGGTTTTCCATTCCTGAGTTACTTCCCTTAGAATAATGGTCTCCAGTTCCATCCAGGTTGCTGCGAATGTGATTATTTCATTCCTTTTTATGACTGGATTGTATTCCATGGTATATATATACCACAATTTCTTTATCCATTTATTGATTGATGGACATTTGGGCTGGTTCCATATTTTTGAAATTGCTAATTGTGCTGCTATAAACGTGTGTACAAGTATCTTTTTTGTATAATGACTTCTTTTCCTCTGGGTAGACACTCAGTAGTTGGATTGCTGGATCAAATGGTTTTACATTTAGTTCTTTAAGGAATCTCCACACTGTTTTCCATAGTGGTTGTACTAGTTTACATTCCCACCAGCAGTGTAAAAGTGGTCCCTTTCACTGCATCCCCACCAACATCTGTTGGTTTTTAATTTTTTTGATTATGGCCAATTCTTGCAGGAGTAAGGTGGTATCACATTTTGTCTTTGATTTGCATTTCCCTGATCATTAGTGATGTTGAGCATTTTTTAATTTGTTTGTTGGCCATTTGTATATCTTCTTTTGAAAATTATCTATTCATGTCCTTAGCCCACTTTTTGATGGGATTGTTTGTTTTTTTATTGCTAATTTGTTTGAGTTCCGTGTAGATTCTGGATATTAGTCCTTTGTCAGATATATGGATTGTGAAGATTTTCTCCCACTGTTTGTGTTTTCTGTTTACTCTGCTGAGTGTTTCTTTTGCTGTGCAGAAACTTTTTAGTTTAATTAAGTCCTACCTACTTATTGTTTTTGTTCCATTTGCTTTTGGGTTCTTGGTCGTAAAGTCACTGCCTAAGCCAATGTCTAGAAGGGTTTTTTCAATGTTATCTTCTATAATTTTTATGGTTTCAGGTCTTAGATTTAAGTGCTTGATCCATCTTGAGTTGATTTTTGTATAAGGTGAGAGATGAGGATCCAGTTTCATTCTTCTACATGTGGCTTGCCAATTATCCCAGCACCATTTGTTGAATAAGGTGTCCTTTCCCCTACTTCATATTTTTGTTTGCTTTGTCGAAGATCAGTTGGCTTTAAGCATTTGGCCTTATTTCTGCGTTCTTATTCTGTTGCATTCGTCTAAGTGCCTATTTTTATATCAGTACCATGCTTTTTTGATAACTGTAGCTTTGTAGTATAGTTTGAAGTTGGATAATGCAGTGCCTCCAGGTTTGTTCTTTTTGCTTAGTCTTGCCTTGGCTATGTGGGCTCTTTTTTGGTTCCATATGAATTTTGGGATTGTCTTTTCTAGTTCTGTGAAGAAAGATGGTGTTATTTTGATGGGAATTGCATTGAATTTGTATATTGCTTTTGGCAGTAGGTTCATTTTCACATTTTTGATTGTACTCATCCATGAGCACGGGACATGTTTCCATTTGTTTGTGTCGTCTGTGATGTCTTTCAGCAGTGTTTTATAGTTTTCCTTGTAGAGATCTTTCACCTCCTTGGTTAGGTATACTCCCAAGTTGTTTTTTTTTTCTTTGCAGCTATTAAAAAAGGTGTTGAGTTCTTGATTTGATTTTCTGCATGATTGCTGTTGGTGTATAGCAGTGCTACTGATTTGTGTACATTGATTTTGTATCCTGAAACTTTTCTGAATTCATTTATCAGTTCTAGGAGCTTTTTGGAGGAGTCTTTAGGATTTTCTAGGTCTACGATCATATCATCAGCAAACAGTGACAGTTTGAATTCCTCTTTGCTGATTTGGATGCCCTTTACTTCTCTTGTCTGATTGCTCTGGCTAAGACTTCCAGTACTATGTTGAATAGAAGTGGAGAGGGTGGGCATCCTTTTCTTTTTCCAGTTCTTAGCAGGAGTGCTTTCAGTGTTTCCCTGTTTCGTATTATATTGGCTGTGGGTATGTCCGTAGACGGCTTTTATTACATTAAGGTATGTCCCTTTTATGCTGATTTTGCTGAGGGATTTAATCATAAAGGGATGCTGGATTTTGTCAGATGCCTTTTCTCCATCTATTGAGATGATCATGTGATTTTTGTTTTTTATTCTGTTTATGTGGTCTGTCACATTTATTGACTTGCGTATGTTAAACCTTCCCTGCCTCCCTGGTTTGAAACCCACTTGATCATGGTGAATTATCTTTTTGATATGCTGTTGGATTTGGTTAGCTAGTATTTTGTTAAGGATTTTTGCATCTATATTCATCAGATATATTGGTCTATAGTTTCATGTTTTGTTATGTCCTTTCCTGGTTTTGGTATTTAGGGTGATGCTGGCTTCATAGAATGATTTAGGGAAAATTCCCTCTTTATCTTGTAGAATAGTTTTAGTAGAATTGGTACCAATTCTTCTTTGAATGTCTGATAGAATTCAGCTGGTCCTTGACTTTTTTTGTGGGCAATTTTTAAATTACTATTTGAATCCCCCTGTTATTGGTCAGTTCAGGGTTTCTAATTCTTCCTGGTTTAAGCTAGGAGGGTTGTATATTTCCAGGAATTTATCCGTCTCCTCTAGGTTTTCTAGTTTATGCGTGTGAAGGTGTTTGTAGTAGCCTTAAATGATCTTTTGTATTTCTGTGATGTCAGTTGTAATATCTCCCATTTCATTTCTAATTGAGCTTATTTGTATCTTCTGTCTTCTTAGTTAAATCTCGCTAATGGTCTATCAATTTTACTTATCTTTTCAAAGAACTGGCTTTTTGATGAATTTTTTTGTGTTTTTTGTTGCAATTTCATTTCATTTTGCTCTGATATTTATTATTTCTTTTCTTCTGCTGAGTTTGGGTTTGGTTTGTTCTTGTTTCTCTAGTTTCTTGAGGTGTGACCTTAGATTGTCTGTTTGTGCTCTTTCAGACTTTTTGATGTAGGCATTTAAAGCTATGAACTTTTCTTTTAGCACTGCCTTTGCTGTATCCCAAAGGTTTTGATAGGTTGTGTCACTATTATTGTTCACTTCAAAGAATTTTTAAATTTCCATCTTGATTTCATGGTTGACCCAGTAATCATTCAGGAGCAGATTATTTAATTTCCATGTATTTGCATGGTTTTGAAGGTTCCTTTTGGAGTTGATTTCCAATTTTATTCAACTGTGGTCAGAGACAGTACTTGATATAATTTAAATTTTCTTAAATTTATTGAGACTTGTTTGGTGGCCTATGATATGGTCTATCTTGAAGAACATTCCATGTGCTAATGAATAGAATGTATATTCTGTGGTTGTTGGGTGGAATATTCTGTAAATACCTGTTAAGTCCATTTGGGTATAGTCCTGTACTAGGGTATAGTTTAAATCCATTGTTTCTTTGTTGACTTTCTTTCTTGATGACCTGTCAAGTGCTGTCAGTGGAGTATTGAAGTCCCCCACTATTATTGTGCTTCTGTCTATGTCAATTATTAGGTTTAGTAGTAACTGTTCTATATTTAAGATTGTGATACCTTCCTGTTGGACAAGGCCTTTTATCATTATATAATGTCCCTCTTTGTCTTTTTCAACTGCTGTTGTTTTCAAATTTGTTTGTCTGATATAAGAATAGCTACTCTTGCTTGCTTTTGGTGTCCATTAGCATGGAATGTCTTTTTCCACCCCTTTACCTTAAGTTTATGTGGATTCTTATGTGTTAGGTGAGTCTCTTGAAAGCAGCAGATACTTGTTCAGTGAATTATCAATTCTGCCATTCTGTATCTTTTAAGTGGAGCATTTAGGCCATTTACATTCAATGTTTCTATTGAGATGTGACACACTATTCTATTCATTGTGCTATTTACTGCCTGAATACCTTGGTATTTATGTATGTATGTATGCATGCATGCATGTATGTATTTACTTACTGTGTTGTTTTATAGGTCCTGTGAGATTTATGCTTTAAGGAGGTTCTGTTTGATGTATATTGAGGATTTGTTTCAAGATTTAGAGCTCGTTTTGCAGTTCTTTGTAGTGCTGGCTTGGTAGTGGTATATTCTCTCTGCATTTGTTTGTCTGAAAAAGACTCTTTCCTTCATGTATGAAGCTTAGTTTCACTGGATACAAAATTAATGGCTGACAATTGTTTTGTTTAAGGAGGCTGAAGATAGGACAACAATTCCTTCTAGCTAGTAGGGTTTCTGCTGAGAAATTTGCTGTTAATCTGAAAGGTTTTCCTTTATAGGTTAGCTCATGCTTTTGCCTCACAGCTCTTAATATTCTTTTCTTTGTCTTGCCTTTAGATATCCTGATGACTATGTGCCTAGGTGATGATCTTTTTGTGATGAATTTCCCAGGTGTTCTTTGAGCTTCTTGTATTTGGATGTCTAGGTCTCTAGCAAGGCTAGGGAAGTTTTCTTCAATTATTCCCCCAAATACGTTTCCCATGCTTTTAGATTTCTCTTCTTCCGCAGGATGCCAGTTATTTTTAGGTTTGGTTGTTTAACATAATCCAAAACTTCTTGGAAGCTTTGTTCATTTTTTTAAAATTCTTTTTTCTTTGTCTTTGTTGGATTGGGTTATTTTGAAAATCTTGTCTTCAAGCTCTAAAGTTTTTTATTCTGTTTGTTCAGTTCTATTGCTGAGACTTTCCAGTGCATTTTGCATTTCTGTGTGCCCTTGATTTCCAGAAGTTGTGATTGTTTTTTATTTATACTACCTATTTCACTGAAGATTTCTTCCCTCATATCTTGTATCATTTTTTTATTTCATTAAATTACACTTTGCCCTTTTCTGGTGCCTCCTTGATTAGCTTAATAACTGACCTTCTGAATTCTTTTTCTGGCAAGAAGAAATCTAAAAGGGATTTCTTCTTGGTTTGGATCCATTGCTGGTGAGCTAGTGTGATTTTTTGAGGGTGTTAAAGAACTTTGTTTTGTCATATTACCAGAATTGTTTTTCTTGTTCCTTCTCATTTGGGTAGGCTATGTCAGAGGGAAGATCTGGGGCTCAGGGGCTGCTGTTCAGATTCTTTTGTCCCATGGGGTACTCCCTTGATGTAGTATTCTCTCTCTCTTCCTAGAGGGATGTGGCTTCCTGATAGCCAAACTGTGTGATTGTTATTTCTCTTCTGTATCTAGCCACCTAGTGGGTCTACCAGGTTCTGGGCTGGTACTGGGGGGTGTTTGTACAGAGTCCTGTGATATGAACCATCTTCTGGTCTCTCAGCCATAGATAGCAGCACCTGCTCTGGTGGAGGTGGCAGGGGAGTGAAATGGACTCTGTGAGGGTCCTTGGTTGTATTATTGTTGTTTATTGCACTGGTTTTGTGCTGGTTGGCCTCCTGCCAGGAGGTGGCACTTTCAAGAGAGCATCAGCTATGGTAGTATAGGGAGGATCAGGTGGTGAGTGGGGCCCCAGAACTCCCAAGAGAATATGACCTTTGTCTTCAGCTACCAGGTGGATAGAGGAAGACCCTCAGGTGGGGCAGGGTTAGTCATGTCAGAGCTTAGATTCTCCTTGGGTGGGGCTTGCTACCACTGCTCTGGGGGATGGGAGTGTGGTTCCCAGGTCAAGGGAGTTATGCTCCCAGGAGGATTATGGCTGCCTCTCCTGTGTCATGCAGGTCACTAGGGAAGTGGGGGAAAGCCAGCAATTACAGGCCTCACCCAGCTCCCATGCAACCCAAAAGGCCAATCTCACTCCCACTGTGCCCTCCCCACCAACAACACCAAGTTTGTTTCCAGGCAGTGGGCAAGCAGGGCTGAGAACTTGCCCCAGGCTACCAGCCTCCCAGCTGAGAAAGCAAGCAGGGCTTTCAGGTTTTGTGCCACCCCTCCTGCCTGCATCTGCACTTGAGCTTCACCTCTTTCCCTGAGTTCTGTCCAAGAAAGTTCACATTTGGTTGGAATTGTTACAAAATTCAGTTGGAAGTTTCCTTCTCCCTGTGGTCTTTTCCCAGTTCCTCTGGCAGCCCTCCCCAAGGACCCCTGTGAGACAATGTCAGAGATGGCTTCCCTGGGGACTGAGAGAGCCCACAGGGCTCTTCCCGCTGCTTACTCTACTCCTGTATTTCGCTTGGCTCTCTAAAGTATCTCAGCTCCAGGTAAGGTCAAATCCTTCTCCCGTGATCTGGACCTTCACTTTCCCCAGTGAAGGTGTGTGTTCAGGGGTGGATGATCCCCATTTCCCACTTTCCCACTTTGGGCACTCAAATTATGTGGGCTGTCTCTCAGGTCCTGCAGGAGCAATCCTCTTCCTTCAAAGGGTCTGTGGATTCTCTCGGCTTTCCTAGTATGTTCCTTCTGTAGTTCTTGAAGCAAAAGTTCACAACGTGAGTCTCCACACACTGCTTTGTTCGTCTGAGTGAGAGCTTCAAATTAGTCCTGCCTCCTATCTGCCATTTTCCCCACCACAATCCTTTTTTAAAATTGTGAAGTAGTAGTCCATAGTATAGATAAACCACATGCTTTTATTAATACTTTGTTGATAGATATTTGGATTAGTCACCCACTTTTAGCTGTAATTCATGAATAAGACTGCTGTAAAATTTTTGCATATGCCTTTTATGGGCATATGTTTTTATTCTCTTGAATAAATAAGAGTGGAATTATTGGGTTACATGGTAAGCATGCATTTAATTTCATAAGGAATGATCAGTTTTCCACGTGATTGTGTGATTTTACAGTCCCAGTAACAATTTATAATGCAGCCCTTTTAAATCAGGCCTTTCAGAGAGAATGAGAACTGAGTTCTAATTTGCTAAGATACCTATTGTATGTATAGTAGTCCCCTCTTATCGAGGGGGGATATGTCCCAAGACCCTCAGTGGATGCCTGAAACCACAGATATTAATACTGAACCCTATATGTACTATGTGTTTTTTCCTAAATATACATACCTATGATAATATTTAATTTATAAATTAGGTGCAGTAAGAGATTAACAACAATAACTAATAATAAAATATAACAACAATAACTAATTATAACCACATATTGTAAAAGTCATGTGAATGTGGTCTCTCTGTTTTCAGTTGACTGTGGGTAACTGAAACCACAGAAAGAGAAACCACAGATAAGAGGGGACTACTACACCGAATTATCATCTCTCTTAGATTCATAGGAGTCTAGAATTGTACTAGCTTTGGGCTATCCTTGAGAGAATTGAGAAAATAGTCACTGAATTAATTTTATCTAGTTCTTTCTCCCACAGAACCCCATGTGAGAAAGGTTGTATAAGAGTTTACTTTGTTCCATCCATATCCTTAGCAACATTTAGTGTTTTCAGTCTCTAATTTTAGCCATTTTACTGGATGTAAAGAGGTATAATTGTGTGGTTTTAATCTGTATTTTCTTGATTCCTAATGATGTTGAGTGCCTGTTTGTGTGCCATTTATATATCTTCTTTTGTTAAGTGTCTGTTCAGTTCTATTGCTCATTTTTTTGCTTGGTGGTTTTTATTGTTTATTTGTAGGCATTATTGTAGAAGCCGTTTATCTGAAATGTATGATTTTTTTAAACTAGTCTGTGGCTTGTTTTTTGCTTGTAATTGCTTTGTTTTTGATGAACAAAAAATTTTAGTATTTCTTTTTCTAGAGACACTGTCTTATTCCGTCACTCAGGCTGGACAGTAGTGGTGCGATGACAGCTCACTGTAGCCTCAAACTCCTAGGCTCCAGTGATTCTACTGCCTCAGCCTCCTAGGTAGCTGGGAGTAAAGGTATGCGCTACCATGCCTGGCCAATTTAAAAAAAATTTTATTTTTTATTTTTTGTTCAGACGGCGTTTTACTTTTGTTGCCGAGGCTGGAGTGCAGTGGTGCCATCTCGGCTCACTGCAACCTCCGCCTCCCGGGTTCAAACGATTCTCCTGCCTCAGCCCCCCAAGTAGCTGGGATTACAGGCATGCGCCACTACACCAGGCTAATTTTGTATTTTTAGTAGTGATAGGGTTTCTCCACGTTGGTCAGGCTGGTTTCGAACTCCTGACTGCAGGTGATCTGCCTGCCTCGACCTCCCAAAGTGACGGGATTACAGGCATTAGCTACCGTGCCTGGCCTAAAAAAAATTTTTTTTTTTTGAGACGGAGTGTTGCACTGTCGCCCAGGCTGGAGTGCAGTGGCATGATCTTGGCTCACTGCAAGCTCTGCCTCCCGGGTTCACGCCATTCTCTTGCCTCAGCCTCCCCAGTAGCTGGGACTACAGGTGCCCACCACCACACGTGGCTAATTTTTTGTATTTTTAGTAGAGACGGGGTTTCACTGTGTTAGCCAGGATGGTCTCAATCTCCTGACCTCGTGATTCGCCCTCCTTGGCCTCCCAAAGTGCTGGGATTACAGGCATGAGACACTGCGCCCGGCCCCCAAATTTTTTTTTTTTTTAGACACAGGGTCTTGCTGTTGTCCAGGGTGGTCTTGAACATCTAGCCTCAGTTTTTTGGTAGATTTTATAGGATTTCCTATGTAGATTATCATGTCACCTGTGAATTAAGAGTTTTGCTTCTTTTCTAATCTTAATGCCTTGTGTTTCTTTTTCTTTCCTTATTTACTTGGTAGAACCTCTGGTACAGTGTTCAACAGAAGAATGAGAACAGTCATCCTTGTTTTGTTCCTGGTTTTGGAAGGAAAGCAATTCAGCCTTTCATCTTTGTAACGTCAGCAATAAGCTTTTCATAGATGCCTATTATGAGATTGGAAAAAGTGTCTTCTATTTGTAATTTGCTGAGTGTTCTTATTAAGAATGGATATTGGATTTTGTCAAATGCTTATTCTGCATCTGTTGATATGATCATAATTATTTCTTTATCAGTCTGTTAATATGATGAGTTATTATTGATTAATTTTTAGTTTTCAAATTGTAAACCAACCTGGCATGCCTGGGTAAACCCCACTTGGTCATAGTAGATTCTGATTTGGTTGGATTTGATTACCAGGATTGGTTAAAACTTTTAACATACATGTTTATGCTTTCTCCAAAAGCATTGTAATTTTACATTTTATGGTTAGGTTTTTCGTGTATGGTGTCATGTAGTGGTCAGAGTTCTTTTTTTTCCACAAAAGAATACAATTGTGTTTTTTGGTTTGTTTTTGTTCATTTTATTTTACTTTTCAACTTTTAAGTTGAGGGGTACATGTATAGGTTTGTTATGTAGGTAAACCCCTGTCATGGGTGTTTGTTGTACAGAATATTTCATCACTCAGGGCAATGCAGTTGTTTTAGCACCAATTGTTTCCTTTCCCCATTGGATTGCTTTGGTGTATTTATTGAAAATCGATTGACCATATATCTGTGGTCTATTTCTGTGCTCTGTATTCTGCTTTATTAGTCTGTTGATCCGTAGACTAATGCCATACCATCTTGAATACTGTAGTAAGTCTCAAAGTCAGCTTTGGTAAGTCTTCTACATTTATTTCTTGTTTTCTATTTGTTTATCCTTCTACTGAAATTTCTTCAATTTGTTGTCAGTGTGCTAATTCATTTATCAAGTGTATCCATTCTACTATTTACAACATGTATTTTTTTTAACTTCATCTACTACATTTCTTATAACTGTTATTTGTAACTTTTTTCCTTGTCTTTTTTCATATTGATAATATCTAGCAGTGTCTTTTAGTTTTTTAAATTTTTCTAGAACCTCCAAAAAAACAACTTTTTTTTTTTTTTTTTTTTTTTTTAAAGACAGGATTGCCCTCTGTTGCCCAGGCTGGAGTATAGCGGCACAGTCACAGCTCACTGCAGCCTTGACCTCTCAGGCACAAGTGATTCTCTTGCCTCAGCCTCCCAAGTAGCTGGGACCACAGACATGTGCCGCTGTGCCTGACTAATTTTTAAAAAAATTTTTATAGAGATGGGGGTCTTCCTATGTTGCCCAGGCTGGTCTTGATCTCCCAGCCTCAAGTGATCCTCCCACATTGGCCTCCCAAAGTGCTAGGATTATAGACATGAGCCATCATGCCTGGCTTCTCCTTTCTTTTAAATTTTTTTGGGCTAATTACTTTTTTGGATGCATTTTTTAAATTAATTAATTAATTAATTTTGAGACGGAGTCTTACTCTGTCACCCAGGCTGGAGTGCAGTGGTGCGATCTCACCTCACTGCAACCTCCGCCTCCTGGGTTCAAGCAATTCTCCTGCCTCAGCCTCCTGAGTAGCTAGGATTGCAGGTGCATGCCACTGTGCCCGGCTAATTTTTGTATTTTTAGTAGAGACAGGGTTTCACCATGTTCAGGCTGTTCTCAAACTCCTGACTTCATGATCTACCCACCTTGGCCTCCCAAAGTGCTGGGATTACAGACATGAGCCACCGCTCCCGGCCTGGATGCACTTATTCTAATATACCAGCTTCTGCTTGATTTTGTAATCAGTGGGTTTTGTTTCGTTTTTAAATGACTGGCCATCTCAAATGTCTTATAATTTTGGCCCTGGGACACATTTTGCCATGGAGATATAAGTTATTGTGTAAAACAATGCTCTTGGGTGACTAACAATATCAGCCTCTTTGAGTTCATGGTATGGGGGGATGGGAGAGACGCTGATGCCATAAAACCACTATCACTTTCTGCCTCATATACACCTGCTTTGTCAGTTTTTCACCTTTTGCTACCCTAGATGAAGAGACATCAGGAGGCTCTATTAGTCTATTCTTGTGTTGCCATAAAGAAATACCTGAGTGTGGGTCATTTTAAAAGAAAGGAAATTTATTTTAGCTTATGGTTCTGCAGGCTGTACAGGAAGCATGGTGCTGGCATTTGCTTCTGGTGAGGGCACGAGACAGCTTGCCATCTTGGTGGAAAGCAAAGGGGGAGCCAGTGCATCACATGACAAGGGCAGGAGCAAGAGAAAAGGGGAGGTCCCAGATTTCTTTGAACAGCCAGATCTCATGTGAACTAACTAGCGAGATCTCACTTATCACCAAGGGGATAGTGTTAAACCATTCATGAGGGACCTGCCCCCGTGATCCAGTCATCTCTTCCCCAGGCCCCACTTCCAACATTGGAAATCACATTTCAACATGAGATTTGTAGCGGACAAACATCCAAACCATATCAGATGCATTCCTTAACAGCCTTGGCTGCATATTAGAATCAAATGAGGAGCTTTAAAAAACAATAGTGATGTTAATTCTCATTCCCAGAGATTTTAATTTAATTGGCATAATTGTGCAGCCTAACTCTAGGACTTTTTTTTGTTTTGCTGCTTTAAAATAATTTCATAATTTGTAGGAAGTTACAAAAATATACAGATAAGTCGATGTATTCCCGTCACCCACTTTCCCACAATGATTACATTTTATATCACTATAGTACAATATCAAAGCCAGAAAATTGACATTGGTACAATGTGTGTGCATAGTTCTGTCATTTTATCACATATGTAGTTTCATGTAACTACTACCACATTCAAGACACGGAAAGTCTATTACCGCAAAAATATCCCTCATGCTACTCCTTTACAGTCACATCTCCTCTTCCCCCACCATGATCCCTAATATCTGACACTAATCTGTTGTCCAACTCTGTAATTTTGTCATTTCAAGAATGTTATAGGAAGAGTCATACAGCCATGATTTTCAAGATTCGCTTGAAAACTCAGAATAATGCCATTGAGATCCAGCCAAGTATTAAATTTTGCTACTTTTTAATATTGCTGAGTAACATTCCATAGTATGAATGTACCATAATTTGTTCAGCTATTCACCTGGTGAGGGACATTTTGATTTTTTCCAGGTTTTGGCTGTTAAAAATAAGGTAGACCATATGCATTTAATATAATTATTGGTAGGGCTCAATTCTCCATGTTATTTTTTGGGGGTGTTTTTCGTTTGTTTCTTTCCTCTGTTTCTCATGTCTCTGTTTTTGTTTTCCTGCCTTTTCATGGATTACTTGACATTTTTTAGAATCCCATTTTTGATATCTGTAGTATTTTTGAGTGTCTATAGATTTTTCAGTGGTTGCTCTGTGAATTGTACTTACTTATCACGATCCACTGGTGTCACATTTTATCAGTTTGCATAAAGTATAGAAATCTTGTCTCCTTTTAAGTCCTTTTATCCTCCCCCATTTATAATTGTCTTAATAGATACAGGTTAATACCTCTTTAGTCTTGGATTTCATCTTTTATTAGGTATTATTTTGTTGAATATTGTCTTTATTCTTCCCTACTGGGATTTTGATTTGGTAAATATTGGACCTTCTTATTCTGTCTTTTATGTCTGTTAACCTCTATTTTGTATTTTTTCATTGTTTTATTTGTGCTCTAATATAGGACCTCTGATCTGTTTTTTTCCCCAGTTTACCAGTTATCTCTTTCACAGTGTCTATTCTGTATTTTTAACTTGTCCACTGAGTTTTGTAATCTTTAAAATTTTGATGTTAGTTTAATTTTGTGAAGTTCTATTTGGTTCTTTTCCAAATTTGTTGATTATTTTTTTCTTTATATATCCTATTATTTTATGTGTTTGTATTTAAACACATGTATTTCTAAGTTTCTATTTGATAGTGCTGTAGTCTGAAGTTCTTAGGGATCTAATTTAGTTTGTGTGTCTTTTGACTCCCACTAAGGTTGGATTGTTTCTTGATGTATTTTTAAATTTTGAATTATGAGATCCTTTTCCATAGGCCTTTGTCTGGGGTTAGTTCTGTGCTTGGGTTGAGAGCATGCCTCCAGAGTTTTGCAAGGGGTTCCTGATTATATGACCAATCGGGAACCAAATTTTATTTTGATGCTTAGATTGAGATTAAGACTCTTTGTTGTGTTATACCCAAGCGAGTTAGAGAAAACGCCACACTTTGAGACGAATTAAGAGTCCTTTATTAAGCCGGCGGCCAAAGAGACGGCTAACGCTCAAAATTCTCTCAGCCTCGAGGAAGGGGCTTGATTAACTTTATACCTTAGTTTAGGAAGGGGAGGGGAGCTCAAATGCAATAATTCTACAGAAGTAAAAACATGCAAGAATCAAAAAAACAAATGGTTACAGAGAGATTAACAATTTAAAAGGCAAATGGTTACAAAAAAAAGCAACGGAACCAGGTGCGGGGCTCTAAATCCTTTGTTAGATATGGATGCTATGCTGGACACAGACTCAAGGCTTTATGTTGTTATCTTTTTGAGCAAAATCCTGGGAACTTCACACATTGTTTGTTCCAGTACCTTATCAGTTAATTTGGCTCCTTTGAAATGCTGAGGGTCTGCTTACACAGGTTAACTCCTTGAGGAAGGGGGTCGGGTAAGGAGCCCTTAATGTCTTGTAAATCAAGGGGCCAAATGGAGTTTGTCCGGCTTTCCCAGCTAAGGGAGAGTCTTATTTATATGGGAAACAAGGCTAGGTAGTTAAGGAGACAAAAAGGGAAAATTTAAAAATAGAGTTAGTAAAAAACAAGGTTAGGCATTACAGTTGTTATTATTTTCCTGAGCCTAGCAGCAATTGACAAGGTGTTTTTCTCTAGTCTGACCTTCTCACTAATGGTATATCTCTCCATATTTACATGGGACACCTTAGTTCTATTTCCTGTGTTGCAGACATCTCTATGGCCTCATCTTGTTTCTGAATTAAAACATAAAACCCTAGGCTATTGAGACAGACAAACCCCAACCAGAGCTAACATAGTAGTTCCTAATCTGATTGCTCTGATTTGGCATTAGGGGACCTAAGGAAGGTATTATGACCAAAATGCTAATAGTAGCTTATGTTGGAGTGGTGGATTGAAGATCCCTTCTTACCCTTTATTTTTTAAACTTCCTGGTTTTATAATGAAAATATTAAAACTGTATAAAAATATTAAGAGGAAATAAATATATTAGTGTCCTTAAAAGTTTTTAGATTTAAACACACTACAAGATGACAAAACAAAAATTTCAGAATTAGTTTTATTATTAAAATATTTGCAGACTTTTGTATGAAAACACAGAAAAAGATCTTTCTGATACTCAGCGACACCTTGCTAAGAAAAAATATGAGCTACAGCTTACTCAGGAGAAAATTATGTGCTTGGATGAAAAAATTGGTGAGTTTTTTTCTCTTAATATTACTTTTAGTTTTTCTTAAGTTTGGTAGCAAAGATGTATTTTCTTCTCTTCAGTATAACATAGAAAAACTTGGAAACAAGCCCTTAACTAAGTTTATGAATAAAAAATAGTAGAGAAATTCATTTTTCTTTGACAGCAAAATTTTTTAGATTTAGCACCATAAGTACTTAGTGATAAGTTAAAATTTATCAATGAAGTAATAGCTAAACTCAGCAGCAACAGTTTGTAAACTTACGATGATAACTTAAATTTGAATTTTTTGTGTAATATTGTAGCTTGTCCATAGCTGCTGTAATGAAACAGTACCTATATATTACTTTTGGTGGAAAGTGTACATATGTTTAGTTATGTCTAGCGAGAACTCACTTATCACCAAGGGGATAGTGTTAGTTATGTCTATGATATTACTGGGGTTTATAGAGAAAGTTACTTTTTTAAAGTTTCTTATTTATGTTTCTTGTTAGTGATCAGTATGAAAATATGGTCCTAACTTAATCTTACAGGGTAAAATTTTGGTCAGGGCTATAGAAGAGCCTATTTTAAAGCAGAGGAAATATTGTTAACACTTGCTATTATATAGTTCAAGAATGTCTGGTATAACCAACTAGGTAGATGGAGATACTATTTATCAAACCGGGAAATATTAAAACAGAAATATAAAAGATAATATTGAAGGAGAACTCACATTTGGGTATTTTAAGTCCCAATAAAGATCTAAGGTAAGCAGCTGAATATTTAAGTTTGTGTCTCAGAAGAGAAAGATACATATTTGGGACACATCAGCATATAAATGATATTTTAAAACCGTGAAATTACCTAGGGAAATATAGAGAATGAGAAGAGGATCCAGGACTGAGTAACAAGAAGCCAAAGAAGTAGGAAGAAGACCCAGAAGTGAGTGTTATTTTGGAAGACCAGAAAGCGAAGTGTTTTTAAAAGGGGAGGATATGATCAATTGTCAGACACTTTTGAGAAGTGAAATAAGTGAGGCTAAAGAAAAATATTGATTGGATTTGGCACATTGGAAGATTTGGTAACACCAAAAAAAAGTTTGAATGGAGTGTTGGATGTAGAAGATAGAGTGGGTTGAGGAATAAATGGGAAGTGAAGTCAGGACAGAAAAGAATAGAAGTCTCTCAAGAAGTTTGGCTATTAAAGGGTAGCAAGAAAATAAGGTAATAGTTTGAGTGGGCTGTTAGGTTGATAATTTTTTTAAGCTAGGAGATACTAGAGCTATTTTAGAGATGTATTGATTGTTTGATTGCCAGTGGGAATGAACTCAGATATCAGGACACACAAAACATGCGGGTTGTCTTAAAGGCAATACTGCCTGCAAAAAGAGACATGGTGTATTCTCCAGTACTATATAGATCAAGCTTTTGGCATATGACAATATGGTATTATCTCCCATAGCACTGCTCCTGGATGGCCCTCACAGGTATTAACCTAGTAGGGATTAACCTAGAAGTCTGTCTAACAGAGCTTCCCTTGTAGAGCTCTAGACCAGTGGTTCTCAAACTTTCATCTGTGTCAGAATCACCTTGAGAGCTAATAAAGATCACTGGAGCCAGCCTCCTTGAAGTAGGCTAGAACCAGAGCTTTTGTGTCTCTAACAGTTTCTGTAGGTAAATCTAATACCTAGAGTAGGTAAACTCCTCTAGACGAGTGGTTCTCAATCCTCATTATACATTAGAATCACTGGGGAAAGAAGGAGTTTTTAAAGCATAAATTGCTGTGCCCTCCCCCAGAATTTCTGATTCAGTAGGTCTGGAGTGGAGGCATAAGAATGTACATTTCCCAGGTGATGCTGATGGTGCTGGTTGAGAAACCACAATTTGAAAACTATTCTTCTGTACCAATCATTCAGGCCTTCAACGTTGACACTGGCTTGCAAGAGTTCTCACAGATTGAATCATACTTCCTGGGATGATTTTTTTTCCTAGGAATTTTTATAACACTACTTTAGAAATACCAGAATATTAGAAGACATTTTACTTTAAAGATGACTTAATTGAATATTTTATTAAGATTTGTTACTTACCAACTTTATATACAACAGTGATTCTAGGCTAGAGGGAGGGGAGGGGAAACTACAGGAGAGAAATGCCGCAGATTGTTTTGATATTCCACTTACTTCATCCACCCACTCTCTCTTTTCCCATCATACATTAAGTCTACTTTGACAGCTTGCGATGTAGAGCTTTCCTTCACTATTCTAATTCATTGTTATTGTGCTTTTGTGTTTATGCATCATTTAGAGTTTTGTGATTCACTGTAGTTTTTAACCAAAAAAATTTTTTTAATTTGGGATATAGTACTCATTGTTAGTAATTGAATATAATATATATTAGAAGTAAGGAGAAGTTCAAAAAGTACGATAATCTGCTTGAAATAGAAAAAAGATTTTATTTTGATTAAAACAACACTTTTATGATTGCATACATAGATAACTTTACAAGGCAAAATATTGCACAGCGAGAAGAAATCAGCATTCTTGGTGGAACCCTCAATGATCTGGCTAAAGAAAAGGAATGCCTGCAAGCATGTTTGGATAAAAAATCTGAGAATATTGCATCCCTTGGAGAGAGTTTGGCAATGAAAGTATGTTCTGAGAACTGTGGTTTATAAGAAACGTTTAAATGAAATGTTAAATGTTAAACTATGGTTTAAAAGAACTAGAATCTGAATAAAATATTTGAATTTTCTCAAATGTTTTTCTAGAAGCTGGAACTTCAAAATCTGACTTTGAAATATTTTAAGATAGTCTTAGGAAGCATGTGTACAAATCTAGTAGCTAATATTTTAAGTTGATTTTTCTATCATGAATTAGTAATTAATATCAATTGGCAAGAACTAATTCAGATATCAAAATATAAAGCATGACAATAAAGTAGTGAGACTGATTTCTTCTTAAAAGCATATTTTCAGGTAGTTACCCTTTGTAATTGTGTTTAGAACTAGGAACACTTTTTTTTTTTTTTTTTTTTTCAAACGGGAGTCTTCCTCCCTTGCCCAGGCTGGAGTGCAGTAGCGCGATCTCGGCTTACTGCAAGCTCCGCCTCCCGGGTTCAAGCAATTCTCCTGCCTCAGCCTCCCGAGTAGCTGGGACTACAGGTGCCTGCCACCACGCCTGGCTAATTTTTTGTATTTTTAGTAGAGGCAGGGTTTCACCATGTTAGTCAGGATGGTCTCAATCTCCTGACCTCGTGATCCGCCCACCTCAGCCTCCCAAAGTGCTGGGATTACAGGCATAAGCCGCTGCACCCTGCCCTAGGAGCACATTTTTACATCATCCTCAGGCTTTGAGAATAGATCATATAGGGCTGGTGAATAAAGCTGGATGATAACCTCCATCCCACATTTTTGTTGTTGAAAAAAGATGTTGCCGGCCGCGTGCAGGCCGGGTGCGGTGGCTCACGCCTGTAATCCCAGCACTTTGGGAGGCCGAGGAGGGCGGATCATGAGGTCAGGAGTTCGAGACCAACCTGGCCAACATAGTGAAACCCCCGTCTCTATTAAAAATACAAAAAATTAGCTGGGCGTGGTGGCGGGCACCTGTAATCACAGCTCCTCAGGAGGCTGAGTCAGGAGACTCGCTTGAACCCCGGAGGCGGAGCTTGCAGTGAGCCGAGATTGGGCCATTGCACTCCAGCCTGGGCGACAGTGCGAGACTCTGTCTCAAAAATAAATAAATAAAATAAATAAAAGGTGTTGCCAACAAGGCAGAGATACTGATATTATTTTCTAGCTTATAAACTGATTTCTGAAAGCAGTTCCTAAGCTGTTTTCACAAATATCTTAAGCAAAAGCAGCATCATTGGAATAAGGGCTTTATTAGTTTACTTTATTACTAAGGTAACTCATTCATTAATTTATGTTTCCATCCATCCATTCATTATTTCAACAAACATTTGTTGACATGTACCAGATGTTATGTTAGAAACTGAGGGTGAGGCAGGGGCATGGTGGCACATGCCTGTAGTCCCAGCTACTTGGGAGGCTGAGGCAGGAGTATCACCTGAGCCTGGGAGGTGGAGGTTGCAGTGAGCCTAGTTTGTGCCATCCTACTCCAGCCTGCATGACAGAGCAAGACTCTGTCTCAAAAAAAAAAAAAAAAAAAAAAAAAAAAAAAGGTGAATGGTCCGCCTTCTCAAAGCCTCTAGTGTAATAAGGAGAGAGATAAAGATACTGTTATGACAGAATACATTAAGTGCCATAATGACATATGCACAATGTGTTGTTGGAATTGGGCAAAAACACACCTGATTCAGCCTGGGAATTGGGTTAAGGGAGGAGGAAGGTCTGGAAAAATCTTCCATTAAGTGATGGTGCCTGGACTACCCTGAAAAATGACTAGATAGTAGTCAGGAGAATATTTGAATGACTAGATAGTAGTCACTGAATGACTAGATAGTAGTCAGGAGAATGACTAGATAGTAGTCAGGGAAAGAAGACAATGAGAAAGGGTGATCCAGACAGGTTGAACAGCTTAAGTGAGAGTCCAGTGGCTTTCATGAGAATTTCATGAGACTTCCTGATAGTTTAGCATGGCCAGAGAACAGGTTGTAGAGAGATAGATATGGGAGGGCAAAGAAAAGATGGGATAGGCATACAGTCCCTTCTCTGCTGTGATGCTCATTGCAACCTTACAGTGTGTGTATGTGTGTGTGTATATATGTATATAACCCATCTCTTCATGTATCTATATCTATATCCCATAGAGATATAGATACATGAAGAGATGGGATAGTTAAGCAAAAAAATCATAAAAGTACATGTGATGTTGAGTGTGAGATCTATCATCATGGATATAGAGGGTCACTGAAATAATGATAATGAAATGTTACAATTAGGTCTTTATTTTATAACAAATATTCTGGCATTTGTAAATTCGTATAAAAGATGGATTATAGGGAAATGAGAGTAGTGACAGGGACACTAGTTAAGAAAACAGTGTTGAGAGCTATATTAGAATAGTAGGAGTATCAGTGAGAGAAATAGGTCTCTTAAGGAAGTAAAATTGACAAGGTATGGTTTCTGGCTTAAGAATCACATGGATAGTTCCTATGTATGAAGGAAGAAACAGGAACTAGAACAGGCTTAGAAAGGAAAGTTATTGACATGTTGAGTTTGAATTGTCTTTGGGTTATGTAGGTGAAATATTGAAATATTTAAAGGCTCTTGGACTTTTAGGTTTGGAGGAAAATTTAATTAAAGTTAATAGATTTGGGAATCATGAACATAATTGAGGTCATCAAAGGGCATGAGATGGTAAATACTTGTGGAAAAGGCTGACTCATTGTTTTGAAATTTTAGGTTTTTTAGGTAGAATTTTGCTTCTCATTATATTCAAAACATTTTTGAATATTTAAGCATGATTTCCTTTCACAACACTAACATTTAGAAGCAAAATTCTTCACATCTTTCAAAATCTCATTTTCTTGTGCTATATCTAATATTTCACATTTCTTCCATTCTGCGAACCGTAACAATGTTATATTTCCTTCACAAGCAATATTGAGTTACAAGTCTACTTCAAAATCAAGAACTTTGTATAAGATTTTATGAAAGTAAACACATCCATCCTCTGTAGGGAAAATAACTTGCAAGGTACCATTAGGCAATCAAAAGAGGAAATGTTCTCTATAATGATACCTCAGAGCTGAACTAACAAAGGCTACTCAGTGAAAACTAATACTGTTCATATAGAGATTACAGAAATAAATTAGCATGGAAAAGTCTACATTATAGTGAATAAAGTGATTTTTTTCTAGTATCCATGGTTTAAAAAGATGTTTTACTACTTGCTACCAATTAAAATTAGAAAACTCAATGGCAACTTCATAGATTTTTGGGTAAGAAAAACCAGAATTATTTGAATAAAGTTATAGTTTATTTTTTCTAAATATACTTAGCACCATCCTGTCCAGACTGAATTTTGACAGTTAACATGAATCTACATCCCTAGTTGGACAACATATGAGGTTGAATAAGAAATATTAAATATTATTTTAAAAAATTGTTAAACCTTGAAGTTGTACAAGGAATACATCTTAGAACATACTGAGGTTGTACAAGGAATGATGGCACATTTGAGAAATGGTGGTATTAGGGTCATATTAAGAGAAAAATAGGCTAAGAGTATATGTTATTGGATTCAACCCAGAAATTTTGTTGCCCTGGATACTTTACAATGTTTCTAGAGTATTTTTTTTTAAGATGCACTTATATTGATAAAGTGAAGCCCTTTTTAGGCTTATCAAACATATTTTAAGGTTAATCAAGAAAGGACTTTTTTTTTTTTTTGAGACGGAGTCTCTGTCACCCAGGTTGGAGTGCAGTGACACAATCTCAGCCCACTGCAACCCTCGCCACCCGAGTTCAAGTGATTCCCTGCCTCAGTCTCCTGAGTAGCTGGGATTATAGGCGCCCACCACTGCACCCGGCTAATTTTTGTATTTTCAGTAGAGATGGGGTTTCACCATGTTGGTCAGGCTGGTCTCAAACTCCTGACCTCGTGTTCCGCCTGCCTCACCCTCTCAAAGTGCTGGGATTACAGGCATAAGCCACCGCATTCGGCCTCAAGTAAAGACTTTCAAAAGCACTAGTTCAACTAGCTTTTCAGAATTTGTTTAGAAATGTATTAAATTATATTTCAAAAATGTGTAAACATTCCATTTTATGGAGTATTTTGTCTTTTAGTTTTTCCTTCGTTGGCTTGTCCTTCTTGAAGGGGTTTAACTTTTTTTTTAATGCATATTTTAACAACACACCAGTATCTATTACTGCCAGATGTGGAATCTGTACCATTCCATGAGAAAGCAGAATGGGAAACTGTAGCTAAAAATACCCTGGAGAAGAGCACATGAATAAAGGAAGATAGCACACACACACACACACACACACACGCAAATATGTGTAAAACTAACGCTAAAGAAATAGGAACGGCCGGGCGCAGTGGCTTACGCCTGTAATCCCAGCACTTTGGGAGGCCGAGGTGGGTGGATCACTTGAAGTCAGGAGTTTGAGACCAGCCTGGCCAACATAGTGAAACCCCGTCTCTACTAAGTATACAAAAAATTAGCTGGGCATGGTGGCGCATGCCTGTAGTCCCAGCTACTTGGGAGGCTGAGGCAGGAGAATCGCTTGAACCTGGGAGGCGGAGGTTGCAGTGAGCCGAGATCGCGCCCTCGCACTCCAGCCGGGGCATCAAGAGCAAAACTCCATCTCAAAAAAAAAAAAAAAAAAAAAAAAAAAAAGAAAAGAAACAGGAACAGAATTGGTTGGAAAATATAGGTTTGGGTTTTTAAAAATCTTTTTACTTAGTTACTTAAAATTTGAAAATTCAAATGGCAAGGTGAAATCTAGTTATTACTTAGTGAAATAACTTTCTTACTTTTTTAGGGCTAATGTTAGCTCTAAGTATCTGTTTATAGTTGGACTAGTTCAGGGTCAATGGAAGTTTTAAAAAGAGGTGTGGGAATGGTATTAAAGGCATTAAGATATTCAAACCCATTTCTGCCTTGACTGACTCCACTACTTCTACTCCCTCATCACGCCTTTGAAAAAGGAAAATATAGTTTATTTCTCTTACCTTTGCTCGAGGCCTAATGCTTACCTTCTTATTAGCTCTCACCTAAATATCAGTAGTATACTTCTATAAGTAATTGGATTGGAACAGCTTTTTGAAGATTTTGTTGCTGGCTAATATAAATAATACACTTAATCAAAATTATTCTTAAAAACTAAATTTAGGTATACATGATTGGCTTCTCTGGGTTTTATAACATAAAGAATGTGAGCAAGAGAACCAGTTCTAAATCCCAGTATAAAATGCCAATACTCCAATGCCAAACCATTGGTTTGCCTCCAAAAACAGGTGGTTATAGGGTTCTTGTATTGCTGGGTGACTGCATAAAATATCTTTTGACAAAGAATTTGATATACTGATCTCATAATTACACCTAAGTATAGCCTTTACTTTAATGAACATAATCTATTTTTACCCAGTGCAAATATTCACATTGATATACTAGGCTTTAAAGTGTGGAAAAGAATAGGACATACATGTTTTTAAAACCAAATGGAAACCTAAAGGGAAAGGGAAATTTTCTTTTTGTTCATTCAATTTTAACAGAAATAACAGCTTAAGATTTTTTTATTTAATACTTATATTATTTTTCAAGGAAAAGACCATTTCAGGCATGAAGAATATCATTGCTGAGATGGAACAGGCATCAAGGTAAATCAGTCGTGCAACAAATATATGAGCTCTTACTGGGGGGCCAAGTACCATGTTAGGTACAAAGATAGTAAGAAACAAGGGGCTTAATGATACGTGTAAGGTGCTAACTCTCTCATCAAAGGAGGCCTAAGTCTGTCTAAGGAACTAAAAGAGGGGATGGTGTTTGCCAAGTAAAATAAGGGGAAGGGAAGGGCATTTAAAGTAGAAAGAATAGCAAAGAACCACAGATCATGTTGACAAGCCTCTTGACCTACAAGTGGGTGAGTGTTGTTGAAACCTAGAGTGTAAGGGGAGAAGTGAAGGGAGGAGACTAAATAGGCAGGCAGAGGCTTGTGTAACAGACAAATGAGTATTGGTTATATCCTTTGGGCAATAAGAAATCATTAAAGAATTCTGAGGAGAATTTTGTGTTAGAAAGATACCTAAGCAGAAGAGGTGGTGATAAATTGGGGTTTAGGAGTTGTGGGACAGAAGGAGTGAAATGCTTTTGTATGAGGGAGAGACACCAGGAAAATGCCAAGTTTCTGGCCAGGGACAAATACTGAACATGAAGAAAGTATGAGGAGAAAAAATGATTTTACCTCTGAATTTGAAGAACCTTTGGGACCTTATTGTAGACATGTCTAGTAAGCAGTTAAATATAAGTCTGGAGTATAACAGAGGGTCTAAAACTGGAGATAATTATTTTGGAGTCATTGGATCTAGATGGGGTTGGGAACCATGGATATGAATAGAGTTTGTCTGAGAGAAGGGTTAGAGTGAGAATAATTGGGAGGCTAGGGCTTGAGCCCTGAAAAGCATTAATTTTTAAGTGGGCAGAGGAAGAGGAATCTGTAAAGGAGACTAAGCCATAACAGAAGTAGGATGAAAGCCTTCCTAATACTTGATGTAAGAAGTTTTGAAATATTTGGCAAATCATTGACTATTATGTATACTTTGTATCCTTTTCATAGCGAAATGATGGCAACATTGAGAAACTCTAATGCACTGTCTTTGCAGTATTTATTCCTATAAATTCAAACGTGTTTAAAATCTCTTCAAATGTTTTCATACTAACTGTCCATCTTCTGTCTTGTGAGAATTTGTTGCTCTGTTTCAGTAAAATGTCTCTTCTTATGTACTCTTTGATTTGTGGAATAGACAGTGTACTGAGGCCCTAATTGTGTGTGAACAAGACGTTTCCAGAATGCGTCGGCAATTGGATGAGACAAATGATGAGCTGGCCCAGATCGCCAGGGAAAGAGATATCTTGGCTCATGACAATGACAATCTCCAGGAACAGTTTGCTAAAGCTAAACAAGAAAACCAGGTACACTTGTTCCTAGAATCATTTTCTCCAAGAAAAAAAAATATGAATTTCTTGTGAGGAACAGCCCTCATTTTATTTTATAGAAGAGCTCAGACACTGGAACTAGCCTTTTCTTTTTTTTAAAAAATAACAAAATAGGCCACATAATTTTTAAATGGAATTCTCAGACACAAAGGGTTAAATATTAAAGAAAAGAGAGAACAGGGCTATATTTGTATTAAAGCTTAGTACTTCCTTGCTGAAGGATAAATATTTGAATAATCAAAAAATGAGAATAAAAACCTTGAGAAACCTTAAAGAAAAGAATAGGTGTTTTTTTTTTAAAAAAATGGACTACATATTATTCTGTTTTAAGTATGAATGTATGGACTGTGCCTTGTTTTTTGGTTCTCATTAGCACTGTGATTCTTTTTAGGAAAGTTCCTCTTATAATTACTCTTTCTCCCTAAGGCAATATATTTAAGTCTAATCTGCAGTTCTCATTTCCAATAACATTTATTTTAACGTGAACATTTAAAAATCCTATTTGGAAAATTTCTTCCCTTCTCAAAATTTTTAAGACCAAATGGTTTTCCCCACTTTGTATCACTTTCAGTGTGTTTAGTTTGCATCCTGAAAGTCTGTGTTCTTTAACTGTTGAAGATTATTAATTTACTTAAACAGCTATAAAGCTGTAATACTTTGTTAATCATAAAAAATTATCTGAGATGTTAAAGTATTTTGTTTAAAAGTAAATGAATAATGGGATCCTGGAATAGAAAAAGGACATTATGTAAAAAAGGAAAGAAATCTGAATAAAGTATGGACTTCAGATAATAATGTGTCAATATTGGCTTATTAATTGTGACATATGCACCATACTAATGTAAAATGTTAACAATAGAGGTGCCCTTTATAATGTCTTCACAACTTTTCTGTAAATCTAAAACTATTCTAAAAGTTTATTTAAAAAATTAATGAATAGCAATAAAAACCAAAACATGGGAATTTGTAAGGTTTGCCTTTGTGTACTCTTTACAGCTAGAGCATATGGGCTAAAGGTGGATATATCTTATTTATGAAAACCTAGAAATTTAGTTTCTATTTTTTTGATTGGTTTAGAAATAGAAGCTTATTATAGAAAGTCTTTTTTCTAAACAAAAAGTTAAGAGTTTAGAAAAGCCCCCATGTTTTTGATACTCAGTTACTGTTATATTTGACATATTTTTTTAATTGCTATACAGTGCACTTAAAAATTTTAACACTATTTTTATACACATTTTCTAATGTAGTGGGATAAAATCACCTATCACTTTAGATCATGCTTTTTTCTACATGAAGAGGCAGTAGAGTCGAGTAAGATTCACATGGGTTGAATCTTGCTCTCTGCGTGTGTGATCATATAAACCAACTTCTCTGAGTCTCTGTAGCATCTGTAAAAATGGTTAATAAGTGAGACTATACCTGGAAAGCACTTACTGTACTGTCCAGTATATCACTCAATAAATATTTTATAGCTATTATTAGCTTACTATAATATTGTAAGCATTTTCCTGCCTTGTTCAAACTTTGTAAACATTTTTTATAATCAGAAGAAAACTGTTGTCATAACAATTTACATATGCTCAAAAGTAGTTTTTTCTTCGTTATGGTCATAGGCCCAAGGTAGAAGAGAGGTCTCTCTCTGTGGACCACAGGTTAAGAACCAGTATTGCAGAAGACGAGAAAGTGGAAACTTAAAAAAAATTTATCCTTGATACCACAATTTTTAACAAATTGGGATAATGAGGTATTTTTGTGTTTTAGCACGATTTTTTTTTCACTTAACATAGGCAAATATTTCCCTGTATTATTAAAAATCATTCCAAACATTTCTCACAGGTATGTAATATTCCATTATGTGGTTATGCCACTATGTAGATATACTATTATTTACTGCATGATTCACTTAATGTGAATAAATATTGTCACTGTAACAAATGCCTTAATGACAGCATCTCATTAAATTTTATTAGATTTCATTTCAGAGTGAATCACAGATTATCAGGTTTCTTTTTAATTATTATTTATTTATTTATTTATTTATTTATTGTAGAGTTGGGTTCCCACTATGTTGTTCAGGCTGGTCTCAAACTCTTAGGCTCAAGTGATCCTCCCAAAGTGCCAGGATTACAGGAAAAACACCCAGCTGAGGTTTCTTTTTTAAATTAAAAAAATGTAAATAGACATTTTCAAATATAATGAATCCCCATGTGCCATTTCCCACCTTCAAAAATAATCAACATTTTTGTCTTTCTTGTTTTTATGAGCATTTAAAAATTGTCTCTTGATACATCACCAGATTCCTGATCACAGATTTGCTTTCTGCAAATCTACATTTACTCCAGTAGTACATGGAAATGCCCATTCTTTACCATAGCTGAATAGCTTTAAATCTTTATTAATTTGATAAGCAGAATAGTAATGTGTTGTTTTAATTAGCATATCTTCAGTTGCTAGTAGAGTTTTTTTCAGGTCTTACCTACTTATGCTTCCTTTTTTGAATTGCTTATTTGGGTCATTTGCCCACTTGCTATTGGGCTTATGTGTTTTCTTTTTTTATATGAGTTTATATATTAGGTATGTTAATTTTATTTGTTCCAAGTGTTTAAAAATTTGTTTATGGTATTTTTGAGATATAGAAATTTTTTATTTTTCATAGTCAAATATACCTATCTTTTTTTCGTAGGCACTGTCCAAAAAATTGAATGACACTCATAATGAACTTAATGACATAAAACAGAAGGTTCAAGATACTAATTTGGAGGTTAACAAGCTGAAGAATATATTAAAGTCTGAAGTATGTATTTTTTTTTTCTTTTTGCTCATGATACTTAGTTTTCACTAGAGTTAATTTAGAAGTTGGTATACTCAGAACGACAGGTGAATCAAAGCTTTCTTTAATACATAGTATATTTTAGTTTTGACAATGGTGGGTTAACTACATATTTAGAATGTTCAGAAAGATGCCTGGAGAATATGCCCCTTTTGTTTTGCAACTCTGCCACTCTAGACAAGCAGAATCTTCCTAACTGGATGATGGACAAAGGGCTAAAATCAATTTGACCTCGCTTATAATTAATTGAAAGTGGTGGGGTTTCCAGTTATAAACCTCTGACAAAAGAGGTTCCACCTGATTATGTAGCAGATCAGAATTGGTTACCCTGTTATGGGACCATCTATTTTTTTTAGGACCACAAGGCAGATGGTTCTCCTCACACTTCTCTGTTAGCAATCATTTGACCAGGCACATGTACATGACATCAGATGACTCCAATAAGTGTGGTGCATGTGTGGCAACTCAGGAATAAACAGGCAGCTTTACTGAGGATTTTAGATATGTCTATTAGGTAAAATATTATCTAAAATTGAGGGAGGATGTTCCCATTAATGGTTTGAGTGGTATGTAGGTAACACTATACCTATTATAATAATCAATCCACCTATACTATTTTATCATTTCATGTCAGTCCACAAACATATCTTGAACATTTATTTATGGTATGCATAGTACTGTTAAGGGCTTTGAGACAGAAGAGATTCTAAGGATTTCTAAATTGCAATCCTTGCTTTCAGGCAGCAAGCAGCCTGTGTAGGAAAAGCACGTGGTTTCCTACACTTCCTGATTTTAAGGTTCCAGCAATGTAATACCATAAATGAACAAAAGGCTTTTTATTTATGCAGGCTACTCAGCCTCTCTGATTCTTCCCATCTGTAATCGGGAAGAACACCCAAGTAAGTGAGATAATTTAAAACACCTAGCACAGTGAGCCATCTGAATCTATTCTAGAATAGGTCAGAAATAAATAAATGAATATCCAGAGCAACACTTTTTTTTTTTTTTGAGACAGGCTCACTGTATTGCCAGGCTGGAGTGCAGTGGTGCAATCGTGGCTCACTGCAACCTTTGCCTCCCATGTTCAAGCGATTCTCCTGCCTCCTGAGTAGGTGGGGTTACAGGTGCATGCAACCATGCCCGGCTAATTTTTGTATTTTTAGTAGAGACGGGGTTTCGCCATGTTAGCCAGTCTGGTCTCGAACTTCTGACCTGAAGTGATCCACCTGTCTCGGCCTCCCAAAGTGCTGGGATTACAGGCATGAGCCACTGCACTCACCCCAGAGCAACATTTAACATAGTAAGCTTTCAGCCAGTGTTAAACACTTCCCTTTATCTCCCTTGTCTGTTAGTAACATTACCTGAAATTCCACCATTAGGGATTATAACTTTTAGATTCTAGAATTATATTTTCAGACATCACACATCAAGCTTCTTAGGCTCAAGTGATCCTCCCACCTCGGCCTTCCGAAGTGCTGGGGATTTTAGCATCCTAGTATGAATTTGTTTATGAGATTGCATAACACTGGATGGATGCAGGCCCGGAGAGAATGAACCACGGATCCATTTTGATAGGGATAGACCATCAAGAAGTGTGGAGTACTTCATTCATTCACTCATTCATGCAGCGTGCTAGGTGCTGGAGTGCCAGAGATGAAAAATGGAGAGGAAACAGAATGACTGCCAGGCAGTGGGAACAACATGAGCAAAGGTGTAGGGGAAAAAGTAGGTCCTGTAGGTAGAGTAGTGTGTACAAGTGGATGATAAAGGAGAGGTAAGAAAGACCTTCTTTGAACCCTATTTTCAGAAGCTTTTGTTAGAACTAAAACATATAAGTTATTTAAGGATTGCCTTTTAGGAAGTTTATTTTGGAAACGTCAAGAATAAACCAGAAGGGTAACAAAATCAGAAGTGGAGAGAGCAGTTAGAAGAGGTTGTAACCATAATTTAGGCAAGAAATGCAAAGGATTCCAGCTGAGGCCTACGGAGTGTTGCAGTGAGACTTGTGGGTGGCCAGAGGGAGCTGTGGATACAGGGGAGGCACCATATAGAAGTAAAGAGATCCTGAAAGCAGGAAATAGAGAATACCAAAGAACAGTTTCATTTTCTTTATAGTGTTGCCTCTCATGCTCAACACTGCTCTGGCCTCTATGGGAGGATATGAAAAAGGGTAAAATATGCTTTCTGCTTGCCAAGAAGGAGGGAGCACTGGGTGGTTGGAGGACAGGAGAGACATTCTACGGAATCCCTTTTCACTTTGAATAATGTACTACCTGGTCACAGAACTAAATTTAATATAAAAATGGTTCCTGCTTTAGAGAAATACAAGGTGTTATCAGGGAGGCTTTACATCCACACCTAGCAACACAAAGCTGTAAGGCAGTTTTAAGTGAATGACATAGACAGTAAGTACTGCACAAAGTTAAAGAGGGTAAAGATCAATGTGAATACAATTCGTTTAAGTATATTGTACAAGCACCCTCCAAGTACATACTCTGTACACAACTATGATTGTTAGTACAATCATGGAAAACACATATCAGGTTCCTGCTGACACAGTTGGAGTATCTGAATCTTGAAAGCCAATAAGGTAGTTTAGTATATTGTTGACTAACACAGACTTGGCAAAGATCTTTCACATTAGAGGCCACAAGGTGGCAATATTAGCTGAATTTCCACCAGTAAACATAATCAGGAAATGGCTTATCTGATTTGAAAGGAGTATTAGACATTATTTATTGCAATTTGGTCATTTTATTTAGCCCAGGATTTCTGATAGGGACGTGCACTATTTATTAACAGGAGAGAAAGAGATCTAGTGCCTTTTAAAAAATTACCAAAATTACAACTAATTTTTTAGAATGAATTCACCAAACCATAATAAAATATTTTTTTAAATAGCCTAATAATGATTACTCGGTCTATTATATTGTTTGTGGAGCTGAATTTTTTTCCCTCCTTATTTCCCTACTAGAAATCAGACCCTACTTCAGTTACTCTGCTCATGATAGAATTTTGAAAGTTCAAAAAATCTGGTTCTTATTGTATGCTCAATTTATACATGAATGCATATTTACAACTAGTGTTTATTGGCATAGGTTTGATAGTTTACTTCTGAGCAATTTCAGGAAAGTTACTAGACTGGCAGGGAAAGTTACTAGACTAGCAGGTAAAAGATAATCATAGAACAGTTCATGATCAAGATAATTAAGGCTGGGGCTATGAATAAAAGGCAGACACCAGACAGGAAATTATCAGAAGCTGACATTTAAAATATGCAAGTACTCAGAAGCTCTGTAGCCAGCACAGCCCGGTAAATTGGTCAAGAACAAGGGAATACACCAGTACGAAAGGTCAGAGGCTCAGAATCCAGACCAGCAAGTAGTCAGTAAGCAGACATATGGGAAAAGCAGGCTGTGGAGGACTTCAAACAAAAGGAAATATAAGAACAAATTCATTCAGGTCTTGAAGAAAAGAGTAATTTACCTAAATTTACTATTTACTAGTGTTCACTGAGTGTTACTCAGGAGCCAGGGCAGATGCTGATTGCAGTCTTTGTTAATTACAGGATGACCTGTTTTCTAAACTAAGAGTATAGATATATTTCCTCAGGGTTCTATTATAAACGCTTCTCATGGCAAGTGAATTCCCAATGACTTGGATAATAATGTTTAATTTTTATCATATGTTCAGCATTTTAAAGTAATAGCTAAAGTTTGCTTTTCAGGAATCTGAGAACCGGCAAATGATGGAACAACTTCGAAAAGCCAATGAAGATGCTGAAAACTGGGAAAATAAAGCCCGTCAATCAGAGGCAGATAACAATACCCTCAAACTGGAACTTATCACTGCTGAGGCAGAGGGTAACAGATTAAAAGAAAAAGTAGATTCCCTCAACAGAGAGGTTGAGCAAGTAAGTTTGGAAAAATATGCTTATAATACATCCTGCATCATATTTAAAAGAGTTTTGTTTGGCCTTCCATAAATTAAATGTATGAACAAACACGTAAATTATTTAAATGTACTGTGAATTGTAGCATGCTAACCATTCTCCTTATACTTTGATTCTTCTACAATCTCTTATCTACCCTACATCCAGAACAATCATTAGCATTTGTTAAAATTAGAAACTATTTCAAACATACCATAAAAGTGCAAAAGTAACAAAACAGATAAACATATCCCCAGCTCCCACATGTAAGGATACTAACATTTTGCCATGTTTGCTTCAAATGTCTCCTTGTTTAAAGAAATAAAACATTACAGATAAAACTTCTCTCATCCTTTTCCCTCCTACCTCCCTAGTTGCTGGTGTGCATAACTTTCCTGTCAGTGTGTCTAACTCCTTTGCATATGTTTATACTTTTTCTACAATCTTACACCCACAAATAATGTATAATGTTATTTGGTATGTTTTGGTTTTTATTTAAGTGAAAACAAACATAGTTGGAGATATTCATTTGCAACTTGCCCTCTTTGCTCAATATTATAATTTTGACACATCTATTTTGATATATATATAGTGTACTGCTTTACTCAAACAGTTGCATATATTCATTGTATAAATATTCCCTTTTTAAAATTCATTCCCATATTGAAGGAAAGTTAATTTTTTTTCACTTTTTTCTGTGATAAAACACTGCAACAAACCTTTTACATTTCTCCTTGACTACATGTTTCCCTATATTTATGCCTGGAAGTGAATTTTAAAAAGCTATATGCCTGGAGTAGATCCAAGATATGTGCAATTTCAGCTCTTCTAAGTTTTTGTCAAATTGCTCTCTAAAGTGTCATTCTGCCATAAGAAATCCTGAGTTATTTTCTCAAATGTGAATCAATACTTGATATTGTCAGACAATTTTTTCCATACTTTTTGTCTTGTGCTTCCTTGATTGCAAGTGAAATTGAGGACCTTTTCATGTTTCTTTGCCATTTAGGATTCTTCCTCTATGAACATTTTCTTGAATTTCTCTTGAATGAAATTTTTGTAAACTTTGGCCATTTTTCTATTGCATAGCTTATCTTTTTCATATATATATATTTTTTTGAGATGGAGTCTCGCTCTGTCGCCAGGCTGGAGTGCAGTGGCGTGATCTTGGCTCACTGCAACCTCCGCTTTCCAGATTCAAGTGATTCTCCTGCCTCAACCTCCCAAGTAGCTGGGACTACAGGTGCGCACCACCCTGGCCAACTAGTTTTTTTTTTGTATTTAGTAGAGATGGGGTTTCACCATGTTGGCCAGGCTGTTCTCGATCTCTTGACCTCATGATCCACCCACCTTGCCCTCCCAAAGTGCTGGGATCACAGGCCTGAGCCACCACACCCTGCCTTCATATTGATTTTTAACGGAATTCTCTATGTATTCTTGATAATAATCCTCTTAAAGATATTACAATTATATTGTCCTTGTCTGTGGCTTGTCTTTTCACCTTCCTTGCAGTATAAACAGACATGTTCAGTTCTGATATACTCAGAATTATTATCAATATTTTCCTATATAGTTTATACTTTTATGTCTTCTTTAAGAAATCCTATACAATCCCAAGGCCAGAGAGATATTTTCCTATATTTTCATTTAAAAGTTCTTCTAAATGTTTGAAAGTATGTGAAATTTTGCCATTTACATTTAGGACTTTAACCTGCTTGAGATTGATTTTGTGCAGTTCGAAGTAGACATATAATTTTTATTTTTGTGAATAGATATCCGTTGTCCTTTCTTCTCTGAAATATAAGTCAAGTCTACTTTGTCATAAAAATAAGTTCCCATACATTCTGCTCCATTGGTCAATTTATCCCCTTGTCAATAACACACTCTTGTAGCTATTATAATTTTATGTTGAGTCTTGATATCTGGAAGAATTAATGTTCCCTCAAATTATCTGGACTGTACTTGGTCCTTATTAACCTGTCTCAGATGAATTTTAGAATAAATGTATCAGATTTCATGATTTTATTTCTTTTCTATGCATTGAAGACTGGAAATTTCTATTTTTTTGGGTGCAGCCACCTGCAGCCCACAAGTTTTGAGATAATCCTTTCATTGCCATTCAGTTTTTAATATCATCTCGTTTCATTATGATTTATTTTTAATTACTAAAGTTTGTTTGTCTGTTTGTTTGAGACAGAGTCTCACTCTGTTCCTAGGCTGGAGTGCAGTGGTACAATCATAGCTCACCGCAGCCTCCAATTCCTGGGCACAGGTGATCCATCTGTCTCAGCCTCCAAGTGGCTAACACTACAAGTGTGAGTCACCACACCCAGCTAATTTTTAATATTTTTGTAGCAATGGAGTCTTACTATATTGCCCAAGCTGGTCTTGATCTCCTGGCCTCAAGTGATCCTCCCACCTCAACCTCCCAAAGTGCTAGGATTAGAGGCATGAGCCACCACACTTGACCTGAAGTTTTAAAAAACTTTCCAATGTGCAGGGGACTTGAGGTTATTAGTCTATTTTTACTTTGTTGTGTCTAATATCTTATTGTCTAATGTTTCTAATATTGTGATCAGATAAAATGGCTTATGATAATTAATTCTTTGTTATCTGCTAAGAATTGCTTAGTGGCAGATTATGTAATCAATATTTGATAATATTCTACATGACCTTGAAAAGCATCTGTGCTCACTTCTTGGTGGACACATATATGTATGTTATATATATTTACAGATTAGGCTTGTTAATAGTGTCAGTCAAGTCTTATAAATCCTTACTATATTTGTATTCTTGATCTCTCAAATACTGAAAGACATGTTAAAATCTTCCTCTGTAACTGTGGATTTGTTTATTTCCCTCTGAATGATTTTCTCACAGTTCTGGAGACTGGAAATCTAAGATCACAGTGCCGGAAGGTTTGGTTTCTTCTGGGGCTTCTCTCCTTGGTCTGCAAATGTCTGCCTTCTTGCTACATTCTCACATGGCCTTTCTTCTGTGCATGCACATCCTTGGTGTCTCTCCCTATTCTTATAAGGACACCAGTCATGTTGGATTAGGATCCTATCCTTATAACCCCATTTAACCTTAATTACCTCTTTAAAGGTCCTATCTCCAAATATAGTCACACTAGGGGGTTAGGGTTCAACGTATGAATTTGGAGGGGACACAGTTTTGTCCATAACAGGTTGTTTCTAGTTTTTGGCCGTGAGGAATATAATTTCTGTGAACATTGTGTTCAAGTCTTTGCGTTCATGTAAGTTTTCATTTTTCTTGGATAAATAACTAGGAGTGGAATTGCTGGATTATATGGTAAGTATGCTTAACTTTGTAAAAACCTGACAAATTGAATAAATAATATCTAGTATTTGATAGTACAACAGGGTGACTATAGTCAACAGTAATTTATTGTACATTTAAAAATAACTAAAAGAGTCTAATTGTATTATTTGTAACACAAAGGATAAATGCTGGAGGAGATGGAAACAAAAAACAAAGTGGTTATATCAGTTTACACTCCCGCTTGCACTGTGTGATAGTTGCTCTAAATCTTCTCCCACACTTGGTATTGTTAATAGATGAGTAAGGTTATCACATTCATATTTTAGTTTACCTTTTCCTCACGACTAATGATGTTGAACAGATTTTCACATGCTTACTGGTCATGAGTCTATCTTCTTTTGTGAAGTAGCTGTTCAAATCTATTGCCCATCTTTTTATTGGCATGTTTATCTTCTTGTTATTAAATTGTAGATATTTTTTGAACACTTTAGATTTTGGATATTTTCTCCCAGTCATTGGCTTGCCTTTCTGTTTTCTTAATAAAATCATTCTAAGAGCAGAAGTTTTACATTTTTGATGAAGTCCAGTTTACCAATTTTCTTTTTATACTTTGTACTTCTATGTCCTGATAAATCTTTGCATGCACCAAGGTGCATAGACTTTCTTTTAGGAATTTTATATTTTTAGATTTTATATTTAGATCTATGCTACAATTGAATTAATACTTGTGTATGATGTAAGATAAGGGTCAAGGTTCATTTTTTCTCATACAGATATGAAGGTATCCAGCACCACTTATTGAAAAGACTTATTTCATCATTGAATTATCTACAAATTTTTCACAAAAATCAAATGATCATATATGTGTGGATCTGTTTCTATACTCTCTTCTGGGTATACATCTATCCTTAGCCAGTAACCCAGTGACTTGATTAATATATCTTTATGGTAGATCTTGAAATGAGTTAGTTAAATCCTCCAAATGTGTTCTTTCCTCAAATGTTTGGCTACTATGGGTCCTCTGCATTTCCACATAAATTTAGAATGAGCATATCATTTTCTACAGAAAAAAAACCTACTTGGGGTTTGATTAGCATTATTTTGAATATACAGTTCAGTATGGGAAGAGTTGAGATTTTAACAATATTGAGTCTTCCAATCCATAAACATGGTGTATCCACTCATTTATTTATTTAGGCAGGTCTTTTATTTCTCTCAACAATGTTTTGTACTTTTCAGTGTATAGGTATTAAATATATTTTGTTAAATGTATCCCATATTATCTCATGGGGTTTTTTATGGCTCTTATAGAATATCTCAGTCTTTACAATGCCATTGTAAAAATGATATTTTATTCTTGAATTTTATGTTCCAGGTTTTGATAGCCTATACACAAAAGTAGAATAGAATTTTGTGACCTTTTATTCTGTAACATTGTTTAAATTCAATGTTTTAGTCCTAGTAGGTTTTTGTAGATTTTAAAAGGATTTTCTACGTATGCAATTATGACTTAAATGTATAAAGATAGTTTTACTTCTTCTCTTTTACTCTTCTCAGAACGCCTTTTTCTTCTGCCTAGTACTTCAAATATCAGTATTGAATAAAAGTGGTGAGAGTGGATATTTTTTGCCTCATATATAGCCATAAGGAAATAGGACTCAGTGTTTCATCTTTGAATATGATATTAGCTGCAGGTTTTTTGTAGAAGCTTTTTTTTTTTTTTTTTTTGAGATGGGGTCTCGCTCTGTCGCCCAGGCTGGAGTGCAGTGGCGCAG
The DNA here is from genome assembly GCF_000001405.40 of Homo sapiens. Classification (NCBI taxonomy): domain Eukaryota; kingdom Metazoa; phylum Chordata; class Mammalia; order Primates; family Hominidae; genus Homo; species Homo sapiens. Next base: position 99,059,866 of record NC_000002.12, on the reverse strand, counting down.
TCTTGGCTCACTGCAGCCTTCGCCTCCTGGGTTCAAAGGATTCTCCCACTTCAGCCTCCTGAGTAGCTGGGAATACAGGAGCGTGCCACCATGCCTGGCTAATTTTTGCATTTTTTTGTAGAAACGGGGTTTCACCATGTTGGCCGGGCTTGTAGAAGCATTTTGTCAAGTTGAAAACATTCCCTTGTCTTACAAGTTTACTTAAAGTTGTGTGTGTGTGTTTCCCCCAAGACTGAGTCTTGCTCTGTCGCCCAGGCTGGTGTGCAGTGGCGTGATCTCGGCTCACTGCAACTTCCGCCTCCCAGGTTCAAGCAATTCTCCTGCCTCAGCCTCCCGAGTAGCTGGGATTACAGGTGCCTGCCACTATGCCTGGCTAATTTTTTTTTGTATTTTTAATAGAGATGGGGTTTTGACATGTTGGCCAGACTGGTCTCGAACTCCTGACCTCAGGTGATCTGCCCACGTCGGCTTCCGAAAGTGCTGGGATTACAGGCATGAGCCACCATGCCTGGCCTAAGTTTACTTAGAGTTTGTATCATGAATGGGTATAAAATTTTATCAAATGCTTTTTCTGCAGCTATTGAGATGGTCATATCACTTTAATTTTTTAGTTTGTTAAACTGGCTAATACATTGCTTTAAAAAATAATTCCTGGATAGTAGGTCATGGTGGTTTTGTTTTTTGTTGAGACATGGTCTAGCTCTGTCACCCAGGCTGCACTCGTGGTGCAAGGTCATGATGTATTTTTAAACATACATTATTAGATTGCATATATATATATATATAAAAATATATAAATATATATATATATATATATTATTTTTTTTTTTTGAGACAGAGTCTCACTCTGTTGCCCAGACTGGAGCACACTGGTGTGATCTCAGCTTGCTGCAACCTCCATCTCCTGGGTCAAGCAATTCTCCTGCCTCAGCCTCCTGAGTAGCTGGGATTACAGGTGCCCACCACTATGCCCAGCAAATTTTTTGTATTTTTAGTAGAGACAGGGTTTCACCATGTTGGTCAGGCTGGTCTCGAACTCCTGACCTCATAATTCACCCACCTCAACCTCCCAAAGTGCTGGGATTACAGGCGTGAGCCACCATGCCCAGCCAGGATTTCTGATTTCTTAGGTCATTTTGGTAATTTCTGTTTCGCTAGGATTTGCCTATTTCATCTAAGTTGTCAAATTTGTAGGCAAATTTGTTCTTACTTTGTAGTTATATTCCTTTTTGCATTCTTGTTATTGGTAATTTGTAGCATTTCTCTATTCTCTTCATCAGTCTAGCCAGAAGTTTATCATTTATGTTTATCTTTCCAAAGAAGGAGTATTAATTTAATTGATTTTTCTCTATTAATGAACTAGTTTTCTATTTCATTGATTTCTTCTCTTTATTATTTCTTTCCTTCTAAATAATATATGTTTAATTTTTCTCTTCGTATTTTAATGTAGGTGCTTAGGTCATTGGTTTTAGCCCATTCTTCTTTTCTAAGCATTTAAGGTATGTATTTTCCCCTACACAGTGCTTTAGCTGTATTCTACATATTTTTGTGTTGCTATTTTTTGTAACAGCTTTATTGAGAATAATTAACATGCCATATAGTTTATCCACTTAAAGTATACAATTTAATAGTGCTTAGATGTTCGTAGAGTTGTGTAATGATCACCACAATCAATTTTAGAACATTTTCATCACTTTGAAAAGAATCACTGTACCCTTTATCACCACCAAACCCTCCATTAGGTCTTTGATGCATTTTTAGTTCATTTTTTTTCACATGGTATGAAGTAAGGGTCCAAATTCATTCTTTTGCATGTGTCCATCTAGTTATCTTAGTAACATTTGTTGAAAAGACTATTTCTCCCCTCCCCCCACCATTTGAATGGTCTTGGCACCTCTATCAAAAATCAATAGATCATAGACACATGGGCTTCTTCTAGACTCTTAATTCTATTTCATTGATCTGTATGTCTATCCTTATATCAGTACCACACTGGCATAATTACTATTGCTTTGTAGTAGCTTTTGAAATGGAAAAGTGAAAGTCCTCCTGCTTTGTTTTCATTTTTTCAAGATTGTTTGGCTATTCTGAGACTTTTGAATTTTCATATAAATTTTAGGATCAGCTTGTCAATTTCTACAAAGAAACCACCTGGGATTCTGATAGAGACTATGCTGAGCTGGTAGATCAATTTGGGGAATATGGCTGTCTTAACAATATTAAGTTTTCTGATCCATGAACACAAGGTGTAGTTTCGTTTATTAGATCTTTAATTTCTTTCAACAATATTTTGTTGTTTTCAGAGTATAAGTTAGGTCTTCTTGTGTTAATTTTATTCTTAAGTATTTTATTATTTTGAATGCAACTGTAAATAGAATTGTTTTCTTATTTTTATTTTCAGATTCTCCATCGCAAGTGTATAAAAATACAATGATTTTTGTATATCGATCTTGTATCCTGCAACCTTGCTGAACTTATTTATTAAGTCTAAAAGTTTTTAGTGAATGCCTTAGGATTTTCTATATCTGTCACCTGGGCTGGTGGATTTTCTATATCAAAGATCATGTCATCTGTGAATAGAGATAGTTTTTACTTTTTCCTTTCCAATCTGGATGCCTTTTATTTTATTTTCTTGCCTAACTACCCTGGCTAGAACTTCTAGTACAGTGTTGAATAGAAGGGTCCAGAAGGGGCATCCTTATCTTGTTCCTGATTTTAGGGGGAAAGCATTTCATCTTTTACCATCAAGTATGATGTTAGCTGTTGGTTTTTTATAGAAAACCTTTATGACACTGAAGAAATTCCCTTTTATTGTTACTTTGAAGAGTGTATTTATCAAAAAGGGTGTTGGATTTTGTCAAATGCTTTTTCTGTGTCTATTGAGATTATCATGTAGTTTTTCTTTATTTTATAGATATAGTATATTACATTAATTGACTTTCATATGCTAAGCCAACTTTGCATTTTTAGATAAATCCCACTTGGTCATGGTATGTAATTATTTTTTATGTTGCTGGATTTGGCTTTCTAGTTTTTTTTTTTTTTTTTTTGAAGGATTTTGTGTATTTCTAGGAGCGTCTGTAATTTTCTTTTCTTGTAATGTGTTGTCTGTTTTTAATATCAGAGTGAGACTGGCCTCATAGAATGAGTTAGAAAATGTTTCCTCCTCTTCTGTATTTCAAAACAGTTTGTATGGAATTTGCATTGATTCTTCTTTAAAGGTTTGGTAAAAATTTACCAGTAAAGCCATCTGGTAGAGAAGTTTTATGGGAAGTTTTAAAATTACCTCTTTATGGGCAGTATTAAAATTGCTAATCAATTTCTTTGTTGTTATAGATCTATACAGATAGTCTATTTTTCATGAGACAGTTTTGCTAGTTTGTGTTTTCTAGGAATTTGTTCATTTCATCCAAGATATTTAATTTATTGGCATACAGTTGTTTATAGTGTATTTTTATAATCTATTTCATTTCAGTAAGGTCACATTACTACTAATGCAGTATGTAAGGATTGCGTTACTACATTATTTCATTTCTGATTCTATTAATTGAGTCTTTTTTTCTAGATCAATCTAGCTACAGACTTGTCAATTTAGTTGATCTTTTCAGAAACTAACTTGGTTACTTGGTTGTGTTGACTATTGTTATTTTCTTTTTTTTTTTGAGACGAAGTCTTGCTCTGTCACCCAGGCTGGAGTGCAGTGGCGTGATCTCGGCTCACTGCAAGCGCTGCCTCCCGGGTTCACGCTATATTCCTGCCTCAGCCTCGCGAGTACCTGGGACTACAGGTGCCCACCACCACGCCTGGCTAATTTTTTTTGTATTTTTAGTACAGACGGGGTTTCACCGTATTAGCCAGGATGATCTCGATCTCCTGACCTCGTGATTCACCCTCCTCAGCCTCCCAAAGTGCTGGGATTACAGGCGTGAGCCACCGCGCCTGGCCGACTATTGTTATTTTCTTTATTTCAGTAATTTCTTTTCTTCCTTTTTTTTTTTTTTTTTTTGTTAATTGGATACAGGGTCTTGCTTTGTTGCCCAGGCTGGAATGCAGTGGTGCAATCACGGCTCACTGCAGCCTTGACCTCCTGGGCTCAAGATCTTCCCACCTCAGCCTTCCAAAGTGTTGGAATTACAGGTGTGAGCTACTCTGCCTGGCTGTTTTGTTAATTTCTTTCTTTCTCTCTCTCTCCCTCTCTCTTTCTGGCAGTAGGAACTCTGCCTGGCTTTATTCCCCCACCAGTTTTATTAAGGTATAATCTACCAAATAAAAAATTGTATTGTTTACAGTGTACAATGTGATATTTTAATATATGTATAAATTGTGAAATGATTAAATCAAGCTAATTAACATATCCAGCACCTCATATGCTTGCCATTTTTTTTTTTGTGGTGAGAACATTTAAGATCTACCCTCTTAGTAATTTTCAAACATACAGTACATTATTATTAACTATTGTCCCCAAAACTTATTCTTTCTGTCTAACTGAAGCTTTCTCTCACCTCACCCTGCCCTATCAGCTCCAGGTAACCACCATTCTACTCTCTGCTTCTATGAGCTCAACTTTTTTAGATTCCACATATAAACGAGATCAGTGTTTGTCTTACTGTGCCTGGCTTATCTCACTTAGCATAATGAACCTCTAGGGTCATCCATGTGGTCACAAATGGCAGGATTTCTTTGTTTTTAAGGCTGAATAGTATTTCATTGTATATCTATATACCACAAGTTTGCTATCCATTCAGCCACTGATGGACACTTAGGTTGATTCCATATCTTGGCTATTGTAAATAATTCAGAGCACATGGGAATGCAGATGTCTTTTTGACATACTGATTTCATTTCCTTTGGATGTATATCCAGAAGTGGGATTGCTGGATTATATAGTAGTTCTGTTTTAAATTTTTAAAGACACTTTTATACTGTTTCCCATAATGGCTATACTAATTTACATTCCCACCAATGGTGTACAAGGGAAGGGGTTCCTTTTCTCCATATCCTCACCAACATTTATCTTTCGTCTTTCTTGTAATAGCCATTCCAACAGGTGTGAGGTGGTTTTTACTTTGCATTTCTTTAATAATTAGCAATGTTGCCCTAATGATTACCAATGTCGAGTGTTTTTTAACATACCTGTTGGCCAGTTGTATGACTTCTTTTGAGAAATGTCTATTCAGGCTCTTTGCCCATTTTTAAATTGGGTTATTTGTTTTCTTCCTATTGAATTCCTTGTATATTTTGAATATTAAGCCCTTATCAGCTGTATGGTTTACAAATTTTTTCCCATTTTGTAGATTTTCTCTTCACACTTTTCTTTGTTATGCAGAAGTTTTTTACTTTGATCCAACCCCATTTCTCTATTTTCTCTTTTGAAGCCTATGCTTTTGGAATTATATCCAAAACAATCACTACCCTGGTCAATGTCAAGAAGCATTTCCTCTCCATTTTCTTCTAGCAGTTTTACCGTTTCAGGTCTTATATTTAAGTCTTTAATCCATTAAGAGTTGATTTTTGTATATGTTGAAATAAGGGTCCAATCTCATTCTTCTCCATAGGCAGTGTTCCCATTATCATTTGCAGAGATCGTCCTTTCTCCACTGCATCTTCTTGACACCTTTGTCAAAGGTCAATTGACTGTAAATGAATGGATTTATTTCTGGGCTGTCTATTCTGTTCCATTGGTCTCTATGTCTGCTTTTTATGGCACTACCATTCTGTTTTGATTACTGTTGTTTTGTAGTATTTTGAAATCAGGTAGTGTGATGCCTCCAACTTTGTTCTTTTTGCTCAAGATTACTTTGTCTAAAGGGTGTATTGTGGTTCCATATGAATTTTAGGATTTTTTTTCTATTTCTGTAAAAATGCTCTTGGAATTTTGATAGGGATTACACTGAATCTGTAGATTGCTTTGGGTAGTATGAACATTAACATTATTAATTCTTCTGATCTGTAAACATGGAATATCTTTCCATTTATTTGTGTCTTCTTCAATTTCTTTCATCAGTGTTTTATAGTTTTCGGTGAACATATAGCATCTTTTTTCTTATGCTATTATAAATGGGATTGTTTTATTGATTTTATTGATTTCCATTCTGTCAGTGTATAGAAATGCTACTGATCTTTGTATGTTGATTTTGTATCCTAAAATTTACTGAATTTATTACTTCTAACCATTTTTTGTTGGAGCTTTTCACCACTGAGTATGATGTTAACTGTGGGCTTGTCATATATAGCCTTTATTGTGTTGAGGTACATACCTTCTATACCTAGTTTCTTTAGAGCTTTTTTATGTTTATTATGAAAGGACGTTGAAGTTGGTCAAATGCATTTTCTACATGTGTTGAGATTATCATACGACTTTTATCCTTCATTCTGTTAACGTGGCCTTTCACATGGATTGATTTGTATATGTTGAACCATCCTTGCATCTCAGGGATAAATGCTACTTGATTATGGTGTATGATCCTTTTAACATGTTATCCAATTTTGTTTGCTAGTATTTTTTTTTTTTTTGGAAATTTTTGAATTTGTATTTAGGAAGAATATTGGCATGTAGTTCCCTTGTAGAAAATTTGTAGAAAACATTGTCTTGCTCTGGTATCATGATAATGCTGACCACTAAAATGAATTTGGAAGTCTTCCCTTCTTTTCAATTTTTTGGAAGAATTTGAGGATTGGTGGTAGTTCTTTAAATGCTTAGTAGAATTCACCCATGAAGCCATCTGGTCTTGAGCTTTTTTTTGATGTAAGATTTTTTTTTTAAATCTTAACTATCAGGAATACACTATTTATTTATTTAATCTTTGAGACAGGGTCTGCTTCTGTCCCTCAGGCTGGAGTGCAGTGGTGCCATCAAGGCTCACTGCAATATCTGTCTCTCGGGCTCAAACTATTCCCCTACCTCAGCCTCCCAAGTAGCTGAGACTACAAGTGCACGCTACTATGCTCAGCTAATTTTTGTGTTTTTGGTAGAGATGGGCATGTTGCCCAGGCTAGTCCTGAACTCCTGAGCTCAGGTGATCCACCTGCCTCAGCCTTCCAAAGTGCTGGGGTTATAGGCATGAGCCACTGCACCTGGCAAGATTTATTTATTTATTTATTTATTTATTTTAATTTTTTTTTTTAAATTGAGATGGAGTCTCGCTCTGTCACCCAGGCTGGAGTGCAGTGGCGCGATCTTGGCTCACTGCAAGCTCCGCCTCCTGGGTTCACGCCATTCTTCTGCCTCAGCCTCCCAAGTAGCTGGGACTACAGGCGCCTGCCACCACGCCCGGCTAATTTTTTGTATTTTTAGTAGAGACGGGGTTTCACCGTGTTAGCCAGGATGGTCTCAATCTCCTGACCTCGTGATCCGCCCTCCTAGGCCTCCCAAAGTTCTGGGACAGATTTATTTTTATTGCTGATTTAATCTCCTTACTTGCTTTGGTCTCTTCAGGCTTTAAAAAAATTTTTTTTCATGATTCAATCTTTGTAGGTTGTATATTTCTAGGAATTATTCTTTTCCTCTAGGTTATCCAATTTGTTGGCATATAATTGTTCACAGTAGTCACTTATGATTCTTTGTATTTCTTGTTGTGTCTCTTCTTTCATTTATAATTGTATATTTGAGACTTCTTTTTTTCTTAGTTTGGCTAAAGTTTTCTCAGTTTTGTTTATCTTTTCAGAAATCAACTCTTAGTTTCATTGATATTTTCTACTATTTTTTCTAGTCTTTATTATTATAATTTTTGCTCCAATCCTTTATATTTTTATTTCTTCTTCCTTCTGCTTGCTTTAGATTTTGTTTGCCTTTCTTTTTTAGTGTCTTAAGAAGTTAGGTTGTTGATTTGAGATTTTTTTTCTTTTTAAAGATAGGTACTTACCTGCATCAATTTTCTTCTAAGCACTGCTTTAGCGGCAGCTCATAAGTTCAGGTATGTTGTATGTTCATTTTAAGTAATCTCAAAGTATTTTCCAATTTTCCTTTTGATTTCTTCTTTGTCCCATTGGTTATTTTGGACTATATTTTTTATTTCCACATATTTGTTAGTTTCCCCTTTTTTTCTGTTATTCATTTCTAATTTAATTTTATTATTATGGTTGGAAAACATACTTTATATTTTTACAGCTTAAAAAAATTTCTTGATTTTGTTGTATTGCCCAGTGTAGTGTCTATTCTAGAGAATGTTTCATGTGCACTTGAAAAAAATATGTATTCTACTTTGTTTGATGAAATGATCTATAGATGTCTTCTAGGCCTGATTGGTTTATAATGTTGTTTAAGTCTTCTATTTACCTGTTATCTTCTGCCTTATTGTGGTAACATTATTGTAAGTGCTGTATTGAAGTCTGAATATGAGCATTGAATTTTATCATTTTCCCTTCATTTCTGTCACTTTTTGGTTCATTTACTTAGTGCTTTGTTACTGAGTTCATATATACGTATATTCTTACGCATTTCTGATGGCCTTGACCCTTTACCACTGTAAAATGTCCTCCTTTATCTCTAGTAACATTTTTAAAAAGTCTGTTTTCTCTGATATTATCATAACCACTTCAGCTTTCTTATGTTGCTCTTTGCATGATATATTTTTTATCTTTTTAGTTTCATTCTATTTGACTTTGAAACTAAAGTGTGTCCCTTACAGACAGCATATAGTTGAACCTTGCTTATTTACTTAGTTTTTCAGTTTTTGTGATTAAATTGCTTTATCAGTTTACATTTAATATTATTGATATACAGTCATGTGTCTCTTAATGATGAAAATATATTCTGAGAAATGTGCCATTCGGCAGTTTCTTTGTGTGAACATCATAGAGTGTACTTCTGGAAACCTAGATGGTTTAATCTCCTAACACCTAGGCTATATGGAATAGCCTGTTGTGCCTAGGCTATAAACCTGTACAGCATGTTACTGTACTGAATACATAGGCAATAGTAATACAATAGTATTTGTGTATATAAACATATCTAAATATAGAAAAGGCACAGTAAAAATATGATATTATAATCTTATGGGCCCACCATCATGTGTGCTGGTCCATCATTGACCAAAACATTATTATGTGTCACATGACTGTAGTTGGATTTATATCTGCCATTTTACTTTTTCCTATATGACTTATGCCTTTTTGTTCCTCTATTCCTCCTTTACTGTTTCCTTTTGCATTAAGTGTATATTATCTAATAAAACATTAAAAAATTTTTTTGTGATTTTCATCCCTGCATTTTGTGAATTATTGGTGTTTGCTACATGCATCTAACTTACCAGAATCTACTTCAGGTTTATACTAACTTAATTCTGATGATATATGGAACTGTTACTGTTACATAGTTCTATTCCCTTTTCCTCCATTTTTTTCTATTACTGTTATACATATTGCAGGTTGAGAATCCCTTATCCAGAATGCTTGGGACCAGAAATATTTCAGATTTTGGATTTTTTTCTGATTATGGAATATTTGAATTTTACTTACTAGTTGCGCTTTTCAAAATACATATGAAAATCTGAAATCTGAAATGTTTTAACGAGCATTTCCTTTGAATGTCATGTCAGTGCTCAAGAAGTTTCGGATTTTGGAGTATTTTGGATTTTCTGTATACTACAAAACAATGCATTGTTGCTATTATAACTTTATACAATTGTGTGTCTTTTTAAAAACCTGAGAGGAAAAATGAGGGCAACTATATATTTATAGATTTTTGTTATGTTAGCCTTCCCTCGCCCTCCCATTTCTGGGTGTCTTCATTGTTACTTTGGCTTTGAGTTTGTCTCTTTTCATTTCCTTAGTCCAATAAAGCTTTGCTCCCACCCACGTTCTTTGTGCATTTATTGGTAAATATATTGTATTTCATCTGTTATAGGACCAATAGTACAATTATATTTGTATCATCTTATGTAATATTATATAATTGATTTTAAAATCAGTTCAGATGGAAAAGAGATGCAGCTATACTGTCTTTTATAATTACATAATTATTTTTATTGTTGTTCTTTGCTTTTTGTGTGTGGTTTTGAATTACCATCTGTGATCAGTTATTTTCAGTTTGAAGAACTTCCTTTAGTGTTTCTTATATGGTGGATCTGCCAACAAGGCATGCTCTCACTTTTTGTTTCTCTAGGAATGTATTTTTCTTTTTTTTTTTCTTTTTTTTAAATTATACTTTAAGTTCTGGGGTATATGTGCAGAATGTGCAGCTTTGTTACATAGGTGTACACATGTCATGGTGGTTTGCTGCACTTATCAACCTGTCACCTACATTAGGTATTTCTCCTAATGCCATCCCTCCCGTAGCCTCCCACCCCCTGACAGGCCCCGGTGTGTGATGTTCCCCTCCCTGTGTCCCGGTGTTCTCATTGTTGAACTCCCACTTATGAGTGAGAACATGCGGTGTTTGGTTTTCTGTTCTTGTGTTAGTTTGCTGAGAATGATAGTTTTCAGCTTCATCCATGTCCCTGTAAAGAACATGAACTCATCCTTTTTTATGGCTGCATAGTATTCCATAGCGTATATGTGCCACATTTTCTTTATCCGGTCTGTCATTGATGGACATTTGAGTTGGTTCCAAGTCTTTGCTATTGTGAATAGTGCTGCAGTAAACATACGTGCACATGTGCCTTTATAGTAGCATGATTTGTAATCCTTTTGGTATATACCCATTAATGGGATTGCTGGGTCAAATGGTATTTGTAGTTCTAAATCCTTGAGGAATCACCACACTGTCTTCCACAATGGTTAAACTAATTTACACTCCCACCAACAGTGTAAAAGCATTCTTATTTCTCCACATCCTCTCCAGCATCTGTTGTTTCCTGACATTTTAATGATCACCATTCTAGCTAGTGTGAGAGGGTATCTCATCGTGAATTTGATTTGCATTTCTCTAATGACCAGTGATGATGAGCTTTTTTTCATGTTTGTTGGCTGCATAAGTGTCTTCTTTTGAGAAGTGCCTGTTCATATCCTTTGCCCACTTTTTGGTGGGGTCGTCTGTTTTTTTTCTTCTAAATTTGTTTAAGTTCTTTGTAGACTCTGGATATTAGCCCTTTGTCAGATGAATAGATTGCAAAAATTTTCCCCCATTCTTTAGGTTGCCTGTTCATACTGATGACAGTTTCTTTTGCTGTGCAGAGCTCTTTAGTTTAATTAGATCCCATTTGTCAATTTTGGCTTTTGTTGCCATTGCTTTTGGTGTTTTAGTCATGAAGTCCTTGCCCATGCCTGTGTCCTGAATGGTATTGCCTAGGTTTTCTTCTAGGATTTTTATGGCTTTAGATCTTACGTTTAAGTCTTTAATCCATCTTGAGTTAATTTTTGTATAAGGTGTAAGGAAGGGGTCCAGTTTCAGTTTTCTGCATATGGCTAGCCAGTTTTTCCAACACCATTTATGAAATAGGGAATCCTTTCCCCATTTCTTGTTTTTGTCAGGTTTGTCAAAGAGCAGATAGTTGTAGATGTGTGGTGTTATTTCTGAGGCCTCTGTTCTGTTCCATTGGTGTGTGTGTATATATATATGTTTTGGTACCAGTACCATGCTGTTTTGGTTACTGTAGCCTTGTGGTATAGTTTGAAGTCCAGTAGCATGATCCCTCCAGCTTTGTTCTTTTTCCTTAGGATTGTCTTGGCTGTATGGGCTCTTTTTTGGTTCTATATGAAGTTTAAAGTAGCTTTTTTCTGATTCTGTGAAGAAAGTCAATGGTAGCTTGATGGGGATAGCATTGAATCTATAAATCCCTTTGGGCAGTATGGCCATTTTCACGATATTGATTCTTCCTATCCATGAGCATGGAATGTTCTTCCATTTGTTTGTGTCCTCTGTTATTGTCTTGAGCAGTGGTTTGTAGTTCTCCTTGAAGAGGTCCTTCATGTCCCCTGTAAGCTGGATTCCTAGGTATTTTATTCTCTTTGAAGCAATTGTGAATGGGAGTTCACTCATGATTTAGCCCTCAGTTTGTCTATTATTGGTGTATAAGAATTCTTGTGATTTTTGCACATTGATTTTCTATCCTGAGACTTTGCTGAAGTTGCTTATCAGCTTAAGGAGATTTTGGGCTGAGACAATGGGGTTTTCTAAATATACAATCATGCCATCTTCAAACAGGGACAATTTGACTTCCTCTTTTCCTAATTGAATGCCCTTTATTTCTTTCTCCTGCCTGATTGCCCTGGCCAGAACTTCCAACAGTTGAATAGGAGTGGTGAGAGAGGGCATCCCCCTCTTGTGCCAGTCTTCAAAGGGAATGCTTCCAGTTTTTGCACATTCATTATGATATTGGCTGTGGGTTTGTCATAAATAGCTCTTATTATTTTGAGATACATCCCATCAATACCTAGTTTATTGAGAGTTTTTAGCATGAAGAGCTGTTGAATTTTGTCAAAGGCCTTTTCTGCATCTATTGAGATAATCATGTGGTTTTTGTCTTTGGTTCTGTTTATGTGATGGATTACATTTATTGATTTGCATATGTTGAACCAGCCTTGCATCCCAGGGATGAAGCCCGCTTGATCATGGTGGATAAGCTTTCTGACGTACTGCTGGATTCGGTTTGCCAGTATTTTATTGAGGATTTTTGCATTGAGGTTCATCAGGGATATTGGTCTAAAATTATCCTTTTTTTGTTGTATCTCTGCCAGTCTTTGGTATCAGGATGATGCTGGCCTCATAAAATGAGTTAAGGAGGATTCCCTCTTTTTCTGTTGATTGGAATACTTTCAGAAGGAAAGGTACCAGCTCCTCCTTGTGCCTCTTGTAGAATTCAGCTATGAATCCGTCTGGTCCTGGACTTTTTTTGATTGGTAAGCTATTAATTATTGCCTCAATTTCAGAGCCTGTTATTTGTCTATTCAGGGATTCAACTTCTTCCTGATTTAGTCTTGGGAGGGTGTATGTGTCCAGGAATTTATCCGTTTCTTCTAGATTTTCAAGTTTATTTGTGTAGAGGTGTTTATAGTATTCTCTGATGGTAGTTTCTATCTCTATGGGATCAGTGGTGATATCCCCTTTTTCATTTTGTATTGCGTCTATTTGATTCTTCTCTCTTTTCTTCTTTATTAGTCTTGCTAGTGGTCTATCAGTTTTGTTGATCTTTTCAAAAAACCAGGTCCTGGATTCATTGATTTTTTGAAGGGTTTTTTGTGTCTCTATATCCTTCAGTTCTTCTCTGTTCTTAGTTATTTCTTGCCTTCTGCTAGCTTTTGAATGTGTTTGCTCTTGCTTCTCTAGTTCTTTTAATTGTGATGTTAGTTTGTCAATTTTAGATCTTTCTTGCTTTCTCTTGTGGGCATTTAATGCTATAAATTTCCCTCTACACACTGCTTTAGCTGTGTCCCAGAGATTCTAGTATGTTGTGTCTTTGTTCTCATTGGTTTCAAAGAACATCTTTATTTCTGCCTTCATTTCGTTATGTACCCAGTAGTCATTCAGGAGCAGGTTGTTCAGTTTCCATGTAGTTGAGTGGTTTTGAGTGAGCTTCTTCATCCTGAGTTTTAGTTGATTGCACTGTGGTCTGAGAGACAGTTTGTTATAATTTCTGTTCTTTTACATTTGCTAAGGAGTGCTTTACTTCCAACTATGTGGTCAATTTTGGAATAAGTGTGGTGTGGTGCTGAGAAGAATGTATATTCTGTTGATTTGGGGTGGAGTGTTCTGTAGATGTCTATTAGGTCTGCTTGGTGCAGAGCTGAGTTCAATTCCTGGGTATCCTTGTTAACTTTCTGTCTCGCTGATCTGTCTAATGTTGACAGTGGGGTGTTAAAGTCTCCCATTATTATTATGTGGGAGTCTAAGTCTCTTTGTAGATCTCTAAGGACTTGCTTTATTCATCTGGGTGCTCCTGTATTGGGTACATATATATTTAGGATAGTTGGCTCTTCTTGTTGAATTGATCCCTTTACCATTATGTAATGGCCTTCTTTGTCTCTTTTGATCTTTGTGGTTTAAAGTCTGTTTTATCAGAGACCAGGATTGCAACTCCTGCCATTTTTTGTTTTCCATTTGCTCCTCCTCCGTCCGTTTATTTTGAGCCTATGTATGTCTCTGCACATGAGATGGGTCTCCTGCATACAGCACACTGATGGGTCTTGACTCTATCAAATTTGCCAGTCTGTGTCTTTTAATTGGAGCATTTAGCCCATTTACATTTAAGGTTAATATTGTCATGTGTGAATTTGATCCTGTCATTATGATGTTAGCTGGTTATTTTGCTCGTTAGTTGATGCAGTTTCTTCCTAGCATCAATGGTCTTTACAATTTGTCATGTTTTTGCAGTGGCTGGTACCAGTTGTTCCTTTCCATGTTTAGTGCTTCCTTCAGGAGCTCTTTTAGGGCAGGCCTGGTGGTGACAAAATCTCTCAGCATTTGCTTGTCTTTAAAGCATTTTATTTCTCCTTCACTTTTGAAGCTTGGTTTGGCTGGATATGAAATTCTGCGTTGAAAATTCTTTTCTTTAAGAATGTTGAATATTGGCCCTGCTGTCTTCTGGTTTGTAGAGTTTCTGCCGAGAGATCCTCTGTTAGTCTGATGGGCTTCCCTTTGTGGGTAACCCGACCTTTCTTTCTGGCTGCCCTTAACATTTTTTCCTTCATTTCAATTTTGGTGAATCTGACAATTATGTGTCTTGGAGTTGCCCTTCTCGAGGAGTATCTTTGTGGCATCAGTGATTTTTTGAAGGGTTTTTTGTGTCTCTGTCTCCTTCAGTTCTGCTCTGATCTTAGTTATTTCTTGTCTTCTGCTAGCTTTTGAATTTGTTTGCTCTTGCTTCTCTAGTTCTTTTAATTGTGATGTTAGGGTGTCGATTTTAGATTTTTCTTGCTTTCTTTTGTGGGCATTTAGTGCTATAAATTTCTCTCTACCCACTGCTTTAAATGTGTCCCAGAGATTCTGTTACGTTCTGTCTTTGTTCTTGTTGGTTTCCAAGAACATCTTTATTTCTGCCTTCATTTTGTTATGTACCCAGTAGTCATTCAGGAGCAGGTTGTTCAGTTTCCATGTAGTTGTGCGGTTTTGAGTGGATTTCTTAATCCTGAGTTCTAATTTGATTGCACTGTGGTCTGAGAAACTGTTTATTATGATTTCTGTTATTTTGCATTTGCTGAGGAGTGTTTTACTTCCAATTATATGGTCAATTTTAGAATAAGTGTGATGAGGTGCTGAGAAGAATGTATATTCTGTTGATTTGGAGTGGAGAGTTCTGTTGTCTGCCTGGTCCGCTTGGTCCAGAGCTGAGTTCAAGTCCTGAATACCTTTGTTAATTTTCTGTCTCATTGATTTGTCTAATATTGACATTGGGGTGTTAAAATCTCCCACTATTATTGTGTGGGAGTCTAAGTCTCTCATAGGTCTTTAAGAACTTGTTTTATGAATCTGGGTGTTCCTGTATTGGGTGCATATATATTTAGGATAGTTAGCTTTTCTTGTTGCATTGATGTTTTTACCATTATTTTATGCCCTTCTTTGTCTCTTTTGATCTTTGTTGGTTTAAAGTCTGTTTTATCAGAGATTAAAATTGCAACTCCTGATTTTTTTTTTTTTTTTTGCTTTCCATTTGCTTGGTAAATATTCCTCCATCCCTTTATTTTGAGCCTATGTGTGTTTTCGTACGTGAGATGGATCTCCTGAATACAGCACACCAGTGGGTCTTGACTATCCAATTTGCCAGTCTGTGTCTTTTAATTGGGGCATTTAGCCCAGTTACATTTAAGGTTAATATTGTTATGTGTGAATTCGATCCTGTCATTATGATGCTACCTGGTTATTTTGCCCATTAGTTGGTGAAGTTTCTTCATAGTGTTGATGGTCTTTACAATTTGGTATGTTTTTGCAGTGGCTGGTACCAGTTTTTCCTATCCAATTTTAGTGCTTTTTCAGAGCTCTTGTAAGGCAGGCCTGGTGGTAACAAAATGTCCCAGCATTTGCTTGTCTGTGAAGGATTTTATTTCTCCTTCTCTTATGAAGCTTAGTTTGGCTGGATATGAAATTCTGGGTTGAGAATTCTTTTCTTTAAGAATGTTGAATATTGGCTCCCACTCTCTTCTGGCTTGTAGCATTTCTGTAGAGATTTTCCCTTCATTCTGAAAGGTAGTTCTCCTGGGTGTAGGCTTCTTGGTTGACAAGAATTCTTGGTATTTTGGGTTGTTTTGTTTTTTGAGCTCTTTGAATATGTTAGATCACTGCTTTCTGGATTCCATTGTTTCTGCTTAGAAGCCAGTTGTTAATATTATTGGAGTTCCTGTGCAATTGACAAGCCATTTTTCCCTTGCTGCTTTCAAGATATTTTCCTTGCTTTCAGCATTTTTATAATGATGTGTCTGATTGTAGATCTCTTAGCTTTTATCCTACTTGCTTATTTAGCATGCTAAATATGAAGATGAAAATTTTCCTTGAAATTTATGAAGTTTCCAGCCATTATTTTTTCAATTATTTCTTCTGGTCCTTTCTATATCCTCTCCTTCTACTACTATCATTATATGTAGGTTGGTGTGCTTAATAGTGTCCTATATTTTTCGGAGGTTTGTTCATTTTTCTTCATTCTGCTTTTTTTCTTCATCAAATTGCATAATCTTCATCAATCTTTTTTAAATTCATTAATTGTTTCCTCTGCCAGTTCAGAATCCACTGCTGAGACCCTCTGGGAAACCTTTTCATTTCAATTATTGTAATTTCAAGTTTCAGACATTCCATTTTGTTCTTTTAAAAAAATGATTTATATATTTTTTTATAATCTTTATTTGATGAGACATTGTCATCATATCTTCCTTTACTTCATTAACCATGCATCATTAGGTCCTTGAACATATTTTTAATGCCTACTTTGAAGTTTTGCTTGTTAATTATGACATCTGGTTGCTTGAAAATGTGTTCTCCTCAATCTTACAAAATAAAGAATGGGGCCAGGCATGGTGGCCTCATCCCTGTAATCCCAGCACTTTGGGAGGCTGAGGCGGGAGGATCACCTGAGGCCAGGAGTTTGAGACCAGCCTGGCCAACATGGTGAAACCCTGTATCTACTAAAAAAAATTAGCCGGGCATGATGGTGCATGCCTGTAATCCCAGCTACTTGAGAGGCTGAGGCAGGAGAATCACTTGAACCTGGGAAGCAGAGGTTGCAGTGAGCTGAGATCACGCCACTACACTCCAGCCTGGGCCACAACGCAAGACTCCGTCTCAAAAAAAAAAAAAGCTCACAAAACAATGCAGACAGTACCTCTTTCAGGTAAATATGCACTTTTGCACATATACGTATGTATGTGTAGTCAGTATAGCACAGACAGAAGTTCAGAAAGCTATGCCCCAAATGTTGTAAGAGATCTGCTCCTGTTCCACTCCTAGGCTTGACGGTAGAGACAGTTACTGCAGTACCCAGCTTCAAGCCATGTTACACAGTGGCCAAAGAGCAGCCTGACTGAGGTGAGGGAAATCTCGTCTGGTCAGAGCCCCAGACAGCTGACCAGCCTTCTCCGTGCTACCTGCTGGGCCCTCTCTGCTGGATGGGCTGGCCATGTCCCGTCTACAGCGCTTTCTTCCCTACTGAGGGGCCCTTTTAGGATGCCCCAGGGCCAACAAAATGCACCCAGTCATTTCTGTTCTAGAATGTGGTACCACATAAGACCTGCGCCCCAGCACATCTCAACTCAAAGACCTGTCTTGGCTCACAAAGGCTGTGAAGAGAACAATATAACACTGGCCAAGCCTCACAAAGCGAGTGACTCAAACCTTCAAAATGTTTGTGTTTATCTATAAAAATGTCATTTTCAACCAGAGAGGTTGCAGTGAGCCGAGACAGTACCACTGCACTCCAGCCTGGGCAACAGAGTAAGACCCTGTCTCAAAAAAAAAAAAAAAAAAAATGTGGGGGGGCAATTGTCTATTCATGTGCATAGCCCACTTTTTGATCAGATTGTTTGTTTCTTTCTTGCTGATTTGTTTGAGTTCCTTGTACATTCTGGATATTATTATTTTATTGGATGCGTCATTTGCAAAGATTTTCTCCCACTCTGGGGGCTGTCTGTTTACTCTGATGATTATTTCTTTTGCTGTGCAGAAGTTTTTTAGTTTAATTAAGTCGCATCTATTTATCTTTGTGTTGCATTTGCTTTTGTGTTCTTGGTAATGAAGGGTTTGCCTAAGCCAATGTCTAGAAGGGTTTTTCCGATGTTCTAGAATTTTTATGGTTTTAGGTCTTAGATTTAAGTCTTTGATCATTTTGAGTTGATTTTTGTATAAGGTGAGAGGTGAGGATCCAGTTTCATTCTTCTACATATAGCTTGCCAATTATCTCAGCACCATTTTGTTGAATAAGGTGTTCTTTCCCCACTTTATGTTTTTGTTTGCTCTCTCGAAGATCACTTGGCTGTACGTTTTGGCTTTATTTCTGTGTTCTCTATTCTGTTCCATTGGTCTATGTGCCTATTTTTATACCAGTACCATGCTATTTTGGTAACATAGCCTTGTAGTATAGTTTGAAGTTGGGTAAGTGATGCCTCCAGATTTGTTCTTTTTGCTTAGTCTTGCTTTGGGTATTGTTAGAAATGCTTGTTCCCTGGTGTCGCAAAGAAATAGCACTTGAACATAAATTTAATTCCCTCAGCAAGGCCATTTTTACTTTCTGCAGAAAGGGTGCCCATTGCAGATGGAACAATGGTGAGAGCACACTTGAGCAAAGGAAAAGCAGACATGTTTATCTCTTATGCATTTGGGTCATCCTTACTGCAGTGTCCTGCATCCATTGGCTGGAGCTGGACCTCACAATCTTAAACTGATACCCAATTTGCTAATAACCTAAAACTTTCCTAAATAGGTAAGTGCAAGAGAGAACAAAGAAGAGGAAGTTGCTTATGAAAGGTTTAAGGAAACAATAACATTTCCAAATAAGGAAGGGGCATAAGCTATGAGCTAAGACTTGCCTGGGCCTGTCCAGACATGCCTGAGTAAGCCAAAGCAACTAACTGGGCTAAAGTGTAAGAACTAATAGTTGATAGGAGGCTTTAGAGTAAGGAACTGTTATTCCTAGTGTCTATTATTTTATTTTTAAATCAAGACGAACTTTGAAGATTAACTTTTCTACTTTCTACAGTATGCTGGCTCTTTTTTAGTCATATACGAATTTTAGGATGTTTAGGTTTTTTTTTTTCTGGTTCTATGAAGAATGATGATGGTATTTTGATAGGAATTGCCTTGAATTTGTATATTGTTTTTGGCAGTATGCTCATTTTTACAATATTGATTCTACCCATCCATGAGCATGGGATGTATTTCCATTTGTTTGTGTCATAAATGATTTCTTTCAGCAGTGTTTTGTAGTTTTCCTTGTAGAGCTCTTTCACCTCCTTGGTTAGGTATATTCCTAAGTTGTGTTTTTTTGTTTTTTGTTTTTTGTTTTTGCTATTGTAAAAGGAGTTGAGTTCTTGATTTGATTCTCAACTTGGTCACTGTTGGTGTATAGCAGTGATGATTTATGTACATTGATTTTGTATACTGAATTCATTTATCAGATCTGGGAGCTTTTGGATGAATCTTTAGAGTTTTCTAGGTATATGATCCTATAATTGGCGAACAGTGACAATTGACTTCCTCTTTACCAATTTGGGTGCCTTTTATTTCTTTCTGTTGTCTGATTGCTCTGGCTAAGACTTCCAGTACTATGTTGAATAGAAGTAGTGAAAGTGGGCATTCTTGTCTTGTTCTAGTTCTTAGGGGGAATGCTTTCAACTTTTCCCCATTCGGTAATATTGTCTGTGGGTTTGTCATAGATGGCTTTTATTACCTTAGGGTATGTCCCTTCTATGCTGATTTTGCTGAGGGTTTTAATGATAAAGGAATACTGGAGTTTGTCATATGTTTTGTCTGCATCTATGGAGATGATCATGTGATTTTTGTTTTTAATTCTGTTTATGTGGTCTATCATATTTATTGACTTACTTACGTTAAACCATCCCTGCATCCCTGATATGAAACCCATTTGATCATGATGTATTATCTTTTTGTTATGCTGTTGGATTCGGCTAGCTAGTATTTTATTGAGGATTTTTGCAGCTATGTTCATCAGGGATATTGGTCTGTAGTTTTCTTTTTTTGTTATGTCCTTTCCTAGTTTTGGTATTAGTGTGATATTGGCTTCATAGAATGATTTAGGGAGCATTCTCTCTTTCTCTGCCTTGTGGAATAATTTCAGTAGGATTGGTACCAGTTCTTTGAATGACAGAATTCAGCTGTGAATTCATCTGGTCCTGGACTTTTCTTCATTGGCAGGCAGTTTTTTGTTTTTGTTTCTTGTTTTTTTTGTTTTTTACCATTTGAATCTTGCTGCTTGTAATCTAGAAGGGTTGTATATTTCCAGGAATTTATCCATTTCCTCTAGGTTTTCTAGTTTATGCATGTAACAATGTTCATAGTAGCCTTGAATGATCTTTTGTATTTCCGTGGTATTGGTTGTAATAGCTCCCATTTCGTTTCTAACTGGACTTATTTGGATCTTCTCTGCTCTTTTCTTGGTTAATCTCACTAATAGTCTATCAGCTTTGTTTATCTTCTCAACCAGCTTTTTGTTTCTTTTATCTTTTGTAGTGGTTTTTTTTTTTTTGGTTGTTTCCATTTTAATTCTGCTCTGATCTTTGTTATTTCTTTTCTTCTGCGGGGTTTGAGTTTGGTTTGTTCTTGTTTCTCTAGTTCCTTGAGGTGTGACCTTAGATTGTGCTCTTTCAGACTTTTTGATTTAGGCATTTAATAGTATGAACTTTCCTCTTAGTACCACTTTTGCTGTATCCCAGAGGTTTTGATAAGTTGTGGCACTATTATTGTTCAGCTCAAATAATTTTTTAATTTCCATCTCGATTTCATTGTTGAACCAGAGATCATTCAAGAGCAGATTATTTAATGTCCATATATTTTTATAGTTTTGAGGGTTCCTATTGGAGGTAATTTCCAGTTTTATTCCATTGTGGTTTGAGAAGATACTTGATATAAATTTGATTTTTAAAAATTTATTGAGACTTGTTTTATGGCCTATCATATGGTCTGTTTTGGAGAATGTTCCTTGTGCTGATGAATAGAATGTATGTCCTGCAATTGTTCGGTAGAATGTTCTGTAAATATCTGTGAAGTGCATTTGTTCTAGGGTATAGTTTAAGTCCATTGTTTCTTTTTAAACTTTCTGTCTTAATGACCTGTCTATTGAAGTCCCCCACTATTATTGTGTTGCCATCTATCTCATTTTTTAGGTCTAGTAGTAATTGCTTATAAATTTGGGAGCTCCAATGTTAGATGCATAAATATTTAGAACTGTGAGATTTTCCTGTTAGACTCTTCCTTTTATCATTATATAATGTCCCTCTTTGTCTTTTTTAACTGTTGTTGCTTTAAAGTTTGCTTTGTCTGATATAAGAATAGCTACTCCTGCTCGCTTTTGGTTTTCATTTTGTATGGAATATGTTTTTCCACCCCTTTACTTAAGTTTGTATGAGTCCTTATGTGTTAGGTGAGTCTCTTGAAGACATCAGATACTTATTTAGTGTATTCTTATCAATTCTGCCATTCTGTGTCTTTTAGGTAGAGCATTTAGACCATTTACATTCAATGTTAGTATTGAGATGTGAGGTACTATTATTCATTATGCTACTTGTTGCCTGAATACTTTGTTTTTCTTTAATTGTGTTATTGTTTTATAGGCCTTGTGAGAGTTATACTTTAAAGAGATTCTATTTTGGTGTATTTCAAGGTTTTGTCTCAAGATTTAGAACTCCTGTCAGCAGTTCTCATAGTGCTGACATGGTAGTGGCAACTTCTCTCAGCATTTGTCTGAAAAAAAACTTTTTTTTTTTTCATTTTTGAAGCTTAGTTTCACTGGAGACAAAATCTTGGCTGATAATTGTTTTGTTTAAGGAGGTAAAAGATAGGACCCCAATCCCTTCTAGCTTGTATGGTTTCTGCTAAGAAATCTGCTATTAATCTGATAGGTTTTTCTTTATAGGTTACTGGATGCTTTTGCCTCACAGATCTTAAGATTCTTTCTTTTGTGTTTATTTATTTATTTATTTATTTTTGAGATGGAGTTTCGCTCTTGTTGACCAGGGGCAGTGCAATGGCGCGATCCCAGCTCACTGCAACCTCTGCCTCCTGAATTCACATGATTCTTCTGCCTCAGGCTCCAGAGTAGCTGGGATTACAGGCACCCACCACCACACCCAGCTAATTTTTTGTATTTTTAGTAGAGACAGGGTTTCATTATGTTGGCCAGGCTGGTCTCGAACTCCTGGCCTCAGGCGATCCACCTGCCTCGGCCTCCCAAAGTGCTAGGATTACAGACGTGAGCCACCACACCCGGCCAGGTTATTGATTTTAGATATTCCTTCTTTTCTAATATATGCACTCAGTGCTATAAATTTCTTGTAAGTACTGCTTTAACTACATGCCACAAATTTTGGTAAGTTATATTTTAATTTTTGTTTCATTCAAAATATTCTAAATTTTTTTTGTGATTTCTTCTTTGACCTATGTGTTATTTAGAAGTATGTTGTTAAATTTCTAAATATTTTGGGATTTTCCAACTATCCTTCTGTTAATGTATTTCTAGTTCAACTCCATTGTGATCTGAGAGTATACTTTGTATGATTTTTGCTCTTTTAAGTTTGTTTAGATGTGTTTTATAGGGCATACGTAGTCTGTCTTAGTGAATGTTGCATGTGAGCTTGAAAAGAATGTGTATTCTGCTGTTTTTGGATAAAGTACTCTGTAAATATCTAGATCCAATTGATTGATAACGCTGTTCAGTTGAATTGTATCCTTGCTGACTTTCTGCCTGCTTGATCTGTCAGTTACTGATACATGGGTGTTGCATTCTCCAATAATAATCTATAATAGTAATCTAGAATAGTAGATATGGGTATCTCTCCTTGCCATCCTATCAATTTTTTTGGCTTACGTATGTTGGCATGCTCTGTTGTTAGGAATGTGCACATTAAGGATTGTTATGTCTTCTTTGAAAATTAACTTTTTACAATCATTATGTCATGCCCTCTCTTTATTACTGATAATTTTCCTTTCTCTGAAATTTGCTTTGTCTGAAATTAATGTAGCTACCCCAACTTTCCTTTTATTAGCATTAACATTTGAATATTAATATTAATTTATCGTAGCTAAATAAGTAGATCTTGTTTTCTTATCCACTCTGACCATTTGTCTTAATTGGGGTATATAGATTAGTCACAGTTAAAGTAATTATAGTTGGATTAATATTTCCCATATTTATAAGTATCTTTAATTTATTGCCCCGTTCATTTGTTTGTTTAGTCTTCAGCTGCTCTTCTGCCTTTTCTGGTTTTAATCGAGCATGTTATATAATTCCATTTTGTTTTTTCTCTTAGGGTATTAATTATATTTTCTTTGTATGTATTTATATAGTTATTTGTATCATTATTTGATTAATATATGACTTCTCTAGTAGTCTGGATGTTTCATTAGAGCAGATACCACATACCATCGAATATGTACCTAGCCACAGTGACTGGAACATAGAGTATATTCAATATATATGTGATGAATGGGTGGGTGGATGGAAGGATGGATAAAAAGTTGGCTTGGAGAATAAGAAAGAGTGAGTGAGGAAGGAAGGGAAGAGATAGAGAGAAAGTAGGAGTGAATTATGGCCAAATAACTTATAATGGGAGCAAATTCTAGTGCTTTACACTTGTAAAATCACTTGTAAAAACACATAAATTTATTTGCCTCTCAGTTCTACTTGTCTTCACATTATAGCAAACAAATACTTCTCTGTAGGTGGCAGTGCACTTACATAAGACATTTTTCTGAAAGAAAAGGGTGGGGGTGGAATTATCTTGAACATTCGAAAGCATTTATGTAACTTGAATCTCATAGTTTTAAAAACACACTCTTATTTCCTATAATGTGGATATATACTTAATTTATACTTGCCCTTAGTCTCTTTCCCTCAGAGGTATTAGTAAGTGTTAAAGAGTTATCAGTTTTCATTTTATGACATTATGATTGAAATTGACATGCCAGTCAAGAATTCAAAAACAGATGTTGTGAATAAAACAGTGGCTAGCATTTTTGTTTTTAACAACAACAATAGCATTTGTATTATAAAATAATTGAAACTGGCTAATATAGGTAAAACTGTTGGTCAAATGATATATCTCAACTAGTTTTGGGGCTGGAGACTTTTAAGTGGGAAAGGTTTTTTTTTCCTAAGTACATTAAAAAGAATGACCAGTTGACCATCCTGCTCATGAATTTTATGTAAAAAAAAAAAAAGTCAAAACCTGAATTTATCTTAGACTGTTTTGTACATATTGTTACCACCTGTATTATTTAAACTTCATACAATCTAAGTGCACTACTCTTAGATTTGCCCCACTTCATTTTTCCATGTTATAGTTTCCTTCCAGTTTAATATATATGTATACATACATATATATAATTTTATTCTTACAGCACTTAAATGCAGAAAGGTCTTACAAGTCCCAGATTTCTACCTTACATAAATCTGTTGTAAAAATGGAAGAGGAGCTTCAGAAGGTTCAGTTTGAAAAAGTGTCCGCTCTTGCAGATTTGTCTTCTACTAGGGAACTCTGTATTAAACTTGACTCAAGCAAAGAACTTCTTAATCGACAGCTGGTTGCTAAAGATCAAGAAATAGAAATGGTATGTAATATATTTTAAAAATCTTTAAAATTGCTATTACTGTAAAGTTAGTATAATTTTGGAAAAGTAAGTTCTTTTTTATGTAATATTACATGAATCCATGTCTTTGAACTTAGATTTTATTTTTAAAATCCAAGAGGTTAGTTTATGACAGCTGTATTCCAGACAACTTAAGACTGTAACAGAAACTCTTCCTTTGAGCATGTAATTTGCATTTACTTTTAGCCAGCAGAATCATAAAACACATTGACATAGCGATCAGCAAAGAACCATGAGGTTGAGGTTTATTTAGCTAAATTGTAACTTTAATGATATTCTTTTAAGCTAAATTTATTTACTAATTGGCCGGGTTCTTTTAACTGTAACTCAGTTGATTGTATCTACTTTGTGCCTGACATTCTACTTGCCACAGGGAGTATAATATTCAAAAGATATAGGTTCCTGTCCTCAGGGACTTCCCATTGACATACAAATAATTTGTAATGAATGATATATTAATAAGAGACACTAAAAGCTTTATAGAGGAAATTTCTATTCAGCCCAGGAATATCAGGGAGGAGTACACAAGGAGATACTCAGGAGCTCTAAAGGAATGAGGCATCCCATTCAGAAGGAAAAACAACACAGACAAGGGTATGGAGTGAATAATAAGTACTTTGTAATGGCTAGTGTAGCATGCATGGGAGGAAGTGGCTGGAGAGATAGAGCCCGAATTTTAAAGGGGTATGTATAGAAGATGCATAGTGTATTTGAAATAGTGGAAAATTTTGGTCATGTTTAAAGTTCTGTTATTACCAAACCCTATTGAACCTTTATTTTTTTTATTTTTGAGATGGAGTCTCACTCTGTCGCCAGGCTGGAGTGCAGTGGCATGATCTCGGCTCACTGCAACCTCCGACTCCCTGGTTCAAGCGATTCTCCTGCCTCAGCCTCCCGAGTAGCTGGGATTACAGGTGCCCGCCACCACACCTGGCTGATTTTTGTATTTTTAGTAAGACAGTATTTCACCATGTTGGCCAGGCTGGTCTTGAACTCCTCGACTTTAATCCAGAATGTATGGAGATTTGAAGTTGTCTCAAACATACTTTTAAAGCCACCATCATTTGCACTCTCAAGCAGTTGATCCTCTTCTAGCATGGATAAAGTCAATTCACCTAGCATATTCACAAATGGGTTGCAGATCCATTCCTTCCAAGTTCAGGGGTCTTTTGTGATTGGGAAGTAATGCTCAAACTCTTTTGAAAGCTGAGCTAGGTGATCATACACCAACTGGGAGAAAGAAGGCCCTGGCTCACCCTCCTTCAAAATCTCTGTTAATGTTTGAAAAATGTCAAAAATCCCAGTGTTCACTCGTTGCCCCCATAATTCCAGTTTGGCTTTTTTTGTTTGT
This sequence comes from Homo sapiens, assembly GCF_000001405.40. Classification (NCBI taxonomy): domain Eukaryota; kingdom Metazoa; phylum Chordata; class Mammalia; order Primates; family Hominidae; genus Homo; species Homo sapiens. The sequence continues at coordinate 99,033,839 of NC_000002.12, read as the reverse complement.
TTTGTTTCGTTTCGCTCTGTCACCCAGGCTGGAGTGCAGTGGCGTGATCTTGGCTCACTGCAGCCTCCGCCTCCCGGGTTCAAACAATTCTCCTGCCTCAGCCTCCCAAGTAGCTGGGATTACAGGTGCCCACCACCACACCTGGCTGATTTTTGTATTTTTAGTAAGACAGCATTTCACCATGTTGGCCAGGCTGGTCTTGAACTCCTGACCTCAAGTGATCTGCCCACCTCAGCCTCCCAGTGCTGGGATTACAGCAGTTTAGTTTTGAATGTAGCCACTTTATCTGCCAACTTGAACACAGTTGTCATTCTCCCCTGAAGTGACAGATAGAGTTTGTTGAGCAGGCTGTATAGGTCATACAAGTAAGCAAGTTTTGAGACCCATTCTCTGTCACTAAAATGTGCTTCCAGTGGTGACATTTTCTGAAAGAAATCTCTGAAGTTGCTCTCATAACTCAAAAACTCTGGCCAGTGATACACCTTTAGAAAGTCATCTCACTTCTGTATATAAGAGAAGACGTGTTTGCTCTGCATCCATCTCTTCACAGAGCTATGCGAACAGACATGAGTTAAGGGCATGTACTTTAATGTGGCTGATAATTTTAATCACATCCTGCAAAACGTTGTTAAGTTCAGGTGACATTTTTTGGATAGCCAGCATTTCTCTATAGATGACACAGTGTGTAGACTCACATTCAGAAGCGACCTCTTTGACCCAAGTAATGAAATCAGAAAGCTATCCAGCCATGGCAACCACTGCCATCTGCTCATATACTGACACAAAATGACCAATTCAGTTTTCCTGATGTGTAGTCATTCAAAGACTTGAGTAGTCTGCAACTGTGATGTTGGTTGGCAACAAAAGCGCACATAACATGTCTTCATGCACATGCTCCTGAAAAATATATCACACAGAAACAAGCATTGTTGCCTTGCCGTCAACATCCGTAGACTCGTCAACCTGGATTGCATACCACGGTGACTCATTAATCCTCTCTAACAATTGTCTCACAATATCCTCTGTTATTTCATCAATTCATCTAGTTATTGGTGCTAGCCAAAAGAGGAACATGTGCCACCTTTTGAACTTCAGCCTCTCCTAAAATTTTATGACATTATCCTTATCAGTAGGCAGGATCAACTCTCCACCAATAGCAAAGGGCTTCTTAGCATTAGCAATGTGTTTAGCCACTAAGAATGATGCTCTCAGTGGAGACACATTTGATGAAGTGGTGGCCTTTAATAATTGCTTCTGTTCTTTGTGTTCACATTTTTTTTCTTTTGAGAAACTCCAAAGTCTTGTCTTTTAATACAGGGTGCTTGGTCTCCAAGTGGCAAAGCAGTTTTGAAGGTTTCATGGTTTCACTGGATAGCCGGTCACTACATATTATACAAAGTAGACTTGGAGAATGTGAATCTACCTGTTGCAATGAACCCGTAATTTAAGTGGGACTTGGTATTTTCTTTTAAATGCAGCGTTCCTTTTGTTGATAGTCTTAGATTCTTCTGCTGTCTCATCATTGGGTCTTTTGCCCTTTTCAAAGGAGCTCTCTAGTGATGTTTGTTTTTTACTCATTTTGGCTATGGTTAGCTTGTGGGTTTACCAAAACTATGACTGAGACAAGTACTCAGTGCAGGAAAGAGACACGGATGGAAGTGGTAAATAAAAAAATGGGCAGGCCACATGCAGACTAAAATAAGTGTCAGATTCTGACTTAAAGCCTGCCACTAGATGCAACTGTACAATTGAAGCACATCAACTCACTTGCCACTATAAAGCCTACTACCAGATGCAACTTAATTTTCACTTGCCACTCAGCAATAGGGTTTTGATATGAGTCTGCAAGCAATTGATTTATTAAGGTCTCTGTGCAGTCAAACCTCTCTGCTAATGTTAATCTATATTTGCAGCAGCTCCCCAGAGCTAAGATCAGTGCCTCAGCTCCACCTCAGATCATCAGGCATTAGATTCCTTTAAAGAGTGCACAACTGAGATCCCTTGCCTGTGGAACACAATAGGGTTCCACTCCTATGAGAATCTAATGCTGCTGCAGATCTGACAGGAGGTGGAGTTCAGACAGTAATGCGAGTAATGGGGAGCAGTTGTAAATACAGATGAAGCTTTGCGGGCTCACCTGCCATTCACCTCCTGCTGTGTGGCCTGGTTCCTAACAGACCACAGACTGGTAGCAGTCTGTGGCCCAGGGGTTAGGGACTCCTGCTTTATCAGACATGTGGTTTGCAAATATTTTCTTTCACTAAGTATGTGGCTTGTGGTTTTTATTCTCTTAACAGGGTCTTTCTCAATTAAAAAGTTTTCAATTTTGATGAAGTCGCATTTATAAATTTTCCTTTTATGGATTGTGCTTTTGGCTTTAAGTCTAAAAATTATTTGCTATAGCTCTAAATCTCAAAGATTTTCCTACTTCTTATTCTAAATGTTTTATAGTTTTATTTTTCACATTTAATTCCGTGACCCATTTTGAGTTAATTCTGCGTAAAGTGTGAGGTTGACATAGAGGTTCTTTTTTTTTTTTTTTTTTTTTTTTTTGGCCTATGAGTATCCACCTTCTTCTGTACCATTTGTTTAAAAAGCTATCTTTCTGCCATTGAATTGATTTTGTACCCTTGTGAAAAATCAATTGGGTATATTTGTGTGGGTCTATTTCTTGGTTTTCTATTCTTTTACATTTACCTATGTATCTGTCTTTCCCCCAATACCACAGAATTTTGTTTACTGTAGTTATATATTAAGTCTTTAATTTAGGTTCATCTGCTTTATTCTTTTTTTTTCAAAATTGTTTTAGGTATTCTAATCTCTTTGATTTTTCACATAAATTTTAGAATAATCTTTTTATATCTTCAAAAATCCTGCTTGAATTTTGATAGGAATTGCATTAAAATTGCATTAACTTGGGGAGAATTAACATCTTTACTATGCTAAGGCCTCCAATTCATGAACGTGGTATGTCTTATTTAGATTTTCCTTGATTTCTTTTGTTAACTGTGTAGTTTTCAGCATGCAAGTTCTGTACATGTTTGGATTTCCACCTACAAAATAAAAAGAAGTATTCTTTTTTTGAGCTATTGTAAGTGGTATTTTAGTGTTAATGTCATTGTCAACGTGTTCCTTGCTAGTATGTAGAAGTACAATTGATTTTTGTTTTTTGTTTTCTTTTGGTTTGGTTTTAGAGATTGGGTCTCACTCTGTCACCCAGGCTGGAGTGCAGTGGCACACAGATTACTGCAGTCTTGAACCCCTGGGCTCAAGTAATTCTTTCACCTCAGCCTCCCAAGTAGCTAGGTGGCACTACAGACATGTGTCACCATGCCTGGCTAATATTTTGATTTTTGTAGAGATGGGGTCTTGCTATGTTGCCCAGGCTGGTCTCGAACTTCTGGCCTTAAGCAATCCTCCTGCCCCAGCCTCCCAAAATGCTGGGATTACAGGCGTTAGCCAGCATGCCCAGCCAATAATTTTAATTTTTTTTGAGACAGAGCCTTGCTCTGTCCCCCAGGCTGGAGTACAGTGGCACTATCTTGGCTCACTGCAACCTCCACCTCCCAGGTTGAAGTGATTCTCCTGCCTCAACCTCCCGAGTAGCTGGGATTACAGGCATGTGCCAACACACCCAGCTAATTTTTGTGTATTTAGTAGAGACGGGGTTTCACCATATTTCCCAGGCTGGTCTCGAACTCCTGACCTCAAGTTATCTGCCTGCCTCAGCCTCCCAAAGTGCTGGGATTACAGGCATGAGCCACCGTGCCCAGCCAACAATTTTAATTTTTGAATGTTTATCTTGTGTCCTATGAACTTGCCAAATCCACTTACTAGTTCTAGGAGTTTTCCTGCAGATTCCATGGGGTTTTCTAGGTAAACAACCACTATATCTGAAAATAAGAACAGTTTTATTATTTTCTGATCTGTTTGCCTTTTCTTGCCTTCTTGCACTGTTTCGTACTTAAGCACGGTGTCAGTTAAGAATGGTGAAAGTGGACATCTTACCTTCTTCCCAATATTAGGCAGAAAGCATTCAGTGTTTCACCACTAGTGTTATCTGTAGTATTTTGCAGTTGTTCTTTATCAAGTAGAGGGATTTCCCCTCTATTCCCATATTTCTAAGAGGTTTTATCATAGATTGATATTGAATTTTGTCAAATGCTTTTTCAGCATCTAATTATAAGATCCAATGATTTTTCTTATTTAGCCTATTAATATGATAGATCACATTAATTGTTTTTGAATATTGAACCAGCCTTCCATCCCTGAGATCATTCAGGTAATTTTAAATAAGAAAAGAGAAGTTAGGGTCAAAAATATCTATATTGCCACCTTCATTCTCCTATAAAAATAGTTTAAAGCACTATCTGGACCTTTTGTTCAGTCTTAGTTTTCTTTGCTTTTCTTTTTTTTTAAATACATTTACTGAGATATATTTGTTGATATATAATTCACACTATATAATATACCCTGGTCTTGATTTTCTATCTCTAAATTAATACCATATCTATTAACTAACTCTTCTCAAGGAATTTTGAGAACATGAATTCCAAATATTCTTCCTTTAGCATCTTTTAATGAATGCTTATGTTATGGGTGATTTCCTTAGGCATAATATGAGAAGTGCTTTGGAGAATCTCATATAATTTTTGAAGGAAGCAAAGGATTTTTAAAAATGTAGTCATCACCTTAGGCTACAATGGATTTCAGAACCTAAAACTAGAATAAGGTACTTTCTCCCACTATAGACATTTTGTCACATTTCCTTCTGGCCTTTTCTTTTCCTGGCCAGATTTTTGTGTTCTTTTGCATAGTTGCAAAATAATATATTAAATGGATTATTCTACTTTTTACCATTTCTGTATAAAAAATGTAAAATTTTTATTGTATAAAACAACATGGAAAATTTTTTTACGTAAAACTTTTATCACATTTTGCATTATATCCTTAAGATGGATTCCCACAAGTGGAAATTTTGGCACATACAGCCAACGAGCTTTCAAAAAGCCACTGCTTCACAATTAAGAGGAAACATCACGAAAACAAAAATGGAAACAATAGACCAGTTAGAAGTTGAATAGAGAACCATGGACAGCAGCAGCTAACAAGAGCCCTTCTGGGATCAGAGCAAGCCTCAAAAACTTGCCTCAAAACTACCCCTTCTGTGAGTTTGACAGAGAGTAGAATGGTGGTGATGAGGGGCTGGGGGTGAGGGGAGTAGGGGAAGAAGGGAGACGTTGGACAAGGGGTGCAAATTTTCAGTTACAAGGTGAATAAGTTTGGGAGATCTAATGTACAGCATGGTAACTACAGTTAATATACTGTATACTTGAAACTTGCTGTGAATAGATCTCATGTGTTCTTAACACACACATACAACAGTAACTAGTTGAGAGGTGATGGATATGTTAGTTAGCTTAATTGTGGCAATCATTCTATAATGTATGTGTGTATCAAAACATCATGTTATATTCCTTAAGTATATATAATTTTTATTTGTCAATCGTACCTCAACAACGCTTGGGTTGGGAAGTAGTACCCCTGCAAAGGGATCAAATGTAATTGGATCAGACTGTGAAGCAAGGTAACCCACAGTTGATTATCAAAATAAATAGAACAGTCAGCTAGCAATTAATAGAGGCTAATAGTTGGATTTGATACCAGTAGGGACAGACCAGCCAGACACTTAACAGGGAGATCAGAGAGAGACAGTCAAAGAGAGCCTGGCTAAATCCATTGCATCCTAGCGGGAGGGGCTAGAATGACTGTGTAAATGCCCATGGGAAGGGATCGGGGTAACTATGTGCATACCCTGAGGAGCAACATCGGAGGCTATATACCGCAAGGGAAACAGACATCATAGAAACAATCCAGACAAATAAATAAGGAAATAAGCCAACCATAACAAGCCCCAAGATGGGGAGGATCAGTATTTAGAGATGCTACAATATATTATTTAAAATTTCTGGTTTTCAACAACAAAAATTTAACCCTCAAAAAGCCAGGAAAATGCAGCCCATCCATAGGAAAATAAAGCAAACAAAAGAAACTGTCTTTTAGAGCAGCTTATTATTTCCTTATTATTAGTCTCTATTTGATGAGACATTGTTATTAGGCCTTCTTTTACTTTTTTCTTTCTTTTTTTAGTTGACAAATAATAATTATGTATATTTATGGAGTATAATGTGATGTTTTGGTCTATGTATGTAGACAGATTTGATGTATGTATGGCAGACAGGTTTAATTAAGCTAATAACATATCAATCAACTTATCAACTTATTTTTTGCATGATATCATTAAAATTTTATTCTTTTAGCAATTTTGAATTATACAGTAGATTATTATTAACTGTGGTCACCATGCAATGTAATAAATCACCAAAACTTATTTCTCCAGTCTAACTAAAACTTTGGACTCTGATCAACATCTCCCCTTTCTCCATCCTTCCTCCTCCCACCATTCTACTCTCTGTTTCTATAAAGTCAGCTTGTTTAGATTCCACTTATAAGTAAGATCATACAGTATTTGTCTTTCTTTGCCTGGCTTATTTCATTTAGCATGATGTCCTCCAATTCCACCCAGGTTGCCATGAATGACAGAATTTTTTTCTTTTTAAAGGCCGTATAGTAGGAGTTCCCAACCCTTGGGCCGCAGACCTGTACGGGCCCATAGCCTGTTACCACAGACTGGTACCAGTCCTAGCCGCACAGCAGGAGGTGAGCGGTGGGTGAGTGAGCATTACTGCCTGAGCTCCACCTCTTGTCAGATCAGCAGTGGCATTAGATTCTCATAAAAGCGTGCACCCTATTGTGAACTGCGCATGCAAGGGATCTAGGTTGCACACTCCTTGTGAGAATCTAACTAATGCCTGATGATCTGAGGTGGAACAGTTTCATCCCAAAACCATCCCCACCCCGACTGCTGTCCATGGAAAAATTGTCTTCCATGAAACCAGTTCCTGGTGACAAAAAGGTTGGGGACCGCTGCTGTATAGTATTCCATTTTGTATATATACCACGTTTTCTTTATCAATTCATCCATTTATGGCCTTACTTTACCTCCTTAAGTATGACTTCCTTTATTTCTTTGAACATATTTAAAAGAGCTGCTTTGGGCCGGGCGTGGTGGCTCATGCCTATAATCCCAGCACTTTGGGAGGCTGAGGCGGGCAGATCACGAGGTCAGGAGATCGAGACCATCCTGGCTAACACGGTGAAACCCTGTCTCTACTAAAAAAAATACAAAAAAATTAGCCAGGCGTGGTGGCAGGTGCTTGTAGTCGCAGCTACTTGGGAGGCTGAGGCAGGAGAATGGCATGAACCTGGGAGGCAGAGCTTACAGTGAGCCGAGATCATGCCACTGCACTCCAGCCTGGGTGGCAGAGTGAGACTCCATCTCAAAAATAAAAAAAAAAAAGAGCTACTAAGTCTGACTGTATATTTTTGTTGTCCTTTCTTCTATCAACTTCTTTAAAAGCTATAACATTTAAAAGTAATAATTGTAACAATATATCATTGGGCTTGTGACATATATAGATGTAAGTGTAAGACTAATATCACTAGTGAGAAAAGGAAGAAAAACAGCTATGTAGGAATAACATTTCTGTATTGAGCTGTAAATAAACAGTTCAACAGTAATAGTTGCAGATGTCAATACCCCACTTTCAATAATGAAGAGAGCAGCTAGGCAGAACATCAACAAGGAAATATAAGATTTCAACAACACAAAAACCAAATTGGCATTAACATAAATTTATAAAACACTCTTCCAAAAACAGTAGAATACATAGTCTTCTCAACATGGAAGATCCTCCAGAATAGATCATACATTAGGCCATAATATAAGCCTCAATAGATTTAAAAGGATTGAACTTATGCAAAATATGTTTTCCCATCACAATGGAATTGTTAGGGATTGATAAAAGAAGAATATTTTGTAAATTCACAAGTATATGAAAATTGAGCAGCACATTCCCAAATAGTGGTGAGTCAAAGAAGAAATCACAAAGGAAAAAAAGAAAATACTCTGAGATTAGTGAAAATGAATATGTACTGTGTCAAAACATATAGGATGCAGCTAAAGCAGTACTTAGAGGGAAATTTATAGCTATAAATGCCTATCTATATTAAAAAAGAAGAAAACTCTTAAGTCACTAACCTAGCCTTCCACTTAGAACACTGGAAAAAGGGAACAAACTAAACCCACAGCAAGAAGAATGAAAATAATAATCAAGATTAGAACAGAAACTAAGTGAAAACAATCAAGAATCAAAGAAGCCACAAGCTTGTTCTTTCAGAATACCAACAAAATTGACAAATCTTTAGCAAAGTGACAGAGCCAAATTACTAAAATCGGGAATAAGAGAAGGGACATCACTACTAACCTTATAAAAAAAGTATCATAGGGGAATATCATGAACAACTGAATGCCAAAAATTAAATGCTTAGATGAAATCAACAAATTTCCAGAAAAACACAAACTATTAAAACTGACTTAAGGAAAAGTAGAAAATCTGAATAAACCTGTAACCTAAAGAGGTGAAAATAGAAATTTTTAAACTTCCATAAAGTAATACTGAGGCCCAGATGGCTTCAGTTGTGAATTCTTCCAAATGATTCAAGATGCATTGATCCAGCATTTTTGCAAACTCTTCCAAAAGTAGAAGACAACACTTCTTAATGCATTCTATGAAGCCATTATTGCCCTGAGGCCAAAGCCAGACAAACACCTCACAGGAAAATAAAACTGCAGACCATTATCTCTTATGAATACAGATGAAAAATTCTCGAGAAAATACTATAACACTGAATCCAACAACACATAAAACGAAATTTACACCATCTAGTAAGGTTTATTCCATGAATGCTGGGTTGGTTTAACAACTGAAAAATCAATTAATACATCATCATATCAACAGAATCAAGAACGAAAACCACACAGCCTTCTCAATGGATGCAGAAAAAGCATTTGGCAAAATCCAACATTCTTGCCTGATAAAAACACTCTATAAACTAGAAATAGAAACTTTCTTGACCTCATAAAGGGCACCTGTGAAAAACCCACAGCAAACACTGTACTTAGTGGTGATTGAATGATTTTGCCCTAAGATCAGTATCAAGACAAGAATGCCCACCTTGCCTTTTCTATTCAACACTGTAGCAGAGGTTCTAGGCAGGGCAGTTAGGCAAGAAAAAGAAATAAAAGGCATCCAGATTGGAAAAGAAGTAAAACTATCTCTGTTCGCAGGTGACATGATCTGAAATATAGAAAATCCTAAGAATCCACTAAAAACGTATTAGAATTAATGAGCATCAGGGTTGTAGGACACAAGATCAATATCCAGTTATCATATTTCTTATTTCTATACATTAACAATGAACAATCTGAAAAAAAAATTATATCAAACGGAATTGCATCAAAAAGGGTAGCATTAAAAAAGGACAAATACGGCCAGACGCGGTGGCTTATGCCTGTAATCCCAGCACTTTGGGAGGCCGAGGTGGGCAGATCATGAGGTCAGGAGATCAAGACCATCCTGGCTAACATGGTGAAACCCCATCTCTACTAAAAATACAAAAATTAGCTGGGTGTGATGGCACGTGCCTGTAATCCCAGCTACTTGGGAGGCCGAGGCAGGAGAATCGCTTGAACCAGGGAGTCAGAGGTTGCAGTGAGCCAAGATTATGCCACTGCACTCTGCCTGGTGACAGAGCAAGACTCTGTCTAAAAAAAAAAAGACAAATACTTGTACTTTACAAAACTACAGAACATTGTCAACAGAAATTAAAGGAGACCTAAATAAATGGAAACACATCCCATGTTCATGGGCCAGAACACTTATCATTGTTAAGATGGCATTACTCCCAAAACTGATCCACAAATTTAATGCAATGCTTATCAGAATCCCAGGTGTCTTGTAGAAATTGTCAAACTGATCTAAAATTCATATGGAAGTGCAAGTGAATAGCCAAAACAATCTTGAAAAAGAAAAAGAAAGTTGGAGAATCACACTTCCCTGATTTCAAAACTGGCTGCAAAACTGAAGTAATCAAGACAATGTGGTACTAGCATAAGGAAAGACATAGAGGTTGATGGAACAGAATTCAGAGTCCAGAAATGGTTTATACATTTGTGCCCAAATGATTTTTCAAAATACAGGTGCTAGGACAATTCAATGAGGAAAGAATAGTATTTTTAGCAAATGGCGTTGGGACAACCTAATATCTATGTGGAAAAGAATGAAGTTGGATCACATGCAAAGATTAACTGAAAATGAATCATAGGGCTATATGTAACAGCCAAAACTGTATTAAGAAGAAAACACAGAAGTAAATCTTTGTGACCTTGGGTTAGGCAGCACTTTCTTAAATACACATCAAAAACACAAACAAAAAAAATAGATTAAGTAGACTTGATCAAAATAAAAAAAAAAACCTTCTGTGCTGCAAATGATATCATCAAGAAAGTGGCAAGACGATGCACAAGATGTGAGAAAACATTTGCAAACCATATATCTGATAAGAGATTCATATTCAAAATATGTAGTGGTGGTTCATGCCTCTAATCCTAGCACTTTGGGAGGCCTAGACAGGAGGATCGTTTGAGCCCAGGAGTTTAAGACCAGCCTGGGCAACATGGCAAAAACCCATCTCTACAAAAAATACAAAAATTAACCAGGTGTGGTGGTGCACAGTTGTATTCCCAGAGACTTGAGGGGCTGAGGTGGGAGGTTTACTTCAGTGAGCCATCTTCATGCCACTGCACTCCAGCCTGGGTGACAGAATGAGACCTTGTCTCAAAAAACAAAAAACTTAATAACCCAACTAAAAAATTAGGCAAAGGATATTAATAGACATTTCTCTACATAAGATACATAAATGGCCAATAAACACATGAAAAGATGCTGAACATCATTAATAGAAAAATGCAAATCAAAACCATACTATTTCACAACCACTAGGATGGCTGTAATCAGAGAGAAGATAAAAAATGTTGACAAAAATGTGGAAAAAGTGAAACCCTCATACATTGCTGGTGGAAATGTAAAATAGTAAGGCAACTTTGTAAAACATTTTGTCAGTTCCTCAAAATGTTAAAAATTAGATTGCCTTACAGCTCATAAATGTCACTTCTATCTATTCAAGAGGAATGAAAACATGTCCATACAAAAACTTGTATACAAATTTTTATGGCAATATTATTTATAATAGTCCCAAAGTATAATAAGTCAAATATTTTTAACTCATGAATAGAGCTGTGGTTTATCTATGCAATGGAATATTATTAGGCAATAAAAGTGATGAAGTTTTGATCCTGCTAAAACATCGATAACTCTTAAAAACATTGTGCTAATAAAGGAAGCCAGTCACAAAAGACCGCATACACATTGTTTGTTTCCGTTTATATGGAATACCCAGAATAAGGCAAATAGTAGAAAATAGTTTAGGGGTTGCCTAGGGCCAGAGAACGTTCTGTGTTGGGTGTTTTTTTTTTTTTTTTTTTTTTTTTTTTGAGACAGGGTCTCCTTCAGTGGCCGAGGCTGGAGTGCAGTGGTGCCATCTTGGCTCACTGTATCCTCAACTTCTGGGCTCAAGCAATTTCCCACCTCAGCCTGCTGAGTAGCTGGGACTACAGGCCTATGTCACCATGCCTGGCTAAGTTTTTGAATTTTTTGTAGCGATGGAGTTTCACCATGTTGCCCAGGCTGGTCTCAAACTCCTGAGCTCAAGCAATCCACCTACCTTGGCCTCCCAGAGTGCTGGGATTACAAGTGTTAGCCACCATGCCCAACCTTGAGTTTCTTTTTGGGATGATGAAAAAGTTCTCACATTAGATTGTGGTAACGATTGTACAACTGTGTTAATATGCTAAAAATCATTGATGGCATGTGAATTATATTTCAAAAAAGCTATTGTCAAAAAAATCACGGTCCATTTTCTACTCCTGCCAGCAAAGTATATGAGATTGCCATTGCCCAATGTAATGTTCATTAACACAAACTAACAAATTTGCGATAGACTAGAATAGACTAGATAGACTAGAACAGTGTCTTTGGTAGAGTTTTTCCAGTTCAGCTGAAAGAGAGTTTGCTCCCAGTGTGCATTTAGTAATGACATTTTTGGTGGTCATGACTAGAGTGGGGAATGCTGGTGGCGTTGATTGGGCAGAGGCCAGGGATACTGCTAAGCATCCTGTAATGCATAGTGCTGCCCCCACTCCAAATAATTATCCAACCCAAAACATCAGTAATGTTGAGGTAAGAAGCCCTGAACTAGTAATAGCATCTTGTTTTAGTTTATTTGATTACTAGTAAGGGTAAATTTTCCCCATACGTTTATAATTTACTTGTATTTCTCCTTTTGTAAATTTTCTGATCATTATCATTTAGCTCATATTTCTCATCAGTTTATATGCGTTCTTTATGTTAGTAGAGATATAAGCTATTAATTTGATTTACTAAGTTTATTTGTCTTCCAGTTGTTTCCTTTCAAATTTTGGTTAAGTTTATATTGACTATCAAAATGTTTATTTTTTTAATGTGATGAAACTTTTTTTTGCATTGTATCTAGCTTAGAAAATTTCCCTACCTACCTATCTCCCTTCCATGTAATTTCATTTTTATTTCTTTTCACTGGAATTTAAAGCTTACCTTTTCAAATTTAACTTTTAAATGCATATAGAATTTGTTATGTATATTACAAGATAAGGAATAATTGTTTTCTAAATACTAGTGACTGTTCTTCCTCCTTTTTAAAAAACATTTGTCTCACTGAGCATATTTTAAGGCTCAAGATAATTTTCTAAAGGAAGCTTTCCACAAGTTTATGCAAGAGAATATAAGAGATTACTCCTTATATTAATTATAATTATATTTAATTACATTATTAAATATAATTATTAATTATATTAAGAGACTATAAGAGATTACTCTTTATATAAGAATATAAGAGATTACTCCTTATATTCCTTAATTATGGAGTCCAATGACATTCTATAAGCATGTAGCTCACCTAACTCAGGACAAAGCAGTGCTCACAGATATCATCCTGTCAGTCTTGCAGGAGTATATAAAGAAATATCAAAGCTGGTAGTAGAAACTGGTTGCAGTTTGAAATTAATAAGCCTTTTCTTAAATTAATGAATTTTCTGATATGATCAGAGAGATGGAGAAAGTGATACTATACATACATGTGTGGTGTGTTTATTTGGTAAGAAGGAGGGACACAATTTCAAATCACATTAAAAGTAGTTGCCAGTTTATAACAGATTATGAAAATTTTGTGAGTCCCTGATAATATAATAGTTAAGTGAATTAATGGGAATAAGTGTAGATATCTTCTTGTTATTGAACAGAGGGAGAATGAGTTAGATTCTGCTCATTCTGAAATTGAACTCCTGAGGAGTCAGATGGCAAATGAGAGAATCTCCATGCAGAATCTAGAAGCTTTGCTGGTGGCCAATCGAGACAAAGAATATCAGTCTCAGATAGCACTTCAAGAAAAAGAATCTGAAATTCAGCTTCTTAAAGAACACCTTTGTTTGGCAGAAAATAAAATGTGAGTTGTTTAGCAATATAAAGTAAAGTCATACATCTTAATTTTTTGGTACTTTAGTAGAAATTTTAAGCTAGAATTTAGAGAATTTGCCTTCTATACTTTGCCTAAGGATCAGAAATACTGTGATTTGCCTAAGAGGTGGTACTTTTTCTATTATGTTTTTCTTATCTAAATTTAAGTTTAATGATCTCTACTGATTCTTTCCAACAGAGTTTTGAGTATGATAGAATGTCTGATCTAAAATACTGCCTTTAGGAAATATAACAAAATGAGAAAAAAAATTAACCAGTTTGAAACCAGAAGAATTTTCATATTTAGACCAATATATTGCAACCTAGTGTTTGCATTTGCCACATCATATTTTCTTTTGTACCTATTGCATGTACTGGATACCTAGAAGAACACCTGCATTCACAAAATACAGAAGACTTCCCAGGACATTGATTTTGGCTTCTTTTCTTTCTTTTTCTTTTCTTTAGGATCTCTAGCACTCCTAGCACCTTATTAAAAGACATTTGGCTGGAGAATTGGGTGGAATTGCCTCCCTGTATAGTGAATTTTTTTTCTATTAAACTTGATCATCTCTCATAAAAACTGATGGGGGACCCTTAACCCCTGTTCTTACCTGTCCCATCTGTAACACTTTTCATCCAGCCTCCACTCTGTCCTCACATCTGAGGTCAGGACATGGGGAAGGATAAGAAGCATGGTCTCAGCAATCAGCCACTCCTAGGAGCCCCTGACTAGGCAAGGGCTTCAGAGCCAGGGCCAGTTTCCTTCAGAAACTGTTTTCAGGTTATAGTGGCGGTGACTGAGTCCTTCTTTTCCATTACTGTAGCTAGCCTATTATGATTCCTTCAACAGGTTTTGCAGGATCACTTTCTCAGGATGGTAGGTGGAAATCTACCTTTTGTGAAATACGCCAAAACTTCCACCCTAAGGGCTATACTCTGTTTTAGACTGGCTGGTAAATACTAACACTTAGAATTAGCATGAGAAGTGTTTGTTATTAGTCTCTAAAGTTTAGATTTCAGCAGTCTATGATACTATCCTGAAAGCAAGTGAAGAGGATAGAATGTTCTGTGTGAGTGGCATTCATCAATGTTTATCTTCCCTATGATATTGTGCCTTATTACAGGTTTTTTGAGGCATTTTTTAGCCTTAAGGAAGATTCTATTAAATTGAAGATTGTGTATGTCAAATTTCATTATAAGGCACTTGGTTGAATAGATATATATAAAACAGACCATATTAATCATGGAGCTAGTGAATTCCGGTGTTAATTATTTGATCATACCACTACTTTATAGAATACCTCTAAGTACTTACATAAAAAACAATTTATAGTAAGTAGTATAGACAGATGATGTATAATATGTTCCCACAGGGAAGCTGAAACAGAGAAGGATTAACTAATTAAATGGGACTGGGATTGCTTAGGCTTTTCAAGTAGGCTACTCTGCATACTTACTATGTCTAACATGGGCATATTTTAGATGTACTAATAAATCTGGCCATAAAAATCACAATGTGATTTGGATCCAGCTGAGAAACCACTATCAATATGGTTTCATGTACCCCAGAATCATAGCCATATTTTAAGTTTAGTCAACTATAACTCTTATCTTCTTTTAAACAGGGCCATCCAGAGTAGAGATGTGGCCCAGTTCAGAAATGTTGTCACACAATTGGAAGCTGATTTAGACATTACCAAAAGACAACTAGGAACAGAGCGCTTTGAAAGGTAAGTTTATCTCTATGCAAGCTCAAAAACAATGCTTTTCAGCATGGAAAGCATTGTTTCTTAGGTAACAAGAGGTTTTAGTTCTTTCATGATGGTTAGATTTTCAAGTATGAATTGAGCTAGTTTTATGATAGTTTTAATAATTTTGCTGGATATAAAATTTAAAGCATCACTATTTTGCTTTAGGGAGAGGGCCGTACAAGAACTTCGCCGCCAAAATTATTCAAGTAATGCTTATCATATGAGTTCTACAATGAAGCCAAATACAAAATGTCATTCACCAGAACGTGCTCACCATCGATCTCCTGACCGAGGCCTAGATCGATCATTAGAAGAGTGAGTCTATTTAAGGATCCATTCTCTTGAGATCAAATAGCAGTATCTAGTATAGTGAACATTTGGGGTAATAAGGAAACTCAATAGTCTATCTTTAATAGTGATATTTAAACATGATTACCAAGATATATTGATATAAAATACAGGATTTTGATAATTAAATTAGAATTATATATATTATACTAAAGTGAAAGGTCTAATATTTTATCTGTTTGCATAAATTATATATTTTTTTATTTCCATGGTTTTGGGGGAACAGGTGGTTTTTTGTTACACCGATAAGTTCCTTAGCAGTAATTTTTGAGATTTTGGTGCATCCAACACCCAAACAGTGTGCACTGTACCCATTGTGTACTCCTTTATTCCTCACTCTTCTCCCATCCTTCCCCCTGAATCCCCAAAGTCCAATGTATCATTCTTTTTTTTTTTTTTTTTGAGACGGAGTCTCTCTCTGTCGTCCAGGCTGGAGTGCAGTGGCGGGATCTCGGCTCACTGCAAGCTCCGCCTCCCGGGTTCACGCCATTCTCCTGCCTCAGCCTCCCAAGTAGCTGGGACTACAGGCGCCCGCCACTACGCCCGGCTAATTTTTTGTATTTTTAGTAGAGACGGGGTTTCACCGTTTTAGCCGGGATGGTCTCGATCTCCTGACCTCGTGATCCGCCTGCCTCGGCCTCCCAAAGTGCTGGGATTACAGGCGTGAGCCACCGCGCCCGGCCCAATGTATCATTCTTATAACTTTCATCCTCATAGCTTAACTCTCACTTAAAGTGAGAACATATGATATTTGGTTTTCCATTCCTGAGTTACTTCCCTTAGAATAATGGTCTCCAACTCCATCCAGGTTGCTATGAATGCCATTATTTCGTTCCTTTTTATGGCTGAGTAGTATTCCCTGGTGTATTTATACCACATTTTCTTTATCCACTTGTTGGTCAATGGGCATTTAGGCTGGTTCCATATTTTTGCAATTGCAAATTATGCTGCTACAAACATGCGTGTGCAAGTATCTTTTTCATATAATGACTTTTTTTCCTCTGAATAGATACCCAGTAGTTGGATAGATGGATCAAATGGTAGTTATACTTTTAGTTCTAAATGGAATCTCTGTACTGTTTTCCTTAGTGGTTGTACTAGTTTCCATTTCCACCAGCAGTGTAAATGAAAACATTCCCTTTTCACCACATCTATGCCAACATCTATGCTTTTTGATTTTTTAATTATGGCCATTCTTGCAGGAGTAAGGTAGGTATCTCATTGTGGTATTAATTTGCATTTCCCTGATAATTAGTGATGATGAGCATCTTTTCATATGTTTGTTGGGCATTTGTATATATTCTTTTGAGAATTGTTTATTCATGTCCTTAGCCCACTTTTTGATGGGATTATGTTTTGTTTTGTTTTTTCTTGCTGATTGTTTGACTTCCTTGTAGATTCCAGATATTAGTCCTTTGCTGGATGCACGTTTGGGAAGATTTTCTCCCACTCTGTGGGTTGTCTGTTTACTCTGCTGATTATTTCTTTTGCTGTGCAGAAGCTTTTTAGTTTAATTAAGTCCCATCTATTTATATTTGTTTTTGTTTCATTTGCTTTTGGGTTCTTGGTCATGAAATCTTTGCCTAAGCCAAAGTTCAGAAGACTTTTACCAATGTTATCTTCTAGAATTTTTATGGTTTCAGATGTTAGATTTAGGTCTTTGATCATCTTGAGTTGATTTTTTATAAGGTGAGAGATGAGGATCCAGTTTCATTCCTCTACATGTGGCTTCCCAATTATCCCAGCACCATTTGTTGAATAAGATGTCCTTTCCCCACTTTATGTTTTTGTTTGCTTTGTCAAAAATCAGTTGGCTGTAAGTATTTGGCTTCATTTCTGGGTTCTCTATTCTGTTTCATTGGTCTATGTGCCTATTTTTATATCAGTACCATGCTGTTTTGATAACTATAGTCTTGTAGTATAGTTTGAAGTCAGGTAATGTGATGCCTCCAGATTTGTTCTTTTTGCTTAGTCTTGCTATGTGGGGTCTTTTGAGGTTCCATATGAATTTTAGGATTGTTTTCCTAGTTCTGTGAAGAATGATTATGGTACTTTGATTGGAACTGCACTGAATTTGCATATTGCTTTTGGCAGTATGGTCATTTTTACAATATTGATTCTCCATGAGCATGGGATGTGTTTCCATTTGTTTGTGTCATCAGTGACTTCTTTCAGCAGTGTTTTGTAGTTTTCCTTGTAGAATTCTTTCACCACCTTGATTAGGTATATTCCTAAGTTGGTGTTTTTGTTTGTTTGTTTGTTTTTTGCTGCCATTGTAAAAGGAGTTGAGTTATTGATTTGTTTCTCAGCTTGATTGCTGTTGGTGTATAGCAGTGCTACTGATTTGTGCACATTAATTTTGTATCCTGAAACTTTACTGAATTCATTTATCAGATCTGGGAGCTTTTTGGATGAGTCTGTAGGGTTTTCTAGGTATATGATCATATCGTCAGTGAACAGTGATAGTTTGACTCTACTGATTTAGGTGCCCTTTATTTGTTTCTCTTGTGTGATCGCTCTGTCTAGGACTTCAGATACTATGTTGAATAGAAGCGATGAAAGTGGGCATCCTTGTCTTGTTCCAGTTCTCAGGGGGAATGCTTTCAACTGTCCCCATTCAGTATAATGTTGGCTGTGGGTGTGTCATAGATAGCTTTTATTACCTATCTATGTGAAGTGTGTGTCCCTCCTATACCAATTTTGCTGAGGGTTTTAACCATAAAGGGATGCTGGATTTTGTCAAATGCTTTTTCTGCATCTATTAAGATGATCACATGATTTTTGTTTTTAAGTTTGTTTATGTGATCTGTCACATTTTTTGACTTGCATATGTTAAACCATTGCTGCATACCTGGTATGCAACTCACTTGGTCATGGTGTATTATCTTTTTGATATGCTGTTGGATTCAGTTAGCAAATTTGATGTTTAGGACTTCTGCATCTATGTTCATCAGGGATATTGGTCTATAGTTTTCACTTTTTGTTATGTCCTTTCCTAGCTTTGGAATTAGGGTGATACTGGCTTCATAGGATGATTTAGGGAGGATTCCGTCTTTCTCTATCTTGTGCAGTAGTGTTCTATAGGATTGGTTCCAATTCTTCTTTGACTGTCTGATGGAATTCAGCTGTGAATCCATCTGGTCCTGGACTTTTTTTATTGGCAATTTTTTTATTACTGTTTTAATCTCTCTACTTCTTACTGGTCTGTTCAGAGTTTCTATGTCTTCCTGATTTAATCTGGGAGAGTTGTATATCTCCAGGAATTTATCCATCTCCTCTAGATTTTCTAGTTTGTATGTGTAAAGGTGTTCATAGTAGCCTCGAATGATCTTTTGTATTTCTGTGGTATTGGTTGTAATATCTCCTGTTTCATTTCTCATTGAGCTAATTTGGATCTTCTCTCTTCTTTTCTTGGTTAATCTCGCTAGTGGTCTATCAATTTTGTTTATCTTTTCAAAGAACCAGCTTTTTGTTTGATTTATCTTTTGTAATTTTTTTGTCTCATTTTCATTTAATTCTGCTCTGATCTTTGTTATTTCTTTTCTTCTGCTGGGTTTAGGTTTGGTTTGTTCTTGTTTCTCTAGTTCCTTCAGGTGTGACCTTAGAGTGTCTATTTGTGCTCTTTCAAACTTTCTGATGTAGGCACTAAATGCTATGAACTTTTCTCTTAGTACTACTTTTGGTGTATCCCAGATGTTTTGATAAGTTGTGTTTCACTATTACCTCTCAGTTCAAAGAAGTTTTTAATTTCCATCTTGATTTCATTGTTGACCCAAAGATCACTCAAGATCAGATGATGATGATGATGATGATAATTATTATTAATTTTTTTGAGATGGAATCTTGCTCTGTTGCTCAGGCTGGAGTGCAGTGGCATGATCTCGGCTCACTGCAACCTCTGCTCCTCAGGTTCAAGCAGTTCTCCTGCCTCAACCTCCCAAGTAGCTGGGAATACAGGCATGCGTCACAATGCCGGGCTTATTTTTATTTTTATTTATTTATTTATTTTTTTGAGACAGAGTCTCGCTCTGTTGCCCAGGCTGGAGTGCAATGGCACAATCTCGGTTCACTGCAACCTCCATCTCCCAGGTTCAAGCGATTCTTGTGCCTCAGACTCCCAAGTAGCTGAGATTACAGACGTCTGCTACCATGCCTGGCTAATTTTTTTGTGTTTTTAGTAGAGTCAGGGTTTCACCATGTTGTCCAGGCTGGTCTTGAACTCCTGACCTCAGGTGATCTGCCTGCCTCAGTCTCCCAAAGTGCTGGGATTACAGGCATGAGGCACTGCGCCCAGCCTTAATTTTTGTATTTTTAGTAGAGACAGGGTTTCACCATGTTGGCCAGGCTGATTTTGAACTCCTGACCTCAAGTGATCCGCCTGTCTTCGCCTCCCAAAATGCTGGGATTACAGGCATGAGCCCCCGCAGCCAGCCTCAAGAGCAGATTATTTAATGTCCATGTATTTTTATAGTTTTGAGGGTTCCTTTTGGAGGTAATTTCCAGTTGCATTCCACTGTGGTTTAAGAAGATACTTCAGGCTGGGTGCGGTGGCTCACGCCTGTAATCCCAGCACTTTGGGGGGCGGAGGCAGGCGGATCACGACATCAGGAGATTGAGACCATCCTGGCTAACATGGTAAAACCCGTCTCTACTAAAAATACAAAAAATTAGCCGGGCGTGGTGGCAGGCACCTGTAGTCCCAGCCACTCGGGAGGCTGAGGCAGGAGAATAGTGTGAACCCAGGGGGTGGAGCTTGCAGTGAGCCGAGATTGCGCCACAGCATTCCAGCCTGAGCAACAGAGAAGATTACATCTCAAAAAAATTAATAATTATTATTATTATTGTCATCATCATCATCATCATCTGATCTTAAGTGATCTTTGGGTCAACAGTGAAATCAAGATGGAAATTAAAAACTTCTTTGAACTGAGAGGTAATAGTGAAACACAACTTATCAAAACCTCTGGGATACACCAAAAGTAGTACTAAGAAAAGTTCATAGCATTTAGTGCCTACATCAGAAAGTTTGAAAGAGCACAAATAGACACTCTAAGGTCACACCTGAAGGAACTAGAGAAACAAGAACAAACCAAACCTAAACCCAGCAGAAGAAAAGAAATAACAAAGATCAGAGCAGAACTCAATGAAAATGAGACAAAAAAATTACAAAAGATAAGTTAAAAAAGAAGATACTTTATATAAATCTGATTTTCTTAAATTTATTGAGACTTGCTTTGTGTCCTATCATATGTTCAATCTTGGAGATTGTTCCATGTGCTGAAGAAAAGAATTTATATTCTGCAGTTGTTGGGTAGAATGTTCTGTAAATACCTGTTAAGTCCGTTTGTTCTAGGGTATAGTTTAAGTTCATTGTTTCTTTGACTTTCTGTATTGATGACCTGTCTAGTGCTGTCAGTGGAGTATTGAAGTCTCCCACTATTATTGTGTTGCTGTGCATCTCATTTCCTGGGTCTAATAGTCATTGTTTTCTAAATTTGAGAGCTCCAGTGTTAGGTGCATATACATTTAGAATTGCAATATTTTCCTTTTGGACTATTCCTTTTATCATTATATAATGTCCCTCTTTTTCTTTTTTTTACTGATGTTGCTTTAAAGTCTGTTTTGTCTGATATAAGAATAGCTACTCTTGCTCACTTTCCATTTGCGTGGAATATCTTTTTCCACCCTTTAACCTTAAGTTTATGTGAGTCCTTATGTGTTAGGTGAGTCTCTTGAAGATAGCAGATACTTAGTCAGTGAATTTTTATCCATTCTGCCATTCCGTATCTTTTAAGTGGACTATTTAGGCTCTTTACATTCAACATTAGTATTAAGATGTTAGGTATTGTTCTGTTCATCACATTAGTTGTTGCCTTAATACCTTGTTTTGGTGTTTTCTTCCCCCATTGTGTTATTGTTTTATGGGCCCTGTGAGATTTATGTCATAAGGAGCTTCTATTTTGATGTATTTTGAGGTTTTGTTTCAAGATTTAGAACTCCTTTAAACAGTTCTTGTAGTGCTGGTTTAGTAGTGGCAAATTCTCTCAGCATGTCTGAAAATGACTTTATCTTTCCTTCATTATGTAGCTTAGTTTTGCTGGATACAAAATTCTTGGCTGTTTCATAAGGCTAAAGATGGGACCCCAATCCCTTCTGGCTTGTAGGGTTTCTGCTGAGAAATCTGGTGTTAATGTGATAGGTTTTCCTTTATAGTTTATCTTGATGCTTTTGTCTCACAGGTCTTAAGATTCTTTCCTTTGTCTTGACTTTGGGTATCCTGATGACTTTGTGCCTAGGTGATGATCTTTTTGCAATGAATTTCCCAGGTGTTCTTTGAGCTTCTTGTGTTTGGAGGTCTAGATCTCCAAACCCTTTACCCATACTCATTATTTAAAAAATTTTACCCCATTTGTTTTCTTATATACACATGTGGTGGCTCATGTGCTCACATGCTTGCATGTTTCTTCACAGACACACACACACTTGCACACACACATACTTGCAGAGGCACATTTAAAGGTCAGGGAGGAGGTCCAGCAAGGTCAGGGAGGCTTTCCTCAATTATTCCCTCAAATAAGTTTTCTAAACTTTTAGATTTCTTTTCTTCCTCAGGAACACTAGTTATTCTTAGGTTTGGCCATTTAACATAATCCCAAATTTCTTGGAGGATTTGTTCATTTTTTAAAATTCTTTTTTGTCTTTGTCTGATTGGGCTAATTCTAAAGACCTGTCTTTGGCCGGGCATGGTGGCTAATGCCTGTAATCCCAGCACTTTGGGAGGCCGAGGTGGGCAGATCACTTGAAGTCAGGAGTTCAAGACCAGCCTGGCCAACATGGCGAAATCCCGTCTCTACTGAAAATACAAAAATTAGCCAGGTGGGTGGCACATGCCTGTAATCCCAGCTACTTGGGAGGCTGAGGCAGGAGAATCGCTTGAACCCGGGTGTCGGAGGTTGCAGTGAGCAGAGATTGCACCACCGTACTACAGCCTGGCAACAGCATGGATACCAGTACCTGCTCTAGTAGAGGTGACAGGAAAGTGATGCATCACTTTAGGTCGGGGCAGGGTTAGGTGGGTCTGGGCTCAGACTCTACTTGGGCAGGGCTTGCCACGGCCACCTTGGGGGATGGGGGTATGGTTCTCAGGCCAATGGGCTTATGTTATAGAGGGGATCTTGGCCACCTCTGCTGTATCATACAGTTTGCCAGAGAAGTGGGGAATAGCCAGTAGCAAGAGGCCTTGCCCAGCTCCCATGTAGTTGGCAAGGCCAGCCTCGCTCCTGCAGTGCCTTGCTCAGATTTTGCCCCAGGCCGTGAGCTACCCCACTGAAAAAGCAAGCACAGCATTTGAACCTGGCCCTTCCCTGTCTGGCTATTCTTGCCCTGGCTCCTATCTGCAGCAGCTTCCACTCGTCCCCTGGACTCTGCTCAAGAAAATTTGTGCCCAGTCAAAACCACTACCAATTTCAGTTGGGAGCTTCCTTCACTCTGTGACCCCTCCCCAATTCTGCTGGCTGCCTTCCCAAGGACACCTGTGAGAAGCCATTGCTGGCTTCCCTGGGCTTGAGCTGGAGACTGGGAGTGTGTGCAAGGCACTTCCTGCTGCTACTTCTACTTTTATACTTTACGTGACTCCATAAATCTCTTTCATCTCTAGATAAGGTTAAATTTTTCTCCCGTGATGTGGATTTTTAGATTCCCCAGTGGGGACGTGTTCGGAGGTAGGTTTTCTTCCCTCTCACACTTTGGGAACTCACAGTTTTTCACCTGTTTCATGGAATTGGCAGCAGCATGCCACTTCTTTCGAAGGATATGTGAATTCTTTTGGTTTTCCTGGTATATTCCTACAGTGAATCTTGGAGCAAAAGATCACAATATGAGTCTCTAACACTGTTCTGTCCTTCCATGTGGGAGCTGCACGTTAGACCTGTCTCCTATCTGCCATACTCCATCTGCCCCATAAATTGTATTTTAAGAGTTTGATTTCCTTTTTATTTCTACATTAACTTCTTTCATTTAATTACAAAACATTGGTTGTTATAGCACCACAAAATTTATATGTTCTAGGAAAGTAATCAGCTTGTTTTTTAGAGGAAAATATTTTAGATATATTTCTATGTATCACAAATTTCATAAAAACTTTTTATTTGGAAACAATTTCAACCTTTCAAAAAGTTACAAAAATAAGAATACAAAGAACATCTACATGCCCTTTACCCATACTCACTATTTAAAAAATTTTACCCCATTTGTTTTCTTATATACACATGTGGTGGCTCATGTGCTCACATGCTTGCATGTTTCTTCACAGACACACACACTTGCACACACACTCACAGAGGCTCATTTAAAAATATAAACAAAACTCCAAACCATGCCCACAGGTTTCATCCTTGCTTTCTTCCATTACTTATATATATGTTCTTTCTTCTACAGTGAGAACCTTGGCTCAACATTAACATGTTTACTCAACAATATCAATGTAGTTACTAATTTGCTCAATCCCAGAATGCATCTACAATAGTTTCAAAATTTCTTCACCGATGTCACCACAATAAACAGGCCAACTTTTTTTTTTTTTTTTTTTTTTTTTTTGAGACAGGGTCTCGCTCTGTCACCCAGGCTGGAGTGCAGTGGTGCGATCTCGGCTCACTGCAAGCTCCGCCTCCCAGGTTCACGCCATTCTCCTGCCACAGCCTCCTGAGTAGCTGGGACTACAGGCACCTGCCACAATGCCCGGCTAATTTTTTGTATTTTTAGTAGAGACGGGGTTTTCACCGTGTTAGCCAGGATGGTCTCGATCTCCTGAACAGGCCAACTTTTTAAAAGCTCAGAATCTGTTTGCAGTTCTTCCTTCTTAGGCCTGTATGCTACCTTGCCCAAGTCTTGAGAGCATTTAGTTAAATACTGAGTTTGTAACTTATTTGGATTAATTTTTTTCCATCTTTTATTTTGGTCATGGTATTCATTGTAAGTAACATTGGATTCATTTGTTTCAATTTGCTTTCATTTTTCATATTTCCACTTCCTAGTTTTTTCCTCAACTTAATTTTATTTTTGAATATGTAGATTAGCATGCTTTTGAAGGTCAACACTCTGCAAAAAATAATACTAAGAGAAGTGTCACTTTCTCTTTATGCCTTCCATCCCATCAGCCATGCCTCCACCCCCTTTCTTTGTGGTTTTGTGCTAATGATACACAGATACATATCTTTCTTTGTTTATGCAAAAAGTTGCATGCTTCTTTGCACTTTGCTTTTCTCACTTAACACTATCTCCTGGAAATCTCTCCATATTGATTCATAGAGATTCTCCTTAGTCCTTTTTTTCAGGTGCACACTACTCCAGTGTATGGATGTACCATAGTTATGCAACCCACCTCCTAAACTTGGACATTTAGGTAGTTTCCAATAATTTGCAATTACAAACAAGGCTGTAATGAATAATCTTGTACATATGTATTCTCATGTTGCAGTATCTTCAGAATAAATTCCTAGAAGTGGGATTGCTGGGTCAATGGGTAAATACACATGTAGTTTTGTTAGACAGTGCCACATTCCCCTCCATTTTGCAGTCCCTTCAGCAATGTGTGAAAGTACTGTTTCCCCACAGCGTCACTAATAGAACACACTGTCAAGCTTTTGAATTTGTGCCACTGTGGTGGATGAGAAATGGTATTTCAGTGTAGCTTTAATTTGCATTTCTCTTATTGTGAGTGAAGTTGAATATCTTTTCATAGGTTTAAGGGCTATTATTATATCTCTTTTTGGGAATTAGCTATTCATTTCTTCGTCTATTTTTCTAATGGACTTTAGATCTTTTTGTTAAAAAAATTTTTAGTACATTTCAGAAATTATCTCTTTATTGGTGATATATGCTACCAATATTTTCTCACTTTTTTGTCATTTGTCTTTTAATCTTACTGTATTGCCTTTTTCTCTATAAAGTTTTTATTTTTGTGTAGTCAGATTTTAAAGCTTTTCCTTTAATGCATCTGGATTTCTATTCACAGTTAGCAAATCTTTCTCTCTCCCCAGATAGTAGAGGAATGTTTTCTTTTAGTACTTGTATATTTTTACTTTTTGCATTTAGATATCTGATTCATTTGGAGTTTATTTTATGTATGGTTTGAGAAATGGATCTAATTTTATCTTTTTCCAACTGACTATCAAGTTGCAAGATCATTGATTTAAAAGACTCTTTGTCCCAGTCATTCAGATCTCTTTTTGGACTTTCTATTTCTATTCCATTGATCTGCCTATTCATGTGCAGTCCCACACTATTTAATTATAGAGGCTATGTGGTATTTTTAATTCTGTAGGGATAGCTCAGTGGTGTGCTGGTAAACTGGCTTTCCAAAGAGAGGAGGGGGAGGCCCTGATCTGTAGCACTTGCCAATTTCTGTGGTGTAAATACCTCCACTTTTTCATTTTTTGCAGATCTTTTATATCACTGTTTAATATTTGTTCATCTGACCTGTTTTATATCAAGAGTGGTGTTCTAAAGTCTCCTATTATTAGTATGTTTTAATTGCTTTTTCCATATCCTCTAAATTTTGCTTTATATAGGTGGTTTGCTGTTTTATTTGTTGCATTGATATTCTGAACTGTCATTCTTCATCATGGAATGTGGCTTTTATAAAGTGTCCTTTTCTGATGCATTTAGATTTTTTTCTTTTGCTGAACTCTACTTTGTCTGGTATTAGTGTTGCCACTCCTATTTTCTTGTTGTTTCTATTTACATGGTAAATATTTTTAACTTTTTTGAGTAACTGCATTTTAAATATATCTCTTATATACAGTATGGATTTGAGTTTTGCTTTATGAGTCATTGTGAATTTTTTTGAGAAATTTACACTCTTTTTTATTATTTATTCTTATACTTTAAGATCTAGGGTGCATGTGCACAATGTGCAGGTTTGTTACATATGTATACATGTGCCATGTTGCTGTGCTGCACCCATTAACTCGTCATTTACATTAGGTATTCCTCCTAATGCTATCCCTCCCCCCTCCTCCCACCCCACAACAGGCCCCAGTGTATGATGCTCCCCTTCCTGTGTCCAAATGTTCTCATTGTTCAATTCCCACCTATGAGTGAGAACATGCGGTGTTTGGTTTTCTGTCATTGTGATAGTTTGCTCAGAATGATGGTTTCCAGCTTCATCCATGTCCCTACAAAGGACATAAGCTCATTTTTTATGGCTGCATAGTATTCCATGGTGTATATATGCCACGTTTTCTTAATCCAGTCTATCATTGATGGACATTTGTGTTGGTTCCAAGTCTTTGCTATTGTGAATAGTGCCACAATAAACATACGTGTGCATGTGTCTTTGTAATAGCATGATTTATAATCCTTTGGGTATATACCCAGTAATGGGATGGCTGGGTCAAATGGTATTTCTAGTTCTAGATCCCTGAGGAATCGCCACACTGACTTCCACAATGGTTGAACTAGTTTACAGTCCCACCAACCGTGTAAAAGTGTTCCTATTTCTCCACATCCTCTCCAGCACCTGTTGTTTCCTGACTCTTTAATGATCGCCATTATAACTGGTGTGAGATGGTATCTCATTGTGGTTTTGATTTGCATTTCTCTGATGGCCAGTGATGATGAGCATTTTTTCATGTGTCTTTTGGCTGCATAAATGTCTTCTTTTGAGAAGTATCTGTTCATATCCTTCACCCACTTTTTGATGGGGTTGTTTGTTTTTTTTCTTGTAAATTCGTTTGAGTTCATTGTAGATTCTGGATATTAGCCCTTTGTCAGATGAGTAGATTGCAAAAATATTCTCCCATTCTGTTGGTTGCCTGTTCACTCTGATGGTAGTTTCTTTTGCTGTGCAGAAGCTCTTTAGTTTAATTAGATCCCATTTGTCAATTTTGGCTTTTGTTGCCATTGCTTTTGGTGTTTTAGACATGAAGTCCTTGCCCATGCCTATGTCCTGAACGGTATTGCCTAGGTTTTCTTCTAAGGTTTTTATGGTTTTAGGTCAAACATGTAAGTCTTTAATCCATCTTGAATTAATTTTTGTATAAGGTGTAAGGAAGGGATCCAGTTTCAGCTTTCTACATACAGCTAGCCAGTTTTCCCAGCATCATTTATTAAATAGGGAATCCTTTCCCCATTTCTTGTTTTTGTCAGGTTTGTCAAAGATCAGATGGTTGTAGATATGCGGCATTATTTCTGAGGGCTCTGTTCTGTTCCATTGATCTATATCTCTGTTTTGGTACCAGTACCATGCTGTTTTGGTTACTGTAGCCTTGTAGTATAGTTTGAAGTCAGGTAACGTGATGCCTCCAGCTTTGTTCTTTTGACTTAGGATTGCCTTGGCAATGCGGGCTCTTTTTTGGTTCCATATGAACTTTAAAGTAGTTTTTTCCAATTCTGTGAAGAAAGTCATTGGTAGCTTGATGGGGATGGCATTAAATCTATAAATTACCTTGGGCAGTATGGCCATTTTCACGATATTGATTCTTCCTACCCATGAGCATGGAATGTTCTTCCATTTGTTTGTATCCTCTTTTATTTCATTGAGCAGTGGTTTGTAGTTGTCCTTGAAGAGGTCCTTCATATCCCTTGTAAGTTGGATTCCTAGGTATTTTATTCTCTTTGAAGCAGTTGTGAATGGGAGTTCACTCATGATTTGGCTCTCTGTCTGTCTGTTATTGGTGTATAAGAATGCTTGTGATTTTTGCACATTGATTTTGTATCCTGAGACTTTGCTGAAGTTGCCTATCAGCTTAAGGAGATTTTGGGCTGAGACAATGGGGTTTTCTAGATATACAATCATGTCTTCTGCAAACAGGGCCAATTTGACTTCCTCTTTTCCTATTTGAATACCCTTTGTTTCTTTCTCCTGCCTAATTGCCCTGGTCAGCACTTCCAACAGAATGTTGAATAAGAGTGGTGAGAGAGGGCATCCCTGTCTTGTGCCAGTCTTCAAGGGAATGCTTCCAGTTTTTGCCCATTCAGTATGATACTGGCTGTGGGTTTGTCATAAGTAGCTCTTATTATTTTGAGATACGTCCCATCAATACCTAATTTATTGAGAGTTTTTAGCATGAAGCGTTGTTGAATTTTGTCAAAGGCCTTTTCTGCCTCTATTGAGATAATCATGTGGTTTTTGTCTTTGGTTCTGTTTATATGCTGGATTACATTTATTGATTTGCATATGTTGAACCAGCCTTGCATCCCAGGGATGAAGCCCACTTGATGATGGTGGATAAGCTTTTTGATGTGCTGCTGGATTTGGTTTGTGAGTATTTTATTGAGGAGTTTTGCATCAGTGTTCATCAAGGATATTGGTCTAAAATTCTCTTTTTTTGTTGTGTCTCTGCCAGCCTTTGGTATCAGGATGATGCTGGCCTCATAAAATGAGTTAGGGAGGATTC